>NC_000016.10:57895833-58198863 GCF_000001405.40 Homo sapiens | reverse complement strand
GGAGATTTACACTCTCAAAGTCTCTCCCCACAAATGACTTATTAATCACAAAGGGAAAAATTGTAACTTTGCAGTGGCACAACCTGGTCAATGCCAGCTTAACCAAGTGACCAAAGTGGATATTCAGGGAAGGCTCTGGAAGGGCATTTGGGGGAAGTGTAGAAAGGTTTTGTGAGGAGCACTCTGAATGACGGGGGTAGGAAGCCTTGGGGACTGAGGAGTCTACCCTAACAGGGCAGGGTCCAGAGGGGGAAGGAGGGGTATGTCTCGGGGGAAGGGAGAAGTATTGAGGTGGGGGAGGTTCTGAGGTTTGAGTGAGGCCCTGGGGAGGGACTTGACAGTTTGGGTGACAGGAGGGTCAGAATAGGGTCAGTATGGGATGTGTTGGGTGGGTAAAAGCTGGGTGAGTGCAGGGCTGGGGATAGGGTCTCCAAGGACAGTGAAAGGGTCGGGAGTCGCGGGCGAGGGCTCTAGGGCAACGGCCAGTGGAAGGGGGGGCTCCTGTGGCGTGAAGTCAAGCCAGCCCGAGGGTGAGGCGATTTGGACAGTCCGACCTGTGGCGGCGGGAGGGCGAGGGTGGCGGAGGGCGCGAGGTAGGCGGCGGGGCGTGCCGGGGCGGGGCCGGGGCGGGGCCGGCACCGCCCGGCGGGTCCCCCCGCGCTCCAGGGGGCGCTGTGAGCCTGGGCGGCCCCAGGCCGGGCGGCGGCCGCTCCCAGTGAGCGCGGCCCCTTTTCCGGGTTTCCTCCGCCTCCTCCTCCTCTCCTCCTTCTTCTCCGCTGCCGCCGCCGCTGCCCCTTTCCCGGCCGGTGGCTGCCGCTGCCGGTGCCGCCGCCGCCGCCTCCTGGGGGCCGCGAGCCGAGCGGAGACCGCCGCGGAGCGCGAGCGCCGCCCGCCCCGCCGCCCCGCCGGCCGCTCCAGGGCCGGGCCGGCTCGGCCGGCGCCCCCCGCGCCCCCAGCCCGCCCGCCCCCGCGGGCCCGGCCTGGCGCGGCCGCCCGCCGCCGCGCTCCTCCTCCTCCTCCTCCAGCGCCCGGCGGCCCGCTGCCTCCTCCGCCCGACGCCCCGCGTCCCCCGCCGCGCCGCCGCCGCCACCCTCTGCGCCCCGCGCCGCCCCCCGGTCCCGCCCGCCATGCCCGGCCCGGCCGCGGGCAGCAGGGCCCGGGTCTACGCCGAGGTGAACAGTCTGAGGAGCCGCGAGTACTGGGACTACGAGGCTCACGTCCCGAGCTGGGGGTAAAGCCGTCGCCGCCCCCCGCCGGGCCCGCTGATCCCTGCCCCCGCCCGGCCACCCCCTGCGAACCGCACTCGGGCCCGGTGGTGTCTCCCGCCGACCCCTCCGCGGGCCCGCAGGGAGGCAGAGGTCCCGCTCTCGCACATGTCCTCGTCTTCCTCTTCCCTCCCCTTTACCCCCGTTTCGTCCCTTTCTCCCCGCTTTGCGCACCCCTTTCCCCCAAGGAATGCTTTTTTACTCGGGGAGAAGTGTGGGGTCCAGGGATCGACGCCGGGTGGAAGTGAGGGAGCTGCCCTTCCTCACACTTCTGGGTTTCCACTGGGGTGGGAAGTCAACAGCTGTCCTTTGGAGCTATTAAAATGCCCTGCCTTTTAGGTTTTCTGAGATGAGGTGGTGGGAGGAAATTTCTTAAAGACGTCCAGATTTTTAAAACAGGCATTGTCTACCTTGAAGATGTGAAACGAGAAGCAGGTGCTGGGGAGCCGCGGGGCACAGGGGGCACCCTCTAGGCCTTCAGGACGGGTGCTTTGCTCGCCCCTCTGGATTGGCTCAGAGCGTTGCCTTCCTGCCCCATCTTCCCAAGTTAGGAGAGACCAATTAGGTTAGGAGCTCTGCAGAGTGAAGGGAGCCAAGATTATGTCGTGGCTTTCATTTAGGGAATGAGTTGTGACGTGATGTATAGACACTTCCAAGTGTTTGCCTGGTGGAAGCGGCTGAATGACGTGTACAGTGGGCATAGGCTTGGTTAACCCCCAGTCCTGGCATTTATGTGTGTGTCTTCCTTTTACAGTAATCAAGATGATTACCAACTGGTTCGAAAACTTGGTCGGGGAAAATATAGTGAAGTATTTGAGGCCATTAATATCACCAACAATGAGAGAGTGGTTGTAAAAATCCTGAAGGTGAGTGTCCTATGAGTGGTATGTAACATTTTCCTCCCCACAGGGCAAAAGTTTGTAAGGTACCCCAGTCACATTCTATAATGGGCAATGCAAGCTTGAATTTAATTTAATTTATTTGTTTAGAGTCAGAGTCTCACTCTGTCACCCAGGCTGGAGTGCAGATCATAGTTCACTGCAGCCTTCAACTCCTGGGCTCCAGTGATCCATCTCAGCCTCCCAAGTAGCTGGGACTACAGGTGCATGCCACCACGCCCAGCTATTTTTAAAATTTTTTTGTAGAGTCAGGGTCTGGTCATGTTGCCCAGGCTGGTCTTAAGCTCCTGAGCTCAAGCAGTCCTCCAAAAGGACTCCTTGCAGGCCTCCTATAGTTGCTGGGATTAGAGGCGTGAGCCACTGTGCCCAGCCGACGCTCAAATTTTATTTATCTGATGTCCCTTCATTACTTCTTTTTCCACCCCATTTTCCCATGAACTTTCAAGAAAATGTGCAGACATCACAAATCTAAGTTCAGTAAAGTGTTTGTTCTAAAATGTAAATTCCCTAAAGCAAAAATTCCAAAAGGGCTCCGTTTGTTAGAAAATAAATAGGTAATCAAAAGACAGAAAAGCCACTCTCAATTTAAGGGCTCCCTGAGCACTGTGTTTGTTACTCTTGGTGCATGCTGTATGTTATTCCAGAAAGAAAGTTGGAAAAAATTGGAGCGACTTCAGAAATGTATTTCAAGCCCAAGTGGAAGGAAATTCCTTAGCGGATAATCACTTGTTTTTTTCCTTTGGCAGTAAAGTTTCAGGTGGTATGGATACAGTGCACCAGTAGTGCTGAGAAGCCTTGTTGGGAAGCCAGAGAGCCATTGTTGCTTATAAGCTAGTAAAAATATAGAAGAGTTCATGTATAATTACTAAAGTAATAATTGGAACAAAACTATCTTAATATATGGTTTAGCAATGAATTTGATAATGATATGACGTTATCTCTTTGATGAAGATGATTTTAATTAGCATGAAGGGTCGGCTAAATTTTCCTTCTGGTAACTGATTGTGTAGCTTTAATAATGTTTTATAGGGTATAGTAAAAAGTAGTTCTTAGAATCTGTGATGGGTCCTCGTTATTGCCGGATCATTTCATGTGGATACAAGTCATTTAGTGAGAGATTGAGAAGACCGAAGAGTGATGTAAGCACTTTGCATACATGTGATTTCCATTGTGGCCCTTTTGCAGAGGTTCTGTGGACTAGAAAAGCTGTGGTATAGAAAAGCTGTTTCTGTGTGCTAGGGCAGCTGGTATAGGTAATCCCTGTTTAATGTGAGGGGTCAGGCTTATGCTTTCTGGTAATCATCTTTCAGAAAAAATGATTAACTCCATCACTCAAAACATCCTAGCCTAGTGATAAAGGAGCAGAATTGCAGTAAAGAGAAAAAGCAAAGTTATTTGTGTTCTCAGACACACTGGGGCTGAGAAGTGAGGAACTGATGTTGAAGATACTGAGTGTGACTCCTCTCTTCCCTAAATATGAATTGCATTTATGAAGTCACAAGGTGGTTTTTTTTTTTTTTAAGTCACAGGAAAATTACCTTAGAAAGCCATACATTAGCTTTATGTACATAAGCATAAGTTTTCAATAAGCTGCTTCAAATCTAAGAAATAAGCAAAACGTAAATTGAAATTAGGAATATCCATATTCCACTGCTGTATATTCAGAAGAATGAATTGCTGACTCTAAAGCAATTCCAGAAAAATGTCTGAACTTTTGTGCTATGGCAGCATTTTTAGAATAAGTGTATGATTTTCTGTGGTGCTTTTTTTTTTTTAAAGGAACAGCATTCAGGTGTGTGTATAAATACCAGCATGTTCATTTAGGAGAGCATCGCATTGCTGCTTCATCATCCAAAGAGCTTTATAGGCTCTAGCTTTCCCCCTACTTTAAAGATTCTTGGCGTATGTTAGGAAACCCAGTATGTAAGCTGCTGCAGGTTATCTTTACAAATGGGAGACCTAGGCACAAAGAAACTTACCTAATGTCATTATGTTGAATGACCATTAGCCAGAACTCCTGTTTCCTATTTCTTCATATCTCTTACTGTTCATTTTAGCACTGGATTGTAGGATCTGAACGTTGAGCACAGAAACAGGTACCAGTGTCCTGGAATCAGACTTGGGAGGCCCCTAGTTAATGAAATGTTTCTTGTTTCTTCTTGATGTTGTTTGTTTTCACAGTGCAGCCTAAACCACTAGTGAAAATTAGACTCACTTCTTTATGTTTTTTAAAGCCCGGTGGCATTTCTATCCAGATTTTGTTCCTGTCTGAAGGATGGGGTAATATATCACTAATGGCATTATTGTGGTTTTGTTGTTTTGTGAATTAAAAGTATTACTTTTTAAAAAGAACAGGGTAACAAGGTCTTTAGCCAAAGTTGTGTTTCTTTATTCAAATAAGTTGAAGTTATGACTAATAGCTACTATTGTGGTGCTTGGTCATAGGAAATTAGGTCCTTAACAGACTACCAGCTCCTCATAACTTGGAAGAATCTAGAACAGCCTTCCTTTTTGTAAAAGCCTGCTGTATTTTAGCTGCAGGATTGTATTATGCACATAGTGACCAAGATAGAGGGTGGCTTTCTTGAGGACAAGTGGTCTTACTTTTGTAGTCAGTAACGTTTCGTATCAGTTCTTTGCAATATATGTGAGAATGGGTGGATGATGAGTGACTACAGAGGAATTTTATATCATTTAATTTGCATTAGTGGATTTCCAGGTATTGATCAAAAATGAGCTGCTAAAAAGTTTTAGGAATTTAGAAACTGGTGAGCAAAATTTTACTGTCTATCCCCAAGTGGTATTCTGTGGCTAAAATCTTAAAACTTTCCAATCAATAGAGAGGTTGTATCTTTTTTTGACAAATTGTTTTGAGGAGAAAAGAGAAAAAGGAGGAGGAAAATGGTAAGCGTTTATATGGCAGGGCAGAAAGCTACATTAGTGCCAAAAGTTTCATCTTTTGATTTTGAAAAATCAGTTCTTCATTTCCTTTGTAGTACCTCTTAGAAAAGTGTACACAGAAGTAAAAGTGGCCACCTTTGACAACTTTTAGCATTTTATGAATACTGCCTGTGTGTGTAGATTTCAGTACTTCTTGGGGTCCTTGGGATCTTTCAAATTAAACTGCTATTTCTTGAATAAAAGTTAAGAGCAACACTATTTTTAAAAAACAGCATTTTGAACCAGTGCAAAATGACTTGGAAATTCCCATATAAGGCTTCCTCTTAGAGGTCTTATTTTATAAACAGATTGACTATCCATTTTCCCCTAGATATTAATTATTTAGCTTTAAACAAAGGGTGGTGGTATTAAAATTTTGCTCTTTAAGCATGTTTAGCATACTTGCAGATATTTTTTAAGTTCTGTGTTGTCAGTAGGTAGTGTTAAAAGGATGGGCATTGGTTATACATCTTTGTTAGTAGCTTCATCGTGAGCTGGTGATCTTTATATTATATCAGAATGGTGCTTTCCTCTTTATTTCCTCTTTATTTCTCCTGTGGTAGGTTTTTTACCCTCCTAAATTTAGGCATGTGTATGAAGACATCTTCCTGAAACAACACATTAGTGGTATTTATCTAAGTTTTTGGTACATTCTGATTTTCACTAATGTCTCATGGTATAAAAGTAGTGCAAACAGTATCACTAAAGTATTGCTAACATTAAAAATAATGTTAAAAATTATATGTGAACTAGGCCGTTTCCAGCATTGTACTGGGGAGTCACAGATTAAGAGTGTAGTTAACCTGTGTCAAACAGAATCGCAGAATGCGGGCACTTAGAAACCTAGAAACCATTAGAACCCAGGCCCTTTTTACAAATCAACCAAGACCCAGAGAAAGGATGTATATGCTCAGCGTCATGTAGTCAGGGGGTGGAAGCACTCGGTGTAGGACCTTGTGTACCTGTCATGAAGTCTTGGTAGATGCGAGGAGCATAATTAGGACATTAGCTGGATGTTTGACTTTGTGATGTCCTGATCTGTACTGGAAGAATTGAGGAACACTCACCAGGAGTCAAATGAAGTTAATTCGTTTCTAATGATTTTTGGAGTTATTTTTCTCAAAGGAAGTGTTTGACTTTGGTAAGTTGCTAGTTGAAGTGTGGAATCCAAGAGTCCTCGAGGGCTATAGGGACCCAGGCAGGCGTTCTCTATGATTAGTATCCACAGCAGCATGTTTAATGCTTCAATGAAATGCTGCTTTATTCTCTTGAAGCCTCAGTAAATAGTGTTTTTATGGTTTTTTTTTTTTTTAACCCATAGAGTTCCTCCAAGTCTCAGCATGATCACTTGGCAGATTTCGGGATTAATAGTTTAATAGTTTTATCCCTTTAATATATGAGTTTATTTGAGAGCAAACCACATGTGAAAAGAATATCTTGATATAGTGTGCCCATTTTCATGTATAAAGCAGGGCTCCAGATAGTTTCTAGAGTTTAATTTCAGGATCTACCATCTCATCATCAGGGTGGTGTAGTGTAGGAAGTGCTGTAAATGAGAGGGCAGAAGGCTTGAGTTCCAGAACTAGTTTCTTCATTGATACCCACTTGACTGTTTTCTCATCTATGAAATAAGCATACATTTCCTGCTTAAGTCACAGGATTGTTAGGAAAGTCAGATAAACTATAGATAGATGGGTAGAGAGATTGATTGTCATGTTTTAGTAATCTACAAAATGCTTTTCTTTCCTGAGAGAGTATGGCCTAGGAAGTGGTCTGCCTGGTTTCAGGTGTTAGCTCCAACTGTAGACGCTCTGTGACGTCAAACAGTTACTTAAGTTCTCTGTGCCTTGGTGTCCTTCCTCAAGTAAAACTGTTAATAGTGCTCATCTAAGACGGTTAAATGTGCTTAAAACAGTGCCTGGCCTGAGAGATCAATAAAGTATAGTAGTAATAACAATATTACATTTGGGTCATGCGAGTGATGTTAGAGGCAGAACCAATAGTAGAAAGGGTTGTAGTGTTCTCCTAATGAGATTCAAAGGGTCTGCTCTATGCCTTGCCTTTAAAAAAAAATTGTGTTAAAATACATGTAACATAGGCTAGGCGCGGTGCCTCACGCCTGTAATCCCAGCCCTTTGGTAGGCCGAGGTGGGCAGATCACCTGACGTCAGGAGTTCGAGACCAGCCTGGCCAACCTGGTGAAACTCCGTCTCTACTAAAAATACAAAAAATTAGTTGGCCATGGTGGCGGGTGCCTGTAATCCCAGCTACTCAGGAAGCTAAGGCAGGAGAATTGCTTGAACCCGGGAGGCAGAGGTTGCAGTTGGCCGAGATTGCACCATTGCACTCCAGCCTGGGCAACAAAAGTGAAACTCGTCTAAAAAAAAATAAAATAAAATAACATAAAATTTACCATCTTAACCATTCTTAAGTGTACAGTTCAGTGGGTAATGTTGTGCAACCATCACTGCCGTCCATCTCCATAACTCTTCATCTTGTAAAATGGAAACTCTATCCATTAAACAGTAACTACCTATTTCTCCCTCCCCCATTTCCTGGCAACAACCGTCTTACTGTTTCTATGAATTTGACTACTCCAGGTATCTCATATAAGTGGAATTGTACAGTATTTATCCTTTTGTGGCTGGATTATTTTGCACAGCATAATGTCCTCCAAGTTTATCACTGTTGCATGCATCAGAATTTCCTTCCATTTTAAGGCTACATAATTTTCCATTGTATGTATATACCACATTTTGTTAGCCATTCATCCATCAGTGGATGGGTTGCTTCCATGTTTTAGCTATTGTGAATAATGCTGCTTTGAATATGAGTGTACAAATATCTCCTGAAGACCCTGCTTCACTTCTTTTGGGTATAGACCCAGAAGTGGAATTGCTGGATCATAAGGTAATTCTATGATTAATGTTTTGAGGAACTTTCCATAGTGGCTATACCATTTTACATTCTGACTGCAGTGTACAAGTGTGGCTGTTTCTCCACATCCTTGCCAACACTTCTTTTCTGGTTTTTTTGATAGCAGCTATCCTGACTTGTGTGAGATAGTATCTGATTATCATTTTGAATTTATGCCTTGCCTTTTTAAATAATTTTTTTTAACTCCTGAGAGTAAACAGTTACCCTCAAGGAGTAGATCATGTAATTGGGGTGATGAAACTTGAAAGATTAGAGGAAAAGTTTTCTGTGATGAAATAACATTGCTCAGATAATATTTTTATATAGGTCAAGTGCAGTGAGTTTTAGGGATGCCACCAGGGTAGTGAATTACGTGCCATCATCCAGGCTGAACTTTCTTTTTACTCTGTCCTTCTACATTCTTGGCAACCATTGTTCATTGCAGGTGATGAAATTAATATCTTGGTGGAGCACTTGTTAGTTTGGTAGTAGAGTAAAAGTAACCCCAAATTTGAGAGCTAGGAGCTGTAGATATGTTCCTGCCTGTCTTGAATTTGTCAGTTCAGTTGTTCTTTTTTTCACCACTTTGTCTACTAGATTTCAAGTTAAAAAAAAATTTTTTTATTGGTTTGGACAATAGCTAAACTGATTGAGTTTGAATCTTTTAAACAGATAGTCTCTGAATTGGAATAAATGAACCCCAGACGGAGACTTCTTCTAGCATGCAGAGTGAAACTGTGAGATCGTTGTGGAAATATATGTATTTTCTCCATTTTGTGTAACTGGTGGTGAATGGCTACAGGCTCTGGACAGGAGAGTCAAGGCATCCTTATTTCTGTAAAACTAGGTTTATTTTCCTTAGGATACCAACAATCCTCCCTCATAAATCCTAACTTTTTATCTCTGATTCACATTAAAAGGATCACTTTCAGCTCCTCAGAGCTCATTGGTTTAGTTTCTCGAGCATCTCTCCAGTTCAGAGGAATAAACTGAGGCTGAAGGGATCTACCTGTAGCTTAGTTTTTGATGGTTTGGAGGGAAGTGTCCTGGACTGTGGGTCTGTCACCTTCCTTTTTTATCATTTCTTGGTATTTTGTTTGCATGTGAGGACTCTAGCTGCCTTTGTGACTTGGGACTCCTTTGTGCCACCTTCAGAGTTGCCCTGCTATTCCCAGTCTCTAGTTTGGGAAGTTTAAGTTAGACACCTGGTGGGCAGCAAAATATGCTTCAGTTGCTATGCCAGATACCTTTAGATGTATTGAGAGGGAGGTTCATCTTAACTGGGTTGTCCAGGCCTGACCTGTTGCTGAATAACCGGAGACCAATGCAAGACTTTACATGGGGCAGCGTCATAAAGGCAACTAATGGGTTGTGCCTGTAAGGAGTTAGGAGTACTGTTAGAATTAGAAGAGGGTTTTTGGTGGATATAGGCCTCTGGCTGTGGGTTTTTTTCCTCTCTGTTACCACTCTTATAGATCTATAGCTGCTTTCCAGTATTGGATGACAAATCTAGAATTTTCTTATATCGAAAGGCATTGACTAAACTGGTAGCATTGGCTGAATTTATAAGTATAAGATAGCCAGCTTTGGCCGGGCGCAGTTGCTCATGCCTGTAATCCCAGCACTTTGGGAGGCTGAGGCAGGCGGATCACCTGAGGTCAGGACGAGATCACCCTGGCCAACATGGTGAGACCCCGTCTCTACTAAAAATACAAAAAAATTAGCTGGGCGTGGTGGCACACACCTGTAGTCCCAGTTACTTGGGAGGCTGAGGCAGGAGAATTGTTTGAACCTGGGAGGCGGAGCTTGCAGTGAGCTGAGATTGCGCCACTGTGCTCCAGCCTGGGCCACGGAGTGAGACTCCGTCTCAAAAAAAAAAAAAAAAAAAGCCAGTTTTTATTTTTCTTTTAACTTCTTAACATAATTTTGGACTTAAAAAAAGTTGCAGGAATTCCCATATCTGTTTCACCCAGACTCCTCAAATGTTAACATTTGTTTTATCCTTCTCTTTCTCTCTCATATACACACACATTTGTGTACATATACACACACCTATATAATGACATTTATGTTATGTATTTCTTCCTGACGTGCTTGAGAGTAAATCGTAGTCATCCCTAAATACTTTGGTATGCATTTCCTAAAAATAGTTTCTTACATAACCCTACAATGCCATATTAAAAAATTAGAAGGTAACCATTGATGCATTGCTGTTACCTAATCTACAGCTCTCATTCACATTTGCCAGCTATCCTTATAATGTTCTTTATAGCAAAGGAAAATCCCAGATTACATGATGATATTCAGCTGTAGTCATGTGTTACATTCAGTTGTCACATTTTAAAAGTCTGGATCAGTTTGTTTCATGAATGACATTGACGTGTTTGATCTTACAGGCCGGTTATTTTGTAGTGTGTCCTTCCCTGGCTATTTTTTAATCAGATTGTACAGTGCTTTTTTCCCCCAAAGTTTCGAGCTCCCTCGTTAATGAAAAAGGGACTAAGGAGTAAGGTTTCTAAGTGGAGTCGGGGAACATGCACAGCAGCCACATCTGCTCTCCTGGGAACCCTGGCACAGCGGGCGGAGAGCGGGTGTCATCATGGCAGCTGGCTCACAAGGACGCAGCGAGAGCCCAGCCTGTCAGTTGAGCCCCCTGTTATAGGTGATGCAAGTGCTCTTGTTTCATAGTCCTCTCCTTCTCTGTTTTGTTATGTGTTCAAAGCTGTATCTTAGTGACCAACAAAAGATGAAGGTTTCTCTGGCATGTGTGTATGTTATATTTTCCCCCTCCCCTCCCCTTCCCCACCCCACACACAGGCAAAAAAAGTCTTGCTTTATTATTTATTGGCAAATCCATTGGCCTCTCTTTGCCTCTGCTATTATAACAGTGTCTCAGTGATAAAATACTCTTTTTTCCTTAGTTACGTTTCTCCCGTTAGCCACACTTGGGAAACAAAAGCACTGTGGCAAGAGTATAGCATGCAGTCAGACTGCCCAGCTTCCAGCTTTGATTCCTGCCCCTCTCTGCCATGGGCTCTGTGATCTTGGGCAGATAGCTCAACTCTGCTACATAAGGACTTTGTGAGGAATCACAATGACTTATTAAATAATAAATTACTAAAAATATGAAAATAACACTATCATTTATTAGGTGCTTACTGTGTTCTGGTCACCATTCTGAGTGCCTTATAAAGCATACTTGATTATGATAGACTTACTTTTTCAGAACTGTTTCTATTCTTCTTCAAACTCTTTAACTCATTTAAGACAAGGAGTAATATGTATAATGAGAGTAATTATTTTTAAAGCCTTTAATCTTTCCAGCAGACTGAAAAGTTAGATAGAAGTGTTCAGTCACTGTTGTATCAGATTGATTTCTCCTTTCCTGATTCAACATTTCTTTCTTCAGGAATGGGATCTGTTGGAAAACATTAACTGGCTCTGTGCTGATTTCAGATTCTAGATATTAAGGAAATGGGAGTGGTGACAGGAAATGAGAGCCAGCAGCTGGGAAGCAAGTTTGTAACCTGATGTCAGTGAACTGGTCTTTCACTCCTGAAAGACAAAATTACATGTAACTCATTGGAAGAGCAGGTGTCTCACCATTTTGTTTCAGTTTTTCCATTTGTGAGTGCATGATATACAGCTGTTCAGAGCTATATTTTCCACTTGGCAGTTATCTAGTAAGCCCAAGTTTTATTTTTAAAGTGTGATATGGGTATTCAAAATTTTTAAGTGCCCTCAATGTAACTACTTAGAAGATCTTGACACATAAGCTGTATGAGTCTGTAAATTATTTAACTTAATGTTAAAGGTTCTTATGGGCAAGCCCATTCTATTTCAGTTTTTTCAAATTTAGGCACACTCTTGAACACAACAGAGTGTACAAGATAGCGTACTATCCATCTGATTGGCTAACATTGTTTTAAAGTTTTATTTATTAACTTCAAAAGGAGTCTCACTTCTGATTACTCTTGTGTATTTAAGCCAGTGAAGAAAAAGAAGATAAAACGAGAGGTTAAGATTCTGGAGAACCTTCGTGGTGGAACAAATATCATTAAGCTGATTGACACTGTAAAGGACCCCGTGGTAGGTGCCAAATGGTTGGGGGAGTATACTAGTAGACCGGGGTGTGGATATGGGAGTTGTTTAACACACAGAACCTCACGTAATGATACAGTGGGGATGGTGGTGTTTGTCTTTAACTACTGACTGGTTTGAAAACCAGAAAAAAATCATGGTGACCCAGTGATAAAACAGCTACCACCACTGTGATGGAACCTAAAAGTGTACAGAGAAAAATCCCTTTTCTGGGTTTGTACTTCACTATTTTGATTCAGCCCACAAATGTTTGCTGAATGTCTCCTTTAAGCCCCAGCCTCTTTCCAGTTTTGAAAGTTCATTACTGCCAATTTGTGTTACTCTACCTCACTTAAGTAAGCATGACATTTGAAAATCTGGGTTTACACAAGGAAAGAATGAATATCTCCACGTGGACACCTGGCATAAAGGCCTGAGCAGGTCCCAGCTCCACTGACCCTGTGAAGAAGTCTTCTTCTTTCCCTTAAATCAGCATATGCCATTAGGGCTCATGTCACATGTGTAGATAGACTAAAATATTTTTGTCAGTGCTCAGTTTGTAGCCATTTTAAATGTGCTGTTTAATTTTGTTTTCTCTCCCTAGGGAGTAACTTAACCTTAGGTGTTTTTGATTAGCTAAGGTTGGAGACACCTCACCTCCCCACTTTTGTACCCCTTCTTGTCCCATTGCTGTTCTCCACCTGCTGTACCTCAGATATTTCCCTGTTATCCTCCCATGATAGTTTTGTTTATTAAAGAAATAGGTTTTTGCTTCTGGCTGCTAAAGACATCCTCATAATAATATAGTAGCTAACATGCACTGAGTGCTTACTATGTGCTGGGCACATTCCAAGTGCCCAACTGTGCCATGTCACTCAGTCTTCACAACAGTCCATTGGGGTGGGTACCATTTATTGTTTACATTGTACAGATGAGAAAACCGTAGTTTGCAGAGGTTAAAAAATTCACTCAAGATTACACAGTATTGTTGAAGCATAAGGAAAGTTTTTCCTTCTGGACCCTGAGAAGACTGAGAAGGGAAGGGATGGTTGTATGCCAGATTGTAACTAATTGGCCTTTAAGATATCCTGTCCTTTTAGCACAAATTGATTTTATAATGACTAGTTCTGGACTGCCTCATGTTTGAAAATGGGCTGCATTAGAAATGAGTACCCATGGAAAAATGAGCACCGTGTAAAAATATGAATTTCAGAATAATTTTTAAAATGTGAGTCAGTATGTGGTATACCAGGAGCATTTTTGTTTTGCTTTTTCTTTTTTTAAGTTAGCAGAACTTAATTTGTTAAAGTATGTGTATGTTTTACATGATATGTAAGACAAGTAAGTTGAAGATGACAAAAATCAACAGGGACCCCTTGTCTATTAGAAGGTCAGGCTTACTCCACTATTCTCCCGTTGAGAGAAGTGGTAATACTGATGAAACCCTTACAGCTTCGGGCTGGTGAAGAATTTTTAATCATGGCTGCTACTGGGGCTGCTGTTTGGACTCTGAGTTGTCCTCGCAGAGATCTGCATGCTGCCCTGTGGCCTGTTTCCTAGGTAACTTTCACATGGTTCTTGAGCAAAGATTTCTAGATGTTTTTTTTTTTCTATAACCCCTTAAGTCCCTACTTTCTCCCAATTTTGAAAGCTTATTACTGCCAATTAGCGTTATTTTACTTCAATTAAGGAATCCTGTTATTTGAAAATCTAGATTTACACAAGATGATATTGAGCACTTTTGTACTCATTGGATTAAAGATTATAGTGCTTTAAAAATATTTGATTATATATGAGTTTTTAGGAACAGGTCTGCTTGATAAGATGAGACAATCTTTAATGGTCTCTAGCCAAGGCAATAATATTATAGTATAGCTTATTGATAATATCACGGATGGTTATATTTTCCTTTTGGACCCCCAAAAG
Organism: Homo sapiens; assembly: GCF_000001405.40. Lineage (NCBI taxonomy): Eukaryota > Metazoa > Chordata > Mammalia > Primates > Hominidae > Homo > Homo sapiens. The sequence continues at coordinate 58,184,837 of NC_000016.10, read as the reverse complement.
ACCTATGATACATTCCCACAACCTATGATAATTCTGTCAAGTGCAATTCTGGCTTGCTAAACTAAGATGAAAATGTGTCACTTTTTTTGTATATGGCAGACTGGAACACTGCAGGGTGTAAATCCTCACATAACCTTTGAAGATTGGTTAAGGCCATTGGTAGGTTATTCGGAGAATACATTCCTCTTAAAACTTTTTATTATGAAATTTTCAACCATTTTCAAAAGTAAATGAAAAATGTAATGAACTTCCCTCACACATGACCCAACTTTAGCAGTTAATCAGCTGTGGCCAACCTTGTTTCATCTATACTCCCACCACTTCCCACCTCCCACTATCCCCAGTTATTTTGAAGCAAATTCCAGACATCATAAAATTTCAAGAGAATACTTTTCTTGACAGGCTGTCCCTGATGAGTGAATCCCTGTGTTACCTAAGTAGGATTTGGGGATGGGCCATTTTGGCAGAAGCAGATTACATTGATTATTGTTTGGGTACTTAAAAAGCATTAATATTCTCTTTTACAGTCAAAGACACCAGCTTTGGTATTTGAATATATCAATAATACAGATTTTAAGGTGCGTATGCTTTTCTTTCTGGCATGGGGTTAACGGGGTGAGGGGGAGCTGGTGATAAATACTGTGTACTCCAGAACCCAAGGGGCCAGGGCTGTCATTGGTGAGAGGAGGAAATAACAAATTGGGTTCCTTAAGGCATGAGTGCAGGATGCAGAAAGTGGCTAGGGTTCTTGCATTAGGTGAAATTACTTAATCACCCTTTGCCTTGCCTACTCCAGGAGTAGCTGCTCGGCTGGGTCTAAGCTAATGCCTCATCTGTAACACTCCTGTTTTAGACAGCATAGCTTTAGTTGTATGTTAACTTTGCCTTTTGTACGAAATCTTACTTTGCCGAGAGGAAGGGATAGACCGATACAAGGCCCTTGTGAAAAGAAGCAATGCATTGGATTCAGTGCTGTCAAATAACAAAGTGTGTGTTTGCGCACGTGACGTACAAAGAAATGATTCAGAAAAACCAGAGTCAGTGCTTTAGAAGAGCCCTATCGGGTTTTTTACATTTTCTTATAATGTAAATTATTTTAGACATTGAAGTGTTCTTTTTAAATCATGGTTTTAAGCTCGTGTTTCACAAAATTTATTGTTCAAACATTAAAACCTTAATATCAAGGTTTTTGGGGTTAGGCATACTAGACATGGTGGAAACCCTTTTTTAGAACGTAATTTAAAAACCAATATACAAACAAAATAGTAGTGTTGATTTTCAGGGGCACTTGGAGGACTTGTAGTTGATTGTAACTCTGTCAGTGAATAAGAGACTTGTGATTTTGTTGTGACAGGAGCTAGAGACAAAACTAAATCAGCAGTTAAAAGATGTTGGTATCAGGACGGATGGTTCTGGGTAAAAGTAAGAGAACCTTATTCTCACACTTTTTTTTTTTTTTTGAGATCGAGTTTCGCTTTTGTCACCCAGGCAGGAGTGCAATGGTGTGATCTTGGCTCACTGCAACCTCTGTCTCCCGGGTTCAAGCGATTCTCCTGCCTCAGCCTCCCAAGTAGCTGAGATTACAGGCATGCACTACTACCCCCAGCTAATTTTTTTTTTTTAATTTTTAAATTTTTTTTAGCAGAGACGGGGTTTCACCATGTTGGCCAGGCTAGTCTCAAACTCCTGACCTCAGGTGATCCACCCACCTCGGCCTCCCAGAGGGCTGGGATTATAGGTGTGAGCCACTGTCGCGCCTGGCCTAATTTTTCTTAATCACTCTAAAATGACTAAAACAAGGTTAATTAGTGAAAAGTAAGCAAAAGAAGATATTTTGACTTATAAAACAATAAGGAAGTTTTATGTGTAGTATAGCACTTTCCCACATGTGACAGATTTTCTTGTTAATGTGACTCCTTACAGGTGAAATTAGCAGTGAACTCTAAAAAGCAGGGTGTAAATTTTTTCATTCAGTAGCATAACAGCGCTTAGCTGGTAGGGTACTATGCTGATATGTGTAGCTGATCCTATGAATCACCCAGGTTTATCCTGGTATATGTGAGTGGGAATGTGTGTGCATGTCTTAGAAAACCAGATAGGCTTTAATGAAACCAAATATTTTCCTAATGCAAAAGTTGAAACCTTATCTGAATGGAAGTTCGTAGTGTAATTCCCCAAGTTTTAAATGCCTGGGCTTCGTTAATGAGTTTTTACCAATTGTCTGCTACATGTGTAAAATTTCACCTCAGCATTTTGTGGTTTTGTTTTTTTTTTTTTTTTTTTGAGACGGAGCCTCGCTCTGTCGCCTAGGCTGGAGTGCAATAGCGCAATCTCGGCTCACTGCAACCTCCCCCTCCCAGGTTCAATCAATTCTCCTGCTTCAGCCTCCCAAGTAGCTGGGACTACAGGCGTGCACCACCACGCCTGGCTAGTTTTTTTTTTTTTTTTTTTTTTTTTTTTTTTGGTATATTTAGTAGAAATGGGGTTTTACCATGTTAACCAGGATGGTCTCGATGGCTTACCTCGTGATCCACCTGCCTTGGCCTCCCAAAGTGCTGGGATTACAAGCGTGAGCCACCGCACCTAGCCCATTTTCTGTTTCTTAAAGTGACATCTGCTCTGTTGATTTAACAACTGCTGAAGATCAGTTAGTGGGAATTCTAATTCTTAGAGAAATTCTCTCTGGGGTCTTAACCCTCAAAGGGGATGTTTCATACATTCTCTTGTAGCTTTCTTTAAAGGGATTATGGGAAATTAATGTTTTTTTGAAGCTTGCATATCTGAAGTCATTTTTATTTTGTCCTGCCAATTAATGTATTTGCTAGGGTATAGAGTTCTAGGTTATAATTCATAATTTCCTTGATTTTGAAGAGATTGTTCCAGTATTACCACTGAAGCCATTCTAGTTTCATCTTATGTGACGGTTTTGTTTTTGTTTTTTACCTCTGGAAGCTTTTAGGATTTTCTCATTTGCACTCTTCTGAAATTTCACAATGACGTGCCTTCGTATGGGTCCCTTTTATCTTTTGTTCTGCATACTTGCTGGGCTTTTTCCCCTGTGTTTTGGAAAAATATTTTTAATGTTCTTTGATTTTTCTCCCCTTTCTTCTTTGTTCTCACTTTCCAGAACTCATTCAAATGTTAGACTTCACATCTTACAGCTCCATTTTGGTCTTGGAACTTTTTAAAATAGTATCCTGTTCTTTTATGTTTTATGTAATACCTTCTATTTTCTCACTAAGAATATTGTATTTTTTCCCTTCATACTTTTTCTCTATTTTTCTTTGTGTGTGAGTTTTTGTTATTTTGTTATTCAGTCTCTGAAATATCATGGTTTTTGAATGTCTGCTCATTGCTCTAAAGAACCATCAGCCCCTGTCTCAAGGATGCAGGCTTGGCTGCTGGTATCTTAGCCTCAAGTTGAGGAGAACCATGGGGAATGTTGTGCAGACTTCACCTAAGTCTCCCCTTTTCAGTGTGGCATCTTAAACTCATTTTCCCGTTTCCGGTGCACTCTGTTTCCTCTCTTAAACCAACATTGGAGGTCCCCCGTCCTGAACATTTCTGAGGTTGTTCAGTTTGAAGCTGTTTGCTTTTGGCCTTTCGCTGTTGGCAGAGACATGTTTTCTAGCTTCACAATGTTGTTTCTCCTATCTTCTTAGTTCTTACGATTTAATCTCCCTGCTCCTTTTACGGTTATTTTAGAGGAGTTTCAGGTAGAGCAGAGGTGTTTGATCTGCCTTGTTTAACTGGAGGTCCCCTTTGAATGTTCAAGCCATGACATTTTAATCAAGAGATCATTAAATATCAGATGGCAGATGTGTATTTTTGAAGAGCAAATCATGGCAGGAAAATTAAATTCTTTTCCAGATAGTATGGCAGGCCACAAACAAAATCATTTAGTTCACCGTCGTGATGTCCTTTAGTCTTTTTATTTTGTCCTGTGTCCATCTTATTAGGAAAGTTTGTTTTTTTGTCTTTTTAATTTTAGTGTAAAGTATATTAATAACTGGTTTTAAGATTATCACCCAGAGAGTGTTCATTCCTCGTTAATACCAGGGTGAATTAACAGTGATGCAGCCCGCAGCCCATTCTTTTCAGTATTTTATATTTGTGCAATGGATTATAAATTTTGATCTATAATTTTATTTTGTCATAGGGTCCTTCTCTAAGTTTGCTATCAAGGTTATACTATATAAGATAGATTGGGTAGCTTTTCCTCTTCCTATTCTCTGAAAGTTTATGTAAGATAGGTATTATATGGATAGATGTCTTTCAAGGATGGGAGGAAGACTTTGAACTATACTTTCCTTTTTAAAACATAACTTAAAGTTTATCCAGGTTTTCTGTCTCTTCTTGAGTCTATTTGGATAATATATATTTTATTCACTTTCAATTTGATTGACAAAGAATTCTCTTAGGACTTAAAAACTATATTGTTGACTGGTCACAAAAAAAAAAAAAAACTCTGGAGTATCTGTAGTTATCCTTTCCTTCACATTTTTAAGTAGTATTTGTGCCTTTACTCCTTTTTAAATCAGTCGTGCTAGAGATCTGTCGTTAATCTTTTAAAAGAACCAGCTTTTTGGTTTTATTGCTCAGTTATTGTTTTTGTTTGTTTTTCTCTTTCTGCTCCTATCTTATTTTTCTTCTTTCTTCCTTCAACTTTGTTGGGCTTTCAGTGGTTTTCTTCTTCATTTCTTGAGTTGAATTAAACTCATTGGATTCTGTTTCTCTTTTTCTTTTTTTTTTTTTTTTTGAGAAGGAGTCTCGCTCTGTTGCCCAGGCTGGAGTGCAGTGGCACAGTCTTGGCTCAATGCAACCTCCGCCTCCTGGGTTCAAGTGATTCTCCTGCCTCAGCCTCCTGAGTAGCTGGGATTACAGGCGTGTGCCACCATGCCTGGCTAATTTTTGTATTTTTTAGTACAGACGGGGTTTCACCATGTTGGTCAGGCTAGTCTTGAACTGCTGAACTCATGACCCACCCGCCTTGGCCTCCCAAAGTGCTGGGATTACAGGTGTGGGCCACCACGCCTGGCCTTGATTTTGTTTTTCTTGACAATACATGTGCTTAAGTTTGTACAACCCTAAGCGTCATTTTACGTGTATCCCATGGTTATGGAACTCACTTCTGGATAGTTTTCAAACTAGAAGTGCAAACTGCAACATTGTGAATTTGCATTTTTCTCCGAAGACTTTTTACTTGGAAAATTGGAAGGAGTAGCACAATCAGTATATATTCTTCACCTAGATTTACCAGTTGTTACTGTTTTGCCACATTTGCAGTTATTTTTCTCCCTGTCCCCTCACCCTCTCTTTTCTTTCTTTTTTTTTTTTGAGACAGAGCCTCTATCTCTCACCCAGGCTGGAGTGCAGTGACCTGATCTTGGCTCACTGTAACCTCCGCCTCCTGGGTTCAAGCGATTCTCCTGCCTCAGGCTCCTGAGTAGCTGGGACTACAGGCGTGCACCACCACACCCAGCTAATTTTTTGTATTTTTAGTAGAAACAGGGTTCCACCATGTTGACCAGGCTGGTCTTGAACCCCTTACCTCAGGTGATCTGCCCACCTTGGCCTCCCAAAGTGCTGGGATTACAGGCTTGAGCCACCATGCTCAGCCTCTCCTTTCTATTTCTATTTTATCTTTTTGCTGAGTCATTTTAAATTAAGTTGCAGACATCATTATGATACGTCACTTGTAAATACGCTAGCACTGAAACTAGGCTGTTTTCCTATGCAAACCACAATACTTTTAGTATACCAAAGAAATTTAATATTTATACAATAATGCCATCTAAGATAAGTTCATACTCAAAAGTTTCTCTATAATTATTGTTTCAGTAATGTTCTTTATAGCTGTGTGTTTGTGAATGTGTGATCCAGAATCCAGGTGAATTTTTTAAAAATTTGATTGCACTATGTTCAGAGAACGTGACCTATATAATGTTAATTATTTGGAATTTGTTGATGGTTGCTTTGTAACTTTAGTACATGATCATTTGTTATACCAAGTGTGTTAATTTAGTTCAGAATTATGGCCTACTAATTTTTTTCCTTGTATTTCACTTTATGGTAGAGGTATTGGTTTGGTCAGTTTCTCCTTAAAATCAGCAGTTTTTATGCTTCATATATGCCAAAACTGTAATAAAGATACTTTAGAACAAGACAAAACTTCGAAACGAATGAATGAGAAAAGTCAGTCTCTAAGAGTTGGACTGAATAATTGTAGCAACCTCCCATACTTAAAAGTGTCTCAGGCCGGGTGCGGTGGCTCATGCCTGTAATCCCAGCATTTTGGGAGGCCGAAGCAGGCAGATCACCTGAGGTCGGGAGTTAGAGACCAGCCTGACCAACATGGCAAAACCCCGTCACTAAAAATACAAAAAAATTCGGCGGGCTATGGTGCACGCCTGTAGTCCCAGCTACTCAGGAGGCAGAGGTAGGAGAATCACGTGAACCCGAGGGGGCAGAGGTTGCAGTGAGCAGAGATCTTGCCATTGCACTCCAGCCTGGGCAACAGAGTGAGACTCCATCTCAATTGAAAGAAAAAAAAAGCGCCTCAAGAGAAGCTAAGGTACTATTTTGAAATACAAAAAAAAAAAAAAGATTTCGATAAGACACTCCAAATGGGCTCCATCCTAAGAAGCTGGTAGAATCATATTGATATTTGGAGGATTTCTAAATCACTCACATAGAGGTAAATCACCACTTAGTAAATAATGTGAGGCCTTGTTAATTCTGTTAGAGGTTGAGTTTACAGACTAAATAGTTTCCTTAATTGGAGAAACAAATTGTACTTTTATATTATGTCGTGTATGTTATTATAGGTCGTTAACATTATTTTGTCATTTCCTTGTAGGAAAATAAGTGACATTTTCAGGGGATTCGTAATAACTTTGATCTGCTTGATTAAAGATTTATTCTACTTCCTTAAATTTCTAAAAACGTTGACCTCGGTTTTATTCTGGAACTTAGAGGTTACATGTAAACAATTCTTAAACTGGTGACTGCTACAGTAAATACCTCTTTTGCTTGGACTTTATGTATCCCACCACTTTTTCTTCTCTCTACACATGACAGGGATTTATGGGCATAGACTGAGCTGTGTATATCAGGGAATGTGCACACACTGTGTGGCTTGAGAGTTTGGTGTGTTGGTGATTCCCACATCTGGCAGGTGACCAGAGCTGCCTGGGAAGCTGTCTTATAAAAGTGTGAATCTTCCTGAAGGTCATGGTTGGGAATGGGGTCTTCAGATCTGTGGCTCATGGTGATGCAGCTGAATTGCACTTGGAGTCTGAACAGCTGTGTGTATGCCTACGGTAGCAGTGAGGCCCACCTGTGGCCATGCCTTTGTGGGTGTCTGTGGTTTTACACCATGGAGGCCCTCCTCAGACTTTTTGGAGCTAATTAAAAGGCCCAGGAAATTTCCACCTTTTAAGTCATTTATTTTTTGAAAATGTAACCAAAGCTGACTTCCTGCCAGCATTTTGCAGTGGATTGTTTAATAATGTTCTCCCTGTAGCTGGCTAAGAAGAAGGGAGAGAAAGTGTAGTTCTTGTGACGTTTCTCTTTCTAATGTGTCATGGACTCTTGGTACTTCTGTTTCTTGGAAGAGTGCTTCTGTTTTGTTCCATTGACTGTGAACATTGTAAAAACATGTATGCAAGACAGAGCTGCCATACATGGTGTTTGGTGTATGAAGCACTTGCTTTTCGGCTGTGTGAGGACTTCATATGTGGTTGGAGTTCAGTGTAGGAAATGGGTGTGGTACTGAGTGAGTTGTTCAGTGGGCCCTTGGCATACTTGGGTGGTGGGGAGAGTTCAGAGATCTTTTATCACCAAATTTGATGACTCTGCCACCAGCCACTGTACCCATTTCTCCCTGTTGTGTATGCCACGAAGCACAGGGAATGTTGGCATGAGACTCTTGGGGTCTGGACAAAGCACGCAGCAGAGTGAGGAGTCACCTTGAGAACCTGAGGTTACCACCAGTCCCTGTGTGAGGAATGTTAACTCTGGGGACATTGTGTTCTTAATGGTGTCCTGTGCACAGCCACATTGGAGAGTCAGTGGCATGGAGATAGAGAAGGGAGGTATCATTGTCAGCTCTGTAGAAAGCAGACAGGTTGGTTTTGGCTTTACAGGCTAAGGTGGAGTAGGGCTAGAGAGGGAAGAGTGGAGGCAGCAAACACGGGCTTGTTTTGTCAGAGCTGTGGACTCCTGGGGGTACAGTGAAGAACAGAGCTACAAAAGTCGGAGGAAGCCAGACTGTGGACCCTGCATAGTCTTGAATTTTGGGCCCAGGCGGTTAAATGTTACAGATGTAGTTTGGTCTCCTCCTACCCGGAGATCCTGAGAAGTGAGGGTGAATGGCAACCAGTCACTTGGGACTTTGTAATATCTTAGTCCTAAACACTAGTGTACAACTGGTGTCTTTGAATTAAATTGTTAATGGTTTTTGTAGCTAGAAATACTGTGTTGGCAGTCCAGAGACATTTATTTTTATGGCTTACACCATTTATACAGATGCATGGTGTAGGTACCACATGATGAGGGAGGCCTTCCACAGATAAAAGTCCTAATGAGATAGCCCATGTTAGTTTTCTGGAAATAAAATATTCCAGCCCTCTAAGGGTTAGAAAATTAGATCTTTTCTCTTTCATAGCGTATTTATTGACTTGAAGTTCAATTTAGCCTAGTCTCTGTGAGTGATTTCCTTAACTCACAGAGGAGGAGCTGCTTTGACACCCAAGAGATGGCATCTTAAGCCTGTCTTTACATTCAAGCTGTCAGTGTGCAGCCAAGTCCTGGCTAAGAAGCCTTCTTGCAGCAGAGCTGGGAGAAGAACAAAAAGCTTGGGTGTGTGTTATGTAGCTGAAGCTCTCCTGAGCAGAAGTGGTGGCTTGTTGGTGTTGTTCTGCCTGAATGGGGGTCAGCTGTAGCCAGGGCCAGCCACCCAACCCCACAACACCATGTACTGGCCTGTGCATTTCGTTCCCTGCGCTGCCCTGAGGTTGATGAAATCAAATATTTTTCCTAAGCTGGCAGGGGGAATTACTCTTACCTAAAGGGGGAAACTTGAGAAAGCAAAGACCTGGTATTCTTAGAAAATGTTAAATTTGGTTCTTGGCAAATTTGATTTTTTTATTAAATTTTTTTGAACATTATATGTGGATCAAAAATATAAAATGGTAGACAGTGAAAAGTCTCTTTTATTCCCCTGTATTCCAGCTGCCTATTCCTTTACACATATATACGTGAAACCAGTTTTTATTACTTCTGTATCATTTTTGCAGATACAGAAAATATGGATGTATAGTTTTTATTTTCCCCCTTATTACAGAGACACATTATATACACTGTTCTGTGTTCCCTGGAGAGATTCCCTACATTGCTTGAGTCTCTCTTTCAATAGAAGAACAAGAGAAGTTTAATAAAGGTGTGTTTCTTAATTTTATAGAAAGCATGGCTTGGATTGATGGGAAAACAGATTTACATGGATTTGATTGGATATCAAAGATAATGAGAGTTCCTGACAAGGGTTTATGATGCCTTTAATGAAGCTTGTAGCATTAATGTATTCTGACTCTTAGAAATTTTTTAAAAACTCCCAGCGAGTGGGTCTCTGGATTACCAATAATGAAAACTTCCATTTACCTATCAGTTTGGCCAGTGATCATTTTTGATACCCCTGTCTTTTTTCACTCCTAAGACGTCAGGTGTTGCCTGTGAAATGTTCTTTTTTTCCAGTCTGGAATTGGTTTCCGGGGAGCAGAGGGTATAGATTTTTTTGTAAGCTCTTGCCATCTGCAAATGCTATAGCACCTCCTTTTTCCTTATTTTTCTTTTTTGAGAACAGCCTGTGTCGCCACTGTTTTACCACAGTAGCCCATGAAGTTCTTCAGAGCTCTGCCATCCACTCAGAACTCACTTCTCTAGAGTATACTGTGGTGTTACAGTGGGGTTAGTTTTCTTGATGTTCGGTAAGAATGTGAAGACAGACAACTTAGACTTCACAATGGTGTAATTGTGGTTAATAATTGTAATTGGCAAAATCACAGAGCATTAAATAGGAAAGATCTGAGTTGGCTTAAATGTTTTTCTCCCTTGGAATTCCTTCCATTTTTTTTTTTCTTCTCTTCTGATGATTAAAATATAAAACCTTCATCTTTAGTCTTCCCATTTATTTCAGATCAGGTAGTAAAAAAGTCATGGGATTCCTTAGTCACTTAAGTATCAAATAAGCTTAGAGAATGGCCTGCACTTAGGATGACAAGATGCAGTGAGACTAAATTAACTTTCTGTTTTCTGGAATCTGTTTCAGCAACTCTACCAGATCCTGACAGACTTTGATATCCGGTTTTATATGTATGAACTACTTAAAGTAAGTGGTGTTCATAAACCATTAATTTTTTTCAGGCCTGTTCATTAAAAGATAAGTTTTTGAGAGAACAAAGAGAACTTAAGCAGAATGTTTCTTGATACCCAGAGGATTTAGTGAAGTTTTTAAACTTATATTGAGGCCTCCATCGAGGAATCTTCACATAGAAACTTTCCAGTGGAACTGGGAAAAAAGTGGCCAAGTCAAGGGGTACCAGGGACATTATACCTTAGAACCTCCCATAGCTCTTGTTGGTCCATATGTTTTCTCTTTGCTGCTTTATTAATACCTACTGTGAATGTAACAAATCATCCCAAACTTAATGACTTTTAAAAAATGATTATTGTTTCTTATAATTGAGTTAGCCAGGTGATTCTTTAGGTCTCAGTTGATTTGACTGGGGCAGGATGGTCCAGGATGACCTCATTCACAATCTAGGACCACAGCTGGGGCAGCAGGGATAGCTGAGGTCTCATCCTCCAGCCTGTGAAGTTCATGCTGCTTCCCATGGTGGTCCTCCTGGGGTTCCTAGCAGCAGAGAGAGGGAAACCTCAATGTATAGGCACTTTTCAACCCTCTACCTGTGTCATATTTGCTAATAACCCTATTGGCCAAAGCAAATCACATGGCCAAGCCTAGCTTCAAAGCATGGAAAAACCGACTCCACTCTTGATGGGAAAAGCATTGAATATGTAGGCATATTATAGAGAGACATGCCTACAGGGGTGGCAGGCATTTGCAGCCATCTTTCCTTGCCATGTGTCGTCATCCCCTTCTTGCATGAGTCTTCCTAACCTACCCCTGTAGCCGTGGCTCGTTAATGCAGGGAAAAGTGATGGGTAGAATGTCTAAGAGACTTACTAATCCCAAGCACAATGAAATTTGAAGAATTACTGGTTGGTGGAGGAATGATCATTTTGTTTGTCTAGATAAGCACTTAAAGGAATGCTCAGTTTGTAAAATGGAATACACCCATGGGTCCTAGATTTTTGTGTCCTGGATCACTAAGAACCTAATGAAAACTATGAACTGCCTCCAAAAATGCATGTATTAATATGCAGTCTTGTGAAAAGTTTTAGGGTAGTTGTAGATCTTAAGAACAGTTCTATGAAATGAATGTGTTTTTATAAGAACTTGTACGCACCACTTTTTATTAGAGAAAGCTGAGGTGGTGGATTTAAGGTTCACTCTTATGGCTAATGGGTCTTCCTTTTTGTCAGTAAGATCAGAAACACGAAAAAGGTCGAGCTTGATTTATCCCACGTTTCTCCATGTCTTCTCTAGACTAAAATTGAAGCATTGGTGTGGATAAAATTTGCAGTGCCATGATCCTGTGAACTGTCAGGCTAGCTCCTTTCCTGGAAGTGCTTCCTGAGTAATCCCATGCACTCTCACCCCATGAGAGCTACAATTCAGATCTCACAGTTGGTTATTTTTAAGTAAGATGGTTTGAGATTTTGTGTTATTTAACCATCAGCCAAAGCTAAAGTTGTATAAGCTAGCCTGCCCTTAGGTCCCATAAAGACATCCAACTAATGCAGGTCTTCCCAGGTGGACATGTGGGTGTCACTCAATGTCTGATGTCCTTTCTGCTTTCTGGAGGTAGCAGCTAGGCAGTGAGGACATATACTTATTTTTGCTAATGAGACGTAGAATCCCAGATGAAACTTGAAAAACGTCATTCATGCTTAATGGTCAGAAACTGTACGAGATTTTAAAACTGAAATAATTCCCCAAAGAATTTCAAAGCATGTCAGTAACTCCATAGGGAGTCCGACTAGGAAACTTGGCAAAAGAATTAATTACCTTACTGTATTTGTTCAGCCTTTGCTTTCATTGAGTATTTTTCACATGCCAGGTATTGTGGTCTTAATTAGTTTATTCCTTTGGACAAAGAGTAGGCAATATAGCAGAATCAACACTTGGTAAATTTTCTCTTTGAAAAGAAAAAACAGGAGTGGGGAAGACTAAATATTTAACTCCTTTGAAAATGTAGAAGCAACTGAGGCTGAGGGCTGCAGTGTGATGACTCGGTGACTTAACCTGATCTCCTGATTCAGATTCAAGGAGGTCTGCCCTCACAACCCCTGGTTTCATAAAGCACTGCCACAAAGGCACTTTGGAATCTTGCTACAGTTATTATAAAACAGAGGGAAAAAATTGAAGTAGAATGTAAGTGAAGTAAATAAATCTTAAACGTACAGTCTTTTGGATGTTTGTGTATGTAAAACTCTCACCCAGATTTACACAGGACGATGATATCCAGTATAGTTAGTAACCACTGCCCATAGGTAGCTATTTAAATTAAGTAAAATTCAAAATTTAGTTGCTGGCCAGACTCGGTGGCTCACGCCTATAAATCCCAATGCTTCGGGAGGCCAAGGCAGGTTGATTGCTTGAGCTCAGGAGTTCAAGACCAGCCTGGGCAACATGGCAAAGCCCCATAGCTACCAAAAAAAAAAAAAAAAAAAAAATATATATATATATATATATATGCATGCTCCAGGTGTAGTGGTACATGCCTATGGTTCCAGCTACTCAGGAGGTGGAGGTGGGAGGATCCACTTGAGCCTGTGAGGCAGAGGTTGCAGTGAGCTGAGATCATGCCACTGCACTCTAGCCTGGGCAACAGAGCAAGGCCCTGTACAAAAAAATAAAATAATAAAATAAAATTTAGTTCCCTAATCACACTAGGCACATTTCAGGTGCTCAGTGGCCTCATGTGGCTAGTGGCTACCGTATTATAGAGTGCAGGAATAGAATATTTCCATCATTGCAGAAGGTCCTATTGGACAGGGCTGGTAGAGGATATTGTGAACATCCTGCAGGGCTCTCTTGTGTTCTTCTGTTCAGTGTCTCCTCTGAAGATTATATCTTTATATGTATCCCCATAGTTAGTAGTGCCTGTTCTTGATCTTCAAATAACAAGCATTCTTTCTTTTTTTATCTGTCGCCCAGGCTGGAGTGCGGTGGCATGATCTCGGCTCACTGCAACCTCCACCTCCCGGGTTCAAGCAGTTCTCCCGCCTCGGCCTCCTGAGTAGTTGGGATTACAGGCACGCACCACCACACCTGGCTAATTTTTGTATTTTTAGTAGAAACGGGGTTTCACCCTGTTGGTCAGGCTGGTCTCAAAACTCCTGACCTCGTGATCTGCCCGCCTTGGCCCCCAAACTGCTGGGATTACAGGCGTGAGCCACCACGCCTGGCCATAACAAGCATTCTATATTGTATACTCTTGGTTCAGGGAAAAGCACAGATCGAGGGAGCTTATTCCTGGAATGCTAATCCTAGGGCTCATTCTCTGCCTTGTGTACTCCTCCAGCATGAAGAAGTCCATTCAAGTGTCCTCAAGAGTCTAGTTTATTGCTTCTTATCCAGGTCAAGCTTGTCCCCCAGGGGACATTGGGCAAAATCTGGAACCATTTTTGGTTGTTAAAACTGGAGGGGGGCTCTAGTGGTAGGTAGAGGACAGGGATTCTACTTGAAGAGTATTTCATTGACCTTGTGTAGGATTCAGGTGCTTGTTAAGATTAGCCAAAGGTCCTGAATTTGAAGTTTATGAAGATAGTTATTATGTTAGGCAAGGGAGATTTAGAAGCAAATTTTTACATTAAAAAAATGGAGCTTAACAATCTAATAAATGATTGAAAGATTTGAATCAGCATTTCTCCAAAGAAGATTTAGAATGGCCGGTAGACACATAAAAAGAAGTTCCACTTCATCACTCATTATGGAAATAAAAATCAAAACCACATGGAGATACCACTTTACACCCACCAGCAAAGCTATAATCAAAAAGTTGAACAATGACAGGTGTTGATGAGAATGTGGAGAAACTTGAACCCTCAGGTTGCTGGTGGGAGTAAAAGTGACGCAGCCACTTTGGAAGATAATTAGGCAGTTTCTTAAAAGTTTAAACACAAATTTAGCATACAACCCAGCACTTCCACCCCTAGGAATCTACCCAAGGGAAATGAAAGCATGAGTGGAAACAACCCAAATGTCCATCAGCTAGTAGTGGAATACTACTCAGCAAGGAAAAACAACTTGGATGAATCTCAGAAACAGTATACTGAAGGAAAGAAGGTAGACAAAGCACTATACATGTATGATTTCATATTATGAATGTACAGAAAAGGCAAATCTATACCAGCAAATAGCAGGTCAGTGGTTGTGGGCAGGGCACGGAGGGGTTGGGAGAAGTTAGGAAAGGGGATTGACTACAGACAAGCTCAAGAAAAATTTTAGGAGTGATGGAGATGTTCTAAAACTGGATTGTGGTAATGGTTGCACAGCTTTTTAAATTTGTGAAAAACCATTATATACATAAAATCTTATCTGCATATCAATCATCTTAAACAAAGCAATTTTCTCCCTTGGAATAATATGTAATGATAATTGTTTTTTTTTTGAGACCCGCTTTGTTGCCCAGGCTGAAGTGCAATGGTGCCATCTCGGCTCACTGCAACCTCCGCCTCTCAGGTTCAGGCAATTCTCGTGCCTTAGCCCCACAAGTAGCTGGGACTAGAGGTGCCCACCACCTTGCCTGGCTAATTTTTTGTATTTTTAGTAGAGGTGGAGTTTCGCCATGTTGGCCAGGCTGGTCTTGAACTCCTGACCTGAAGTGATCTGCCTGCCTCCGAAAGTTCTGGGATTACAGGCATGAGCACCATGCCTGGCCTTATAATGATAAGTCTTAAAGGCTAGCTGGCTCAGGGATTATATTAAGGAAAATACTAATACTTGGTCATCTAGAAAACCCACGTGGGACCCTTATGTACAAAATAAGCCATACTGAAAGATGTATTTGAATGTCATTCTTCATGTCCACATAGATGCTGGTCTGTCCTTTGAACCATTATGAGAGGTGACTCCAGTGAGGTTCCAAAGTCTGGTTTATCATCCCACACACACACCCCCCTCCCCACTGCCCGCCTTTCTTGCCCAGGCTGGAGTGCAGTGGCACCATCTCAGCTCACTGCAGCCTCCACCTCCCAGGTTCAAGCAGTTCTCCAGCCTCAGCCCAGTCGAGTGGCTGGGATTACAGGCACGCACCACCACGCCCAGCTAACTTTTGTATTTTTAGTATAGCCGTGTTGCCCAGGCTAGTCTCGAACTCCTGACCTCAAGTGATCCACCTGCCTCGGCCTCCCAAAGTGCTAGGATTACAGGCATGAGTCACTGTGCCTGGCCTCATCACCCCCTCTTTTAAAGAAATCTTCCTCGGCTGGGCACAGTGGCTCACACCTGTAATCCCAGTACCTTGGGAGGCCGAGGCTGGCGGATCACGAGGTCAGGAGATTGAAACCATCCTGGCTAACACGGTGAAACCCTGTCTCTACTAAAAATACAGAAAATTAGCTGGGCGTAGTGGCAGGCACTTGTAGTCCTAGCTACTCGGGAGGCTGAGGCAGGAGAAGGGCGTGAACCCGGGAGGCAGAGCTTGCAGTGAGCCGAGATTGCACCACTGCACTCCAGCCTGGGCGACAGAGCAAGACTCCATCTCAAAAAAAAAAAAAAGAAATCTTCCTCATAGCCCTTGCCATTCCCTTCATACCCCCTTTCTACCAGCTGTAGTGTGCAGAGAGAGCAAGGGGTGCCTTCTGAAGCACGCTTTTTTTCTCTTTCATTACAGGCAGCAAGCTGCCCGTTGGGGGACTGTATTCAAGTCAAGGTGTCACAAACAATAAGACTATGCTTGCGTTGGGGGATGGTAGAGGGGTTGCTTACTATTATCTGTGCTTTCTTACCTAATAGGCTCTGGATTACTGCCACAGCAAGGGAATCATGCACAGGGATGTGAAACCTCACAATGTCATGATAGATCACCAACAGAAAAAGGTACCATTACAGCCAGGCAGCAACAAGCTTGATTAAAAGGCTTAGAGCAGACCAAAAAGCTGTCCAGTGCCATGATGGTTTCTGTAGACCCGTGGTGGGTTTTTTGGCAAACTTTCGTTACTGTGATTTCTCCCATCTCCATTGTTGATTTCTACTTTGTATAGTGTAGTACACAAGGAAAGTAGACGGTTTAACTATAGTAACTAACTATAGTCACTTGTTTATTTTGGTCATAGTTTTCTGGAGGGCCTCAGAAAGAAATTACAGCTGGTGGTTTCTGCTTCATTTCTTGATGACCCGCAGACCAATCTGCCTGGCCTTAAAAGAACACTTGGGTCCCTCCTATTTTTGATATCCAACTCTGTTGGCCCTAATCAGTGAGTAAATGGATCATCTAGTATTAGACGAATAAATCATTAGAGCAATGCTTCAGTCCTGGAGTGGGATGTGTGTCCCCAGCCCTTTCACTGACGCCTGGAGCTTATAACGAAAAGCTATGAATGATGGGAGAATGTGTTACCAAGTGTAACTGCCTACAGTTTCTGAATGTGGGCAGAAAAAAAGGTTGAGCTCTGTTGATCTAGAGAGAGGGATGAACCAGGATAATTTAAAATTTTTTCAAAAAGCATTTCAAGTGTTCTGCTCTAAAAATGACCTCTTGCACGATTGCTGAAAATGTAATTTTTAAGCCAGTGCACCTGCTCACATTTTTTGTGTGGCCAAATGATTGTTACCTAATGTGATGTGGCCTTGTTCTAAGGCATAGGCGTCTAGAAACACTCCTTTCACATGTTTTTTTCTGTCCTATTTGTAGCTGCGACTGATAGATTGGGGTCTGGCAGAATTCTATCATCCTGCTCAGGAGTACAATGTTCGTGTAGCCTCAAGGTACTTCAAGGGACCAGAGCTCCTCGTGGACTATCAGGTAAACTTGTTAGCAGAGCTATTCTGGGTTATTTATACTTGCTTAGGGCTTTTCTGGTTTGCTGTTGATCTAGTCAGTTTGAATACACTCAAAACCCAGCCATTATTTCACCCTAAAATGCTGATTTTAGTTTTTTCTCAGCTAGTTTTTTGGGGGGACAGAGAAGTTTTTAAATCTAAAATATCTGCAAAGGTTAAATGAAGACTAGAAATTCAGATCATTTCTAGGAGCCAGGAAGTTAAAAAAAATTTTTTTTAAATAAATTATCTATGGCCATACCACCCTGAACACGCCCAATCTCGTCTAAAAAAGAAATTTATATCAGAAAAATGGATTTCTAATACCCTTGGCTAATGCGTTGTCCTTATTGCCTCAGATGTATGATTATAGCTTGGACATGTGGAGTTTGGGCTGTATGTTAGCAAGCATGATCTTTCGAAGGGAACCATTCTTCCATGGACAGGACAACTATGACCAGGTGAGCAAATGCTTTCTGGTTCTTATTTATTTGGGGGTGAATGCCAAAAAAATAGCATCCTTAGATAAGAATACTATCCTTGAGCCACTAAGTATCACTCAGTGTCTGCATATGAGCTTTTCTTCAAGATAAAGATCGCACAGAATTTTGTGTTTACCAGGTCCGCAGAAGTAGAGGCAGATAATGCCATCTATGCCAAACTTCCAAAGTGAATCTGTGAAGAAGTCAGGCACCTCCTTGTCTAATAAAACTAGATTTTAGTCATTAGATTGTGATGCCCTGTACTGGTCCACCTCTAGAAGATTATTATCGTAAGTTGTATTATTTTAAAGGCCGTTTGGAAATTTGCATTCATGTGAACTTCTTGTCCTTGGGTCTGTCTGCCTGCCCTGGACCTGGGTTTGTATCTCGTTCCTAGAGGTTTAGTGGTGTGGAAGTCTTCTGATTCCTTGGTGCAGTGTCCTCACGGGCTCATGGTGTGTTCTGTGCTCAGTGATTTGGTCAGTTTGTTTTGTGTTTCAGCTTGTTCGCATTGCCAAGGTTCTGGGTACAGAAGAACTGTATGGGTATCTGAAGAAGTATCACATAGACCTAGATCCACACTTCAACGATATCCTGGGACAGTAAGTAAGAGAGAGAGAGAGAGTGCTTTACCTTACCCCGTTTCAGAAGTGGAAAGGTTAGCCAAAATCACTTTCTTTTCCCATTCTGATTATAGTAAAATGGAAGTAGCCCTCTTTTTTCCTATGCATATTTTCTTTTAACTTATTGAGATATTTGGACTTTATGTCTTTTAATCATTTTACTTCTCTGAGAGATAACCTATTAATAGAAAAGGTAAAACAAAAATCATAATGTTATAGAAAAAAGTTTTCTGGTACAGCAAAAGCTTATTTTTAATGGCCAAACTTGGAGAGCAATGATTCTTTGAATAAGAGACTTAGTTTGTTTTTTATTATATTTTATTTTATTTACTTCATATCTCTTCAAGGTGGACTTACAATTTCTTCTTGTTCTCTGTAATGGATTTTCTATACAATAGCAAATTTTAAAGCACATTGAGTTTTCAGGTACATTGCAATAATGTTGAGAAGTAAACATTTTGTTAACAGTTTTCAAACAGTATTTTATGGAACCTCCCTGTTTCTGAGGCTAGCCCTGGGAAATATATCTGCTGACCAATAAAAATTGCCCACTCTTCTGCATGCCACCCAGAATTGACTAAAAGTCTACAGCATAAAAAATAATCTAGAAAGGTTCCACATATTCTAAATGAGATATAGAAGTTTTACCTAGTTGTATTTTTCTAATCACAGAGCACCATTGTGTTTCAGGATGCTATGCTGTAACTATGGGGCCGTAGGGCAGGCACCAGTTAGAGATTTAACAAGCTTGTAATCAGTACATTATTCTGAGATTTTGTTGGCTTTAGCCCTAGTAGATAAGGATTCTTGTTGAATTTAGTCTCTGGTTACTAATGCTTCATTTTTCTTCTCAGACATTCACGGAAACGCTGGGAAAACTTTATCCATAGTGAGAACAGACACCTTGTCAGCCCTGAGGCCCTAGATCTTCTGGACAAACTTCTGCGATACGACCATCAACAGAGACTGACTGCCAAAGAGGCCATGGAGCACCCATACTTCTGTGAGTCTCCAGGGACTGTGTTCAGGGAGTAATTCAGTCAAGAGAACAAATCTTCCACTCTTTGTCTTTGAGACCAGTCAGGAGAATTCTAGGGTATTTGGATTGGATTATTCCTAGAATTTGGCCTCATTTATCGTAGATGATTGAGACAACTTTGCAGATCCGTTTCTTGATCACCAAAGGTGTTTGCTTATTCACTGAATGTATCTCCCCGGAGTTCAAGCTGTTTGACTACTCCCTGTTACCCTGAGTTAATAGATCGCAAGTTTCTAAAATTTCTTTTTAAACATACATATATTTGTGTGGAAACCTAATTGAAGATTATTTCTCCCCTCAGAAAACTAGTAATTAGTTAAAAGTAGTAAGATAACTATTGTATGTTTTGAAAGAAGGAGATGAACAGATGGATGGACGAAAGGAATTTGAGGAAAGGGAAGTAAGTGTGGAGAGGCCTCACTGAAATCTTGACTGAACTGCTCACTTAGAAGTGTGTGTGGATTCACTTTGCGTGTTTGCTTATTCTTCTGCATGTGTATGGTTCTTTCCTCTGATAACGTGTGTTTCAAATAAACTTCCTCCTATTATCAGTCTCCTTCCTGGGGAGCAGGGAGGTTGAGAGACTTACCTCAGTCGCTTTCTGAATCAAGAGGGAAACGTTCACCCCTTAAAGTCGTTGTCTCTGGCTTAACAAACATGCTGTCTTTCCCTCTCCTTTGATTTCCTCTGGAGATGAACTAAATTCTTGCCTGAAGAATGTGTCGCTGTAGTCTTGAGCCTGTGGCCCATATGCATAAGGGAGACCGCAAATGGAAAAGCCTTCAGCCTTCTAGACCTCAGCCCCAGGAAACTCAGATGTCCCCGCCCCAGTGTCTGGCACAGAAAGCTGTTTTTACCCGAGTTAGATCAAATTAGGAATACTGATGTTTATGACATGTCATTAATGATCTTTCTGCTTTTCTGAATATATGTCATACTTCAATTTAAAAAATTTCAAACTACGGTTGCTTAAAATGGATAGGTCTTCTGATGGCTCTTTTTACTCACCTTTCCTTTGAAGTGCTTGTTATTCTACATGCTTTGAAGAAATTAGGGGTTAGAGATGATATTAATATTGAAAGAAAATAAATGTAGAAATTTGAACAGTGGGAAATTAGAGTTTCTATGCCTCTTAGCATTGAGTCTGTACTCCGAGGAAGGGTAAGAGTTGACTGCAATAACAATTTCCCTGATCATTTTTCAGTGTTTGGTTTTTATATGGCTGGAATTCCGTGATTTCCGTCTCTCCTGTTGCCCCCCTGACCCTGGCTTGCCCATCAGTCTGTCTCTCTTTCCGTTGAAAGGGTGGGTTTGCCATGGGCTTCTCTCAGCACTCACCACCCTGATTGCCTGACTTTCCTCCTGCTTTCTTGCAGACCCTGTGGTGAAGGAGCAGTCCCAGCCTTGTGCAGACAATGCTGTGCTTTCCAGTGGTCTCACGGCAGCACGATGAAGACTGGAAAGCGACGGGTAATGCGGCATTGATGCTTGCCAATAAAACCAACCAACCAAACACAAACCTTGAAGGAAAACTACAGTGTGATAAAAAGAAATTCTTATCATTCCTTCTAAATGCACAGAAGAGTAAAGACCTAAAAGTCTGTCAAAAAGCAAGAAAGAAACTCCCCAGTGCTAGTCTCCAGGGAGCTGTCACTGTGGCAGCATGGGGATGCACCTAGTTCAGGATCTGAAGGAGCTCTGCCTTTGGAATGCATGGGAGATAGAGACTCGGAGTTGTTGTACATTTACCTTTGTTTAACAGGGCACCACTGTTGAATTAACCCATTCAGTCAACAAGCTCTGAATGTCTGACTTCCTATCTATTCCATTGTGGTCTGGGTTTCCTTTGGTGAAATTCAGGCTCAAGTCTTAGCGAAATGTCAGCAGTCTATACTGACACACCAGCCTCATTTACAAAAAGGAGATATTAAAACAGTGACAGTATTTTTTTTTTAAGCTCTTTACAAATCCACGTTTTATGTATTTTTTAATGACATGAGCTCTCCAGGAAATGTACCTCATCCCCGCAGTTTTCCTCCAAGTGGATTCATTTGGGAGCAAACTGCAGTCACTTTCACAAGAGTCCTCTTTGATGTCAGGAGGGATCACGAAACCTTGCAATGCCATGAACTGGTCCATGGTTATCATCAAAAGTTCCATGCTAAGTGCATAACTTGGAGCTCACTATAACCTTTGTTGATTTCCCTAACCATAAAATCTTGTTGCTATTTTTTTGTTGCTTTTTCTTTTTTTTTTTTTTTTTTTTTTTTGGCAGCCTTGTAAGGAGAACTTCACCATTTCCCAGCACATCCCTATGTGTGCGCCTATTTTAATGCACCTCTCTGAAACAGAGACCTTTTTGTTCACAACCATAACTAAAGCTGGAAAGTCAGTCTTCAGGCAAGGCGAGGGAGGAAAACATCCCATTAGAATTTTTTCAGGAAAGACTTATGGAAAAAAATATCTCTCTCCCACCTCCTTTTATCCCCATGAGACACAGTTTCCCACTGTAATCAGGGTAATATGCATTTGTAAGTTCTGATATGTGATACATTTATGTGATGGCAAAGATAAGTCTGTCTTGCATGCAGGTACTAGAGTTGTGTGGGCAGGGTCATCTGAAACTCAAGCAACTCAGAGGAATATACAAGGGGCTTGGGGAAGAAAATGGTGCTCCCGGAGCAAGTGTTGGATCCATTTTGCAAACCTTCATGTTAGCAGAGAAAGCTAGAGTTTGTTTAAACAAAAATAGGGCTGATTTCATTTTGGGGACTCAGGAGCAACATGGTTTGTAGGCAGTCCCCTCACCCCAGCTGCAGGGCCATGCCACAGCTGTGGGGACTTCACACACCTAGGCTAGAACTAGAGGTGTCTACCACATCACCCTTTAAGATTTCTTTATTAACTATTTAATAATGCCATACATTTTTATAAGGTTAGATGTTTGTTTGAAACATTTGTTTACATTCCATATTCCAATAAAATCTTATTGGTATTGGTAGCAGATCCTACTCTAAATGTAGATTCTATTTTTGTCGTTTGGTCTGTGGGAACTTAAAATACAAATGAAACTCTTCTCTTATTATAGAGTTGAGTTTATAGAGTAAAAAATAAATAAGATCCCAAAGCCAAGGAATGCATTCAGTTAAGGTTCTCATACCAATGCTGCCTGCTTGCATTGCACATTCTGTATACTAATGTAAACATTTGTTCTACCTGAAAATCAAAAGCAAGATGTGAGCTCTTTGGCTAAACCTGTATTGATATGTCAGGCAGCAAAACTCAGTGTTTGAGATTATCAAAAGCCTTCTAATATGCCCTTATAGGCAATCCTGAAGCATTGGTTATCATCAGGGAGATGTGCCACTGCGTGTCTTTCCTGCTCCCCCTCCAATCTCCTTTATCACCCCACCCCACTCCTCAGCCCTCCCTTTTTTTTTTTAAGTTGCCTGTCTGGACCAGGCAAGAGGTGCCTACTGGAGGGTCTTGGTGAAGCGGTAACTCCATTCCTTTCCCTTGGGTCCCCCAAAGGTAATAAAAGTACCTGGAGGAGAATAGTCAGGTGATTGACCTCTGCCTGTCTCTCTGACGGTGATGTAGGTGCAGACACCGCCTGCCTGCCTTGTCCTGGGGTTTTGTAACTGCAGCTTTGACACAGGCATTCTTCCTTTGAAGCACACAGCTTGCTTTTCCAGCACCTAGACTTTTACCTCTCTTCATGCCTTAGACTTAGACCATAACTGGGCTTGAAATGCTCACCCCTTCCTGGGTCTGGTCTTGGCACCTAGGCTATTCCTTTCCAAACTGAAGTGAGTCCAGTTTCAGACCATCTCTTTTCCTGTCTCCAAAAACCATTTTTGTTTCCAAACCTAGCTCCCCCGAAATTTTAAGACTATTTACCTAGATTCGGAGATGGTCTTGGAGAGTTCCAAAAGGGGTGTGTGTGTGTCTGTGTGTGTGTCTGTGTGTGTGTCTGTGTGTGTGTCTGTGTGTGTGTCTGTGTGTCTAATATTTAGACTAAACCATGGTAAATGTACGCACCCAGTATCCTTTTCAGTTAGCATATTCTTTCTTAAACTCATCTCAGTACTTTTCATTTGTTTGCTTCATTATCTTAAACAGGTTAAAAGTGCCTATGATAAGGACTTAATTATTTCCTAAAGAAAAGCAAAAAATGTGGGGAACAGGGTAGTGTTATACTATCATCTCAGGTACTGCCTATGTTCAAGAACATAGACCTGGTATGGTGAGAACAAAAGGTTCCTATGCCAAATCCAGATGGCTATATCATTTGTTGGCTACAAGTGAGCCTGACTGCAAGGTTTGCTTCTGCTGAGAAATCCCATGGTGAGAGTAGAACTCATGAAGTGCTGAGTCACATTTGCACCTCTGGTGTGGTGGCAGTTCACTCTCCCCTGGATGCTGTCAGCTGGCCTTGCTTTCATCCTATCCCTGTAGGCAGGGTAGGTGGCTGGGTAGGAGAAGCTATTGAGTGTATGACGCAGACCAAGCTTTCCTGGGCCTTCTCACCAACTAGAGAAGCGCTGATGTCGTTCATTGAGGCACTTAAACACCAGTCACTCAGCCAGGCCTCCTCCCAGACATTCTGTAACATGTCAGCACTCACAAGGTTTAAAGCAAATGTGTTCCCTTGCAGAGAGGAAGGTGCTCTCAGACTGATAGATTAGAGGAGACAGACAAACTCGTAATCCTTGGGGACTTGAAGAGAGTGGCTAGGGGAAGGGCTGTTAAAAGAAAAGGGACCAATAAGAAAATCCATCTAAAGGTAGCTCTTGAGGAGGAAATTAACTTCTTGAGGGGATAAATTAGAGGGTACCAAGTTTATGTTCTGGAATGTACCCTGGGGAGGGCGCTGCCCACTGGATTGGTCCCAGTGGACTGAAAGGTGGTGCTCTCGAGTCAGGCGCTTAGTCCCAGAGAGAGCTGGGTGCCGCGGGGCTCGTGGTCTGTGCCTACTCAGGGAAATGACTTAGGTTCTCCCAGGTGCTCTGTTGATAAGGATGGAAGCAGAACTACTTTGAGACACAAGCAACAATTGGAAGAGTTTTTTTATATGAACTGAAATAGATCTAAGAGAGCCTGGTTAACAGTTTCCTTTAATACCAGTTCAGATTAAATGGTTACTTTAGGAACCTGTGTTACTGTGTGAGCACCCACAGAAACAAGCAAACTTATTTCCTACAAAAAATGAGGGGATAATAACCGATCAGAGTCACAGTCGTTTCAATATAAACCCTTCCGAAAGCAAAAGCAGGGACCACATGAGCACACAAGAAGCCAAAGTTTGTCAGTGATCTTAATAAATTAAGACTGAGTAACATCCTGCCTTTAGAAAAAAATAACCCCGAGGTGGAGACCAGGGCAGGGGAGGTGGCGGAGAAGCATCGGGCCAGATCAACCGTTAATAACATGCTTCTGAGCTATGTGGATGTATAAATGAAAACACCCCCAACTAGGTATTGTAGAGGCTGGAAAAAGATGTGATGGGATTATACAGGTGATGCATATTTTTGTTTTGAGACTCAACAATGTGCTACAAATGTGATACTTAACCCTGAACTGCATGTATTGGGGATTGTTTTTTAAAAAGAAAAAAAACAACTTTGAATCAATAAATTAACAGTTTTTCACTTGCTGGCTCTTCTTGCTGTAAATGGTGACTAAGAGGTTGGGACAGAAATCTTGACAACTAGTGGAAAACTTGGATAATCTTCAAGGACCATGGAGCCTTCTGTTTCCTTCTGTTTGCAGAAAAGCAACACTGCCTGGGTTGTGATCCTTTACAAGTGACTACTTCAGACACAATTGGCCACCTCTTTGTATCACTGGATGACTGATGTATGATTTATGTGCTGCTGCCCTTAGAGGGAAGAAAAATGCCATGTTAAATCCTGTTTTCTTAAATAAAAATGTTGACAATAACCAGCCTTCCCAAGTGGGAGACAAACCATTGCTATGAGGACCTTAACTTGTATTTCCTGTCTCTTTGGGGGAGAGGGGAGGGATAAACCTTGAATTGCAAAGATGTGTGTTACACCTTGATGTGAAAACTTTCCTTTGGCAGAAGTGGGGCTAGAGTGGTGTCCTGTTGGGAGTGTTCCGTTTTTATGTACTTGCTTCTGAGTCGCGCCACTCAGACACCTGCCTCTTGGGATTGACTGTTTTAGTGCATGACTTTAACCTTGTGGCCTGGTGCTCTGCATTTGTGAAACACTCTCCCTAGCCCCATTCCTTGCAGCACATGCTATTATTTGGCAGGTGGTGGTATCTTTAATTAATGTGCTTTCTTTAATTAGTGTGCTTTCTTCTCACTGAGCCTCTGAAGTTGGGTGCTTGGAATCAGCTGAAGTGTTTAAAGGCAAATATAGTCATTTCTTTCTTAACCTCATGCACCATGCAGCCCTTCTCAAATCAAATACTACGCAGTGGAACCCTTCCTTTACCCAAAGAAAGTTTTCATGAAATGATTTTGTGTGTGTGACAGCTTCCCAGGTGCATAGTCCTTCCTCAGTACTGTAGTGCTGTTCTGGGAGGCACTGCTTCTA
Organism: Homo sapiens; assembly: GCF_000001405.40. Classification (NCBI taxonomy): domain Eukaryota; kingdom Metazoa; phylum Chordata; class Mammalia; order Primates; family Hominidae; genus Homo; species Homo sapiens. Next base: position 58,158,957 of record NC_000016.10, on the reverse strand, counting down.
GAATTCCACTGCCGGCATCTCACCACCCACTTGCTATGCTGGACCTGGAAGGAGAAATGAGGTTTTCAGGCCATGCCAGGCAGCTAGCTGTTTCCAGGGGAGAGTTAAAAATATTTGAGCTCACTTACTGCTCTTTGTTTATTAGTGGACTCAGCCCTTTTTCTGAGTAAATACAGACCCCGTCTTAGTCCTAAGACACCTCAGATAATCAGGTCAGGTCTGAGGGGGACCTAGAGCTGACTGCTGAATTTGTAGCTTGACTGGCACAGAATGGTCAAGAGGCTCTGAGGCTTCTCCATCAGCACCCTGGACCCGAGGGATGGGGTAGAGTGGAAGACCTGGTCACAACACACGTGGTGCCCAGAGCACCCGTCCTGTGACAGAAGGCCGTGCTAGAGACCATCTCTGTCATGATAATCAGAAGAGGAAGGCAGAGGGTACTGTTGGAAACCTGAACTCAGCGAGTTCTCACAGGGTTCTCCACCAAGTGGCATGGGAGGGCCGAGCTTGCATTCTAGCACAGGCCCTCCTACACGTGGAGGCCTCCCCTCGCCCGCTCAGGTTGATTAATGACGTCTTTCCCTCCTCCCGTCTCTTTCCCCAGGTCTGTTGCGGTTCTCCCACTTTTCCATAAGCAGAACAAGAACCAAATCAAACGTCTTAACGCGTATAGAGAGATCACGTTCCGTGAGCAGACACAAAACGGTGGCAGGTTTGGCGAGCACGAACTAGACCAAGCGAAGGGCAGCCCACCACCGTATATCAAACCTCACTTCCGAATGTAAAAGGCTCACTTGCCTTTGGCTTCCTGTTGACTTCTTCCCGACCCAGAAAGCATGGGGAATGTGAAGGGTATGCAGAATGTTGTTGGTTACTGTTGCTCCCCGAGCCCCTCGACTCGTCCCGTGGCCGCCTGTTTTTCCAGCAAACCACGCTAACTAGCTGACCACAGACTCCACAGTGGGGGGACGGGCGCAGTATGTGGCATGGCGGCAGTTACATATTATTATTTTAAAAGTATATATTATTGAATAAAAGGTTTTAAAAGAAACGTATGGAGAGTTTTCAGTATGGAAAGGGCCGTGAACTGAGGCCTGTGACTCAGGATGAGACAAAAGCGCATTCGTGCCAGGTTCTAACCAGACGAAGCAGGGGAGGTCCCTGGGACAAGGTGGGCCAGTTTTCATTTTTGTTTTTAAACAGTCTTGCTCTGTCATGGAGGCTGGAGTGCAGTGGCGCAACCATAGCTCACTACAGCCTCGGCCTCCTGGCCTCAAGTGATCCTCCTGCTTCAGCCTCCTGAGTAGCTGGGATTACAGGTGCATGCCACCACACCTGACAAGTTTTCTTAAGTTTTTTTTTTGTAGAAATGGTCTTGCCACGTGGCCCAGGCTGGTCTCAAACTCCTGACTCAAGTGATCCTCTTTCCTAGTCCCCCTAAAGTGCTGGGTCTACATAGAGGTGTGAGCCACCACACTCAGCCAAGGAGGGCCCGTTTGTAAGGACTCTCTTCCAGAGCTGAGTGGTGTTAAGAGGTACACAGTGAACCAGTCCTAGGAATGGGGACAATATGGATGGCTGAAGTAGACTCAGCCAGGAAAGTGGGGCTTTGCCTTGAACACATTCCAACTGGCCAGCATCCTCCCTGGCCTCTCCTTCAAATGAGAGTCACCTCCTGTGAATGCAGGAAGATGCCTTGGCCCTTTCTTGGTTGCCCCTTTGCTCCCATCTCCACATTTCATCCCATCTCAATCCTGTCCCCTCAGCACCTGCTACTGAAGAAAGGCCCCGTCTTGGAGGCTGGTTGAGTTTGCTGTCCTGAGGCAGGAGAGGGGTCGAGGTCTCTGATCTGAGGGCTGCTTTTGACCACACATTCTGAAGCACCCATGAACTGGAAGGAAAAGCAGACACTCAGGGAGCTAGAACAGAAGCACTGGTTGTATTTGTTAAATGGGAGAAACCCAATGCTACAAATGAGACTTCGCTGGCTCCCATGGTCCTCAGCTCAAGACAGTGGTGCCAGGGCAGGTGAAAGCAATGGCCATGACCTTGTACTGGCTGCTGGTTTGTGTCCTCCCACTGCCTGTAGGACAGCAGGAGCTATGGGCAGATCTAGACACCCAAGCCACTGGATGGCACGCCAGCTAGGTCTCCACAAAAGCAACTTGGTCCACACAACATTCTCTGTCCTCTGCAGCTAGTTCTGGCCCATGGTGGGAACCCAAGTGTGGATGTTCACAGTTTTTGAAGTGACTATGGAGGAAAGCAGGCCCCTTTCAGGGCCACCACAGCATCGTGGTGTCCTTTGGACCAGCTTCTGTGGCATCTAAGCTGTTGCTCAGGTGTGGGAGCTTGAGACTGTGCATCCCCCCTGGACACCAGCAGGTGAGGACCCATAGGCCACCACCTGTGGGACACTGAGCAGATAGACTTGGTGCTTTCTAGCCCCATCACTGGCCTAATTTTCTCAAGCTGGCTGTCTCGGGGCTCTTTGTGACTCAAGGCTGTGCAAATTTCTGTGAGTCTCCCAGATCTCTGGGACTGCATCAAAACACCTTGTTGTTTTGTTGTACCCTGTAGTACCTAGGAACATGCTTCGTGCGTGCATGTTTATCTCCACAGCATGTATCTGTGCTACTTAGCGTGACTTACTGCCATCTCAGGTCTTCTCCAGACATAGAGGGTCTTATTCGAATAGAATCATTTGATTGGCTTGCATCTTTAGATGTCATGTAGAACTTGGAACCATAACTCCCTCCTCCAATTTCCCCCCTCAACCAAGGCTCTCTTTAACTGCTCCGTGTGGAAATCATGTTTCACAAATAATTTTCAGTTTTGTGGGTGATTATGGTTGGGTTGAGAAAGTGTGTGGTTGTAGAAAGAAGAGAAAGGAGGTGATTTTTGAGTAGGTTGTTTTGACTTTTGAAAGCAGGGGACGTCCTAACACCTGCTACCACAAAAACTGTCTTCAGCTCCTCCTCAGTGTGCTTGGAGATTCAGAACATCAGCTCTCATCTCCCAGTGGTCCTGGTTGTGTTCTAAACAATATTGATTGCATTTTCCTGATTACCAAAATAATATATGTTTGTGGTAAAAACAAAAAAAAATTCAAATGCTTACAGAGAAGTAAATAACGAAAGCCCCAGCCCCCAGCCACACACACACACACACACACACACACACACACACACACACACACACACACACACCCCATGCTCACAGGAAAGCCTCTTCCTCTCTTAGAGATAATCACCATTAAATTTTGTGTATATCTTCCCGGTTTTTTCCTATGCACTTACTATTTTAAAATTATAATTTTCATTTTTACATAAATGGTAATCAGACTATGCATTCTTATTCTGCAACTCGTATTTCCACTTAGTTGTGAAAATCTTACTGCATTACCGTGTATAAATCTACCTCACCCCTTTTCGTGGCTGCATGGTTTACCATTGCGTGATACACCACAGTTGAATCAATCTGTTATTGATAGACTTTGGATTGTTCCTCATTTTTCAGTATTACCAGTATTGCTGCAATAAACAAATGTGCACATACATTTTTGGACAATATGTATGTGGAATGAAATCGTTAAAAATAATTATGCTATATGATGTTTTTGGAAAGGGTATTCTTATGATTCTAGAAAGCAGCCTCCCAGCCCTTCCCTCACTGGTGCAGGCTGGAACTGTGATGACTCTGGCCATGGGATTCTTGCAGGCCTCTATCAAGCACGTGGGGCACAGGCACGGTATCTGCAGCCTCTCAGCTTTCTAGAGGACTACAGAAATGTTTGAGACCTGAATAAAGAAAAAGTGTTGGCTCTAACCTAAGAAAGTTGAAAGTAAATATTAATAAGTGGAATTAAACGTCTTAATGTACAACCTTGTGAACGTCACTCATTAAATTCAATAATTGCTTTTAAAAATATCTTTCTCATAAATTAGTGAGTCACAGAATTGTCAGATAATTTCAAAAGCAAATTCTAAGGATTCTTCTCAAAAATCACAGAAGAAAAAAACATAAATATGAAAAATGGTTGCATTTTAATGTATTTGAAATGCCATGGGAAAGAATTCATAAGTAAGCACAACGGCAGGGCACGGTGGCTCATGCCTGTAGTCCCAGCACTTTGGGAGTCTGAGGTGGGAGGATCGCTTAAGGCCAGGAGTTTGAGGTTGCAGTGAGCTGTGATCACGCCACCACACTCCAGCCTGGGTGACAGAGTGAGTCCCTGCTTTAAAAAAAAAAAAAAAAAATGCATGCTGAGGACCAGCATGTTTTAAAATAGCTCTGGCCGTAAGGGGCCAGGTGTTAGAATGGATGAACAGTCTTTTTCAGAATATTATTCTACAGGCTGTTAAAATAATGTGCATCTTAAATGCATTGTGCTAAGCAAAGAAGCCAGATCCATGTGGAACAGATCTGTGGTTACCGAGGGTTAGGGATGACTACAAAACATGAGTATGAGGTAATTTTGGGGGATGATGGAATTGTTCTGTGTCCTAAATGTGGTGGTGGTTATATGACTTGGTGCCCTTGTCAAAACTTTACACCTAAAAAAGAGTACATTTTATTGTATGTACACTTAAAAGTTCATTTTGGGACAGGGTCTTGCTCTGTTGCCCAGGCTGGAGTGCAGTGGTGTAATCATAGCTCACTGCAGTTCAACCTCCTGGGCTTAAATGATCCTCCCACCTCAGACTCCTGAGTAGCTGGGACCACAAGCACACACAACCATGCCTGGCTAATTTTTTTAAAGTTTTTAATAGAGACAAGGGCTTGCTATGTTTCGCAGTCTAGTCTCAAACTCCTGGGCTCAAGCGATCTTCCTGCCTCACCCTCCCAAAATGTTGGGATTACAGGTATGAGTCACTGGGCCCAGCCTAAAATTCATTTTTTTAATAATAACATGCAGGGCCTCACAGACTCCCATTTAGACTCCACTCTCCAATGAGCAGGAACGTCATCTGCACACCGTGACTCTTCCTGATAGGCTCGAGGGCTATCACTGCTGGGGCTGGGATACAGTTGTTCTTTGCCAGCTAGACACTCCAGTCATTCAGGGCACACTTCCATCTTTGCTCCCAGCTAAGGGATACAGCTCCTCACCTCACTGCTATACCTCCGCATCCCCATCCCCACCAGAAAAGAGATGCAGGGAGTCAACTCTGCCTTCCAGTGTGTGGCAAGCCCCTCGTGTCTCCAGGGCAGATGTTCTGAATTTTTGGGCTTGGACTAACACGAAGAGGCACTGTCCACTGGGTATTGGCATCTGACTAGGGCTTTTGTGCACTGAAAGGGATGCTTACAGTTACTAGTGTTTTAAACAATAGTTATTAAAGCTGTACATTTAATTTGCCTCATGTCTTTAAGATCAGTTTATAAATCTAGCTACAACTAGCTACAAACAAGTTGATTTTGTATATAGATAGAAATGCTTAATCTTTAATGTTCAATTAGTTCGAAACAATGAGTTAAAATGAAAAAATTGCTTGCACGCCTAATTTAGTTTCCTTGGCCATTTTAAACTCAATTACACGTTTAAACTGTTTGATTTGCACACACTTCCAATAACTAATATGAAAGACCTAAAATCTGATGAAATCTTCCTGAGCATTGAAATACTAACCTAAATCTACATTCATAAATTTAATACGTTAAGGTCTTGTAAACATTCATTATTTATCAACTTGTTAAAATTTTCTTTTTTTTTTTTTTTTGAGAGTAGTCTCGCTCTGTTGCCCAGGCTGGAGTGCAGTGGCGCAATCTCAGCGCACTGCAAGTTCCACCTCCCGGGGTTCACGCCATCCTGCCTCAGCCTCCGGAGTAGCTGGGACTACAGGTGCCCACCACCACGCCCAGCTAATTTTTTTGTATTTTTAGTAGAGACGGGGTTTCACCGTGTTGGCCAGAATGGTCTCAATCTCCTGACCTCGTGATCCGCCCATCTTGGCCTCTCAAAGTGCTGGGATTACAGGCATGAGCCACCGAGCCCGGCCTCAACTTGTTAAATTTTCTTAGATATTTTAAAATTAAAACCACAGATCTAATTTCAAATTCCTTTAAGCATTTTGAATTAAATTCCAAGTGTCTGATCCTCTAAGACATTAGGTACTCTTAAATATTTCAAATATTTTAACAGTATCACCATAATCGGAAACATTCTTCAGTGTAACCCAGATTACTGAGATCATGGGTTGTATTTACTTACCACAATCTCTGTGTGTTTTAGCACTCGCCCCACCAAGGTGACATACTCTGCCTCAGCTCAGGACTGCAATATGTTAATGGTTAGAGATTCTGGGCCAGGCACAGGACTTGATACTGCTTCTGTAATAGTTCTACCCAAGCTGGAAGCTAAACGTCTTGGAGTAATGGGTTTTTTCTTTATTCTTTTCTTTTCTTTTTTTTTTTTTTTTTTTTGAGACAGGGTCTCACTCTGTCGCCCAGATTGGAATGCAGTGGCGCAATCTCAGCTCACTACTGCGTTCAGCTCCGAGGCTCAAGTGATCCTCTTGCCTCAGCCTCCTGAGTAGCTGAGGCCACAGGCATGTGCCACCCCACCCAGCTAATTTTTTGTATTTTTGGTAGAGACAGGGTTTCCCCATGTTTCCCAGGCTGGTTTTGAACACCTGGCCTCATGTGATCCACCAGCCTCAGCCTCCCAAAGTGCTGGGATTACAGGTGTGAGTCACGGCACCTGGGCAGTAATGGGATTCTTAAGACAACTTGTATCTTGCTTCTGGTGCATTATTTTACCTTTTGCACAACTTTTAACTGCCTGATTTGCATCAGTTGAGCTTCTGCACCCACTGCCCAGGTTGCTCTTACTTTACTGCCTCATTTGATTTTCCTCCCTTTTTATTATTATTTTTGTCTGACTATGCCATTCTTTTAAAAATTATTTTCGACCAGGCGCAGTGGCTCACACCTGTAATCCCAGCACTTTGGGAGGCCAAGGCGGGCGGATCACGAGGTCGAGAGATCGAGACCATCCTGGCTAACACTGTGAAACCCCGCCTCTACTAAAAATACAAAAAATTAGCCGGGCTTGGTGGCGGGCACCTGTAATCCCAGCTACTTGGGAGGCTGAGGCAGGAGAATGGCATGAACCCGGGAGGCGGAGCTTACGGTGAGCTGAGATTGTGCCACTGCACTCTAGCCTGGGCGACAGAACAAGACTCCGTCTCAAAAAAAAAAAAATTATTTTCATGTAAATTTTTTTTCTTGTCACTCAATTGGATGGCTAATCCATTCTAATATTGACAGCAGCAATTTTTTTTTTTTTTTTTTGGATACAGGGCCTTTGTCACCCAGGCTGGACTGCAGTGGTGCAATCATGGTGCACTGCAGCCTCGACCTCCCAGGCTCAGATGATTTTCAACCTCAGCCTCCCAGGTAGCTGGGACTACAGGCGTGTGCCACCACGCCCAGCTAATTTTTTGGGTTTTTGTTTTTTGTTTTTTGAGATGGAGTTTCGCTCTTGTTGCCCAGGCTGGAGTGCAGTGGCGCGATCTCGGCTCACTGCAACCTTCGCCTCCCGGGTTCAAGCCATTCTCCTGCCTCAGGCTCCCGAGTAGCTGGGATTATAGGCATGCATCACCACGCCCAGTTTAACTAATTTTGTATTTTTAGTACAGACGGGGTTTCTCCATGTTGGTGAGGCTGGTCTTGAACTCCCAACCTCAGGTGATCCACCTGCCTTGGTCTCCCAAAGTGCTGGGATTACAGGCATGAGCCACCACGCCCGGCCCTGTATTTTTTTATTTTTAAGAAACCATGTTGCCCAGGCTCGTCTTGAATTCCTGGCTTCAAGCAATCCTCCTGCCTTGGCCTCCCAAAGTGCTGGGATTATAAGCGTAAACCATCATGCCTGGCCTGACAGCAGCAGTTTACTAGCAAGGTTTTTCTTGTACAAAGGAACTTCAAAAAGTTTGTGAAAAATTGAATTTAAAGATAAAAATTAAAAATATGAATTTATTTCTCAGCAGAATCTTCATCAAGTTCAAGACAATTTTGTAAGTGATATCAGGCATTTAGTTCCTCCTTAAAGAACTGAGGGAAGCTGGGCACGGTGGCTCATGCCTGTAATCCCAGCACTTTGGGAGGCTGAGGCGGGTGGATTACTTGAGATCAGGAGTTCGAGACCAGCCTGGCCAATATGGTGAAACCCCGCCTCTATACAAATACAAAAAAATTAGTCGGTGTGGTGGCACGTGCCTGTAATCCCAGCTACTCAGGAGGCTGAGGCAGGAGAATCACTTGAACCTGGTGGGTGGAGGTTGCAGTATTGAATCTGGGGGGCGGAGGTTGCAGTGAGCTGAGATTGCACCACTGCACTCCAGCTTGGGCGACACAGTGAGACTCCGTCTCAAAAAAAACAAAAAACAAACAAACTCAGGGTCCTGAGAATTTAACCATGCCAATGTAGTCTTGCTTCCTTGATTTATTTATTTATTTATTTATTTAGAGACGGAGTCTCCCTCTGTTGCCCAGGCTGGAGTGCGCTGGCATGATTTTGGCTCACTGCAACCTCTGCCACCCGAGTTCAAGCGATTCTCCTGCCTCAGCCTCTCAAGCGCTGGGATTACAGACGCGTGCCACCACGCCCGGCTAATTTTTTGTATTTTTAGTAGAGACAGGGTTTCGCCATGTTGGCCAGGCTGGTCTTGAACTCCTGACCTTAGATGATCCACCCACCTTGGCCTCCCAAAATGCTGGGATTACAGGCATGAGCCACCATGCCCAGCCTCATTATTAACTGAAGAAAAATGGGTGCCCTTTAAAGAATTTGTCAGATTAGGAAACAAAAAGAAGTCAGAAGGAGCTAAATCAGGACTGTAAGATGGATGCCTAATGATTTCTTGTTGAAACTCTGCAAAATTGCCCTCGTTTTTCATGAGGAGTGAGCAGGAGCATTGTGGTGGAGAAGGAGTCTCTAGTGAAGCTTTCCCAGGCATTTTTCTCCTAAAGCTCTGGGTAACCTACTGAAAACACTCTCATAGGAAGCAAATGTTATCATTCTTTGGCCCTCCAGAAAGTTGACAGCAAAATGCTTTGAGCATCCCAAAAAACTGTTGCCATGACCTTCGACTGGTCTACTTTTTCTTTGGCCAGACCACTTCCGCCTCTCGGTAGCCACTGCTTTGTGCTTGTCTTCAGGATCGTACTGGTGAACCCATGTGTCATCTCCTGTTACAGTTTTTTTTGAAGAAATGCTTCAGATTCTTGATCCCACTTATTTAAAATTGCCATTGAAAGTTCTGTTCTTCTCTATAGTTGATCTGGGCAAAGCAGTTTTAGCACCCATCAAATGGAAAGTTTGCTTAACTTTATTTTTCAAAATTTCTTAATTTTTCAAAATTGTGTAAGCCGAACCAATTGAGATGTTTGTGCTGTTGGCTATTGTTTGTTCGTTTGTTTCTTTCTTTCTTTTTTTTTTTTTTTTGTGATGGAGTCTTGCTCTGTTGCCCAGGCTAGAGTGCAGCAGCACGATCTTGGCTCACTGCAACTCTGCCTCCTGGGTTCAAGCAATTCTCCTCCCTCAGCCTCCTGAGTAGCTGGGACTACAGGCGCCTGCCACCGCACCCAGCTGATTTTTGTATTTTGAGTAAAGACAGAGTTCCACCATCTTGGCCAGGCTGGTCTCGAACTCCTGACCTTGTGATCCACCCACCTCGGCCTCCCAAAGTGCTGGGATTGCAGGCATGAGCCACTGCGCCCAGGCTCTTTTTTTCTTTTTTGAGACAGAGTCTCACTCTGTCACCCAGGCTGGAGTGCAGTGGCAAGGTCTCAGTTCACTACAGCCTCCGCCTCCCAGGCTCAGGTGATCTTCCCACCTTAGTCTCCCGACTAGCTGGGACTACAGGAGGCGTGCATCACCATGCCAGGCTAATTTTTATTTTTTTGTAGATACAAGGTCTCATTATATTGACTAGGCTAGTCTCGAAGCCCTGGGCTCAAGCAATCCTCCCGTTTTGGCTTCCCAAAGTGCTGGGATTACAGGTGTGAGCCACTGTGCCCAGCTGTGTTTTCATTTTAATTGGGGAAAATGCATAGTTACTGAGAGAAAGTTACAAGAACAACACAATGCAGTAAGAGACCACAGAGTTTTTGTGGGCAGGCAAATGGGCTCAGTGAGCCTGGATTCCAAGCTGAGGAGGGTCTCTACGGACTGGGTGGGTCTGGAGCTGCAGAGACCAGGAGACACAGAGCCTGTGCTGTGCCTTCAGTGGCCAGGAGCCCCAAGCCTGTGATTCTGATTCACTGATTCAACACATACTGCATACCCACTTAAAAGTGCAAGCACTAGGCTTGAGTACTGGGAATACATCTATAAGCCAGACAGACCAAATTCTTCCTCCCAGAAGCTCAGAACTGAGTGATGGGCAAGACAGATAATAAGCAAATAACTATTTAGACTGTCAAGTGGTAATGAGTGCAATGAAAAAGAATCAGGCAGAGCAGTGGGAAGACAAGTGTCGGTAGGGTGTGGAGGGGGTGCTGTTTTTAAGACTGGGTTGTCAAAGACATCCTCTCCAGTAAAGCAGTATTGTGGGCTGAGTAATATCCCCCCAAAATTCATGTCCACCCAGAGCCTCAGAATGTGACCTTATTTGGAAAGAAGGTTTTTGCAGATGTAATTAGTCAAAGATCTCAAGATGATGTCATGCTGGATTTAGGGTGTACCCTAAATCCAATGCTGAGAGTATCCTTATAACGAGAGGAGAGGACACAGAGAAAAGGTGGCCACATGGAGATGGAGGCAGAAATTGGAAAGACACTGCCACAAGCCAACCAGATTGGAATGCCTGGGGGCCACCAGAAGCCAGGAAGAAGCAAGGAAGGACCCTGCCCCAGAGCCTTCAGAGGGAGCATGGCCCAGTCAACACCTTGATTTTGGACTTCTTAGCTTTCTGCACTGTGAGAGATTACATTGCTGTTATTTTACATTTAAATTTTATTTTGAATTAATTTTACTTTAATTTTATTTTGTTCAATTGCCACCATACCAAGGTTGTGGTCATTTGTCGTGGCATCTCTAGGTAGCTAATACAGACAGCGCCTGAGTGGAGCTCCGAGTGAGGAAAAGAGTGAGCCAGTAGAGCAGGACCAGCCAGGGCAGGGACAGAGGCAGAGGGAAGCCGGTGAGAGAGGGATGCAGGGTGCAGGCAGCACTGAGGGAGGAGGGTGTGAGGAGAAGGATGTAGGAGAGAAGGCCAAAGTGGTTTCAGGGAACAAGATGGAGGAGACCAGAGTAAGGATTTTTTTTTTAATGTGTGTATATATGTGGGGGTGTGTGTGTGTGTATTTATGTATATATACACACACATATATTTTTTATATTTATATACTTTTAAAAAATATTTTTTATATTTTATATACACACTTTTTAAATATATATATTTCTCACTCTGTCACCCAGGCTGGAGTGCAGTGACACAATCTTGACTCACTGCAACCTCTGCCTCCTTGGTTCAAGTGACTCTCGTGCCTCAGCCTCCTGAGTAGCTGGGATTACAGGTGTGCACCACCATGCCTAGCTAACTTTTGCATTTTTTTGTAGAGACGGAGTCTTCCCATGTTGCCCAGGCTGGTCTCAAACTCCTGGGCTCCAGCAATCTGCTCACCTTGGCCTCCCAAAGTGCTGGGATTATAGGTGTGAGCCTTAGTTTTATTCTTAGCAAAATGAGTAGCTATTAGAGCAAAGAGCCACTAAGAGGATCCTTCTGGCTGCCATGTGGAGAGTGGACTACAGGATGGCAAGAGTAGTTGTAAGCAATCAGGAGGAGGCTGTCTCAGGCGTACAGGAGAGAGAGGCTGCATTAGCCCTTCTTGCGTTGCTATAAAGAAATGCCTGAGGCTGGTTAATTTATACGGAATGGAGCTTTAATTGGCTCACAGTTCTGCAGGCTGTACCAGCATGGCTCCAGCATATGCTTCTGGTGAGGCCTCAGGAACCTTACAATCATGGCACAAGGCAAAGGGAAGCAGGTGCGCCACATGGCAGGAGAGGGAGCAAGAGAGTGAGGGGGAAAGTCACACACTTTTTTTTTTTTTTTTTTTTTTTTGAGAAAGGGTCTCACTCTGTTGCCCAGGCTGGAGTGCAGTGGTATGATCTCAGCTCACTGCAACCTCCACATCCTGGGTTCAAGTGATTCTTGTACCTCAGCTTCCCAAGTAGTTGGGACTACAGGCACACACCACCACGCCCATCTAATTTTTGACATTTTTAGTAGAGATGGGTTTCACCATGTTGGCCAGGCTGGTCTTGAACTTCTGGCCTCAAGTGATCTGCTCACCTCAGCCTCCCAAAGTGCCAGGATTACAAATGTCAGCCACTGCGCCCAGCCAGTGCCACACACTTTTAAACAACCAGATCTTACGTGAACTCAGACCAAGAACTTACTATCACAAGGACAGCACCAAGCTATTCATGAGTGAGGGATCTGCCCCCTGACCCAAATACCTCCCACCAGGCCCCACCTCCAACACTGAAGATCACATTTCAACATGAGATGTGGACGGTACAAACATTGAAACCATATCAGGGGTTGATGTTTGGACCAGGGCAGTACCCATAAAGGTAGGGATGTGATTAGATTGGGGAGATATTTTGAAGGTAGAGCTACAGGATTTGCTGATGTGGGCTGTGAGAAAAAGTGGAGCTCGAACTGACTCCAAGGTGTTGGGTCTGAGCAAGGAATCAAGCTGTCACTTACCAAAATGGGCAAGACTTGGGGTGGAGCAGGCTTGGGTAAGGGCTGCATGTGGGATGTGTGTGAGGGGAGAGGGTGGAGAAATGTAAAGCTCTGTTTGGGCCATGTTAAGATCCAAATGCCCACGATACCTCCCAGGGGAGAAGTCAAATAGCTGGTTGGATATATGCAAATGGAGCCCAATGGGGCAGTGGGAGTGAAGATAGACTTTGGGAATAGGGGTGGAAAGAATCAGCTTATATATAGGGAGCTATTAAAGCCATGAGACTAGCTGATATTGGAGGGAGTGGATTTTTGGGAAGAGTGGAGTTTGCAGACAGCACCTGGAGCCCTGTGAAGCTTAGACATGGAGGAAATGAAGATGGACTAGCAAAGAAGACAAAGAAGGAATGACTGGTGAAAAGAAAAAAGGGGGAGGCCGGGCACGGTGGCTCATGCCTGTAATCCTAGCACTTTGGGAGGCCGAGGCAGGTGGATCACGAGGTCAGGAGATCGAGACCATCCTGGCTAACACGGTGAAACCCCATCTCTACTAAAAATACAAAAAATTAGCCGGGCGTGGTGGTGGGCACCTGTAGTCCCAGCTACTTGGGAGGCTGAGGCAGGAGAATGGCATGAACCTGGGAGGCAGAGCTTGCAGTGAGCGAGATCGCGCCACTGCACTCCAACCTGGGCGACAGAGCGAGACTCTGTCTCAAAAAAAATATATACAAAAATTAGCCAGGTGTGGTGGTGGGCACCTGTAATCCAAGCTACTCAGGAGGCTGAGGCAGGAGAATCACTTGAACCCGGGAGGCAGAGGTTGCAATGAGCCGAGATCACACCATTGCACTCCAGCCTGGGCAACAGAGCGAGACTCCATCCAAAAAAAAAAAAAAGAAAAGAAAAGAAAAAAGGGGGAAACCAGAAGAGTATGATGCCTGGAAGTCAGGGAAAAAATGTAGTTCAAGAAGATGGAAGCAATGACTGGTTGCTGAAAAATCAAGTCATATGAAGTGTGAGAATTGGCCACTGGATTTGCCAACATGGTGGTCACTTGTGAGCATAAGGAGTGAGCTTGCAGAGTGGTGTGGCAGAAGTGGGATTGAAATGGATTGAGGTAGGGACAGGAGAAAAAGAAGTGGGGACTATAAGACAACTCTTGAGAAGCTTTGCTATAAAAGGCAGCAGAGAAATTGAGCTATAGGGGGAAAGAGGTAGCGCCAAGGGAAGGGATTTATTTTTAGATGGGAATATTACAGCTGTTCATAGACTTATGGAAATGATCCTCTGCAGAGGGAAAATTGATGGTGTGGGAGCATGAGGGCATTGTTGCAGGAATAACATCTGTGATGAGTCAGTGGCTTTGGGACCTGGTGCCCAGGTACAAGAGCTGGCCTTAAATAGCACAGGTGGTTCTCCTGTGTAATGGGAGGGAAAGCACAATACCTGGACGTGTACACATCCGGGTTGTGTGTTTCATAGAAGGGACCTATGGAAGCCCTGTTCTGATTGCTTCAGTTTTCTCAGTGAAATAGAGGCAAGGTTATACTTCCTTAATGGGCACAGAGTTCCTGTTTGAAATAATTAAAAAGGTTTGAAAATAGATAATGGTGATGGGGAAGGAGAAGAAGAAGAAGAGGAGGAGGAGGAAGATGGTATTTATCCAAAAGGCACTGGGTTTGGAAATGTTGAAAGTTGAGGAGAAGAGGGGAAGGTGATAAAAGAGAGTGTTATGGTTTGGTTGTGTCCCCACCCAAATCTCATCTTGAATTGTAGCTCCCATAATGCCCATGTGTTGTAGGAGGGACCCGGTGGGAGATAATTGAATCATGGGGGGTGGTTTCCCCCATACTATTCTCATGGTAGTGAATAAGTCTCACAAGATCTGATGGTTTTATAAGGGGAAACCCTTTTGCTTGGCTCTCATTTCTCTCTTGTCTGCCGCCACGTAAAACGTGCTTTTCACCTTCCACCATGATTGTGAGGCCTCCTCAGCCATGTGGAACTGTAAGTCCATTAAACCTCTTTTTCTTTATACATTACCCAGTCTCAGGTATGTGTTTATCAGCAGCATGAGAACAGACTAATACAGAAGAGCAAGTGCCCAGGAAATGTCAGAGAATTGCTGAGCTGCACTAAGTGTCCACTGGAGGTCCATGGTTATGAATTTGATGCAAGATGAGTCCTCATGGCTGTGAACCTTTCTCCAGCCACATCTAACTGCCTGGGGATAAACAGACTAGACCCAACCACATTTAACCTGGCTTGGGTTTTGCTACATGAATCCATGTGCATACCAGGAGGAGAGGGTGAAAATGTTGTGGAGGATGTACTCAAACCAATGAGTTAATAAATGGGCTGTGAAATCTAAGCCAGGACAAAGGAAAGTGAGGATGTGACAGAAGTGAGGGAGCATCCAACATAAGAGAGTAGTATGTTCAAAGTCCCAATGATGTTACATAACTTGAGGACTCAAGGACTCAGAACATGAGAAGAAGGCAGCCTGAATAATAATAGGAGGAGGTAGTGGAGTGGGATGCTTGAGAGAGAGGTCTTTCCACAGGAGCAGATAGCTGGGGTGGAGTGAAGTCCTGGATCATCGAAAACAATGATTGGAGCTGGTGATGATGTGGAGAAATTGTAACTGTCATACATTGCTAGTGGAACTGGAAAATGATGCAGTCACTTTGGAAAACAATTTGGTAGTTTCTCAAAATGTTAAACATAGAATTGCCATAGGACCCAGTAATTTCACTCTTAGGTATATCATATGTCATCATAAAGACTTATATGTGAATGTTCATAGCAGCCTTATTTATTTATTTATTTATTTATTTATTGAGACAGAGTTTTGCTCTTGTCACCCAGGCTGGAGTGCAGTGGCACGATCTCAGCTCACTGCAACCTCTGCCTCCCGAATTCAAGTGATTCTCCTGCCTCAGCCTCCCAAGTAGTTGGGATTACAGGCACACGTCACCATGCCCGGCTAATTTTTGTATTTTTAGTAGAAACAGGGTTTCACCATGTTGGCCAGGCTGGTCTCGAACTCCTGGCCTCAGGTGATCCACCTGCCTCAGCCTCCCAAAGTGCTGGGATTACAGGCATGAGCCACCACGCCCAGCCTCATAAGAGCCTCATTCTTTACAGTCAAAAAGTAGAAATGAGCCATATGTTTGTCAACTGATGAATGGATAAACAAAAATGTGGTACATTCATACAATGGAATGCCCTTTAACAACAAAAATAACAGAGTCCTGATTGCTGCAGTGTGGATGAACCTTCCAAACATTATGCTAAGTGAAAGAAGGCAGGCACAAAAGACCACATTTTGTACAATTCTATTTAGATAAAATATTCAGAAAAGGCAAATCTATACAGACAGAAGCTAGATGAGAGACTCTTTTTCAAGGATGAAAGTTATGGAAAATTTGTGATGGTGTTTGCAGAATTCAGTAAATACAAGAAAAATCATTTTGCACTTAAAATGGGTGAGTTTTCTAGTAAGTAAATTACATCTCAATGAAGCTGTTGCACACATAATCAGAAATAGTTATTCATGAGAGCCATGGAGACAGACAATGGGCCAGGCATTAAATATTCAAGAGATGACCCAGGGATCTGAGATGGCTGCAATGAGGGAGGGGTAGTGGGTAGCAGAGGCTGATGGTATGAGTTTCAAAGGAGCTGGGGGTTTTTGGAATGAGAGAGAGGCAATGGTCTGGGAGGAGATATGAAGAAAAAGGAGGACCTACATCCCACCACTAGACCCAGTGGTTGAGGGGTACAAAGGAGAGCCTACCTCACTTTTTTTTTTTTTGAGATGGAGTTTTGCTCCTGTTACCCAGGCTGGAGTGCAATGGCACAATTTCAGCTCGCTGCAACCTCCGCCTCCTGAGTAGCTAGGATTACAGGCATGTGCCACCATGCCCAGCTAATTTTGTATTTTTAGTCGAGATGGGGTTTCTCCATGTTGGTCAGGCTGGTCTTGAACTCCTGACCTCAGGTGATCCGCCTGCCTCAGCCTCCCAAAGTTCTGGGATTACAGGCGTGAGCCACCTCACCCTGCCGCCTACCTCACTTTAAGAGAGTTGAAGGGAAAGCCATGCCTTCTGGGAATAAGCAGACAAGATGGAGGAGGGAATGGTATGGGCAGGAAATAAGGTGGGAAAGTGCTTATTTATGGGAAATGGCAAAGACCAACCTGGCTGAATAGAGTATCAGTAAGGGAATGATATGAGGGAAGCAGAGACATATTCATCCAGAAGAAACTCAAACTTCAGGGACCCTCACTTGCTGGGCCCCTTCCAAGCACTTGGGAGGTGACTTAGTGATTTATTCAAGTGGTCCACATGGTTTTGTAAAATTTGTAAAGGTAAGCAGAGGATTTGGGTCTCAACAAAGCTGAGCTGGTGAATCTCTTCATAGGGTATTTTTTTAAAAGCTGAGTCAAAATGGAACTTCCCTCCCATCAGAAATAAAGGCAGTAGTACAGAGTATATAGTGATAGCTGGGCGTGGTGACTCACGCCTGTAATCCCAGCACTTTGGGAGGCCAAGGCAGGTGGATTGCTTGAGCCCAGGAATTCCAGACCAGCCCAGGCAACATAGCAAAACTCTCTATCTACAAAAAATACAAAAATTAGCTAGATGTGGTGTGTGCACCTGTAGCCCCATCTACTGGGGAGGCTGAGGTGGGAGGATCGCTTGAGTCCAGGAGGGAAAAAAAATGGACTTTTCTTTTCCCTCTTTTAAAATGGGACTCAAACACAATAGAATTAATCAGGATTTGGAAGGCACAAACAAGTGGCAGTACCACCAATAGCAGCACATATTCGGCAAAGTTATTGTGGGGAGAATATTTATTATTTTCATTGTTATATATAATTTCATTGAATAAATATATGAAAATTTATCCATTCCAATGTTGATGGACATTTGGGATGTTTCCAATTTGGAGCTATTATAAATGCTGTTGCTATGAACATTCCTTTTTTTTTTTTTTTGAGATGGGGTCTTGCTCTGTCACCCAGGCTGGAGTGCAGTGGCACGATCTCAGCTCACTGCAAGCACCACCTCCTGGGTTCATGCCATTCTCCTGCCTTAGCCTCCTGAGTAGCTGGGACTACAGGCACCTGCCACCACACCCAGCTATTTTTTTGTATTTTTAGTAGAGACATAGTTTCACTGTGTTAGCCAGGATGGTCTTGATCTCCTGACCTCGTGATCCATCTGCCTTGGCTTCCCAAAGTGCTGGGATTACAGGCGTAGGCTACTGTGCGCAGCCGACTCTAACTTTTTTCTTTCCAATTTTATACCTCATAATTCTTTTTCTTACCTTATTGCACTGGCTATGACCTCCAGTACAATGTTGAATAGAAGTGATTAGAGTGAACATCCCTATCCGGCTTCCAACCCCAGGGGGAATGTGCTCAATTTCACCATTAAGTGTGATGCTAGTTGAGATAGTTTTGTAAATAGCCTTCTTCAGAATAAGAAAGAAAGAAACTGAAACTGGGTATGGTGGCATACACCTGTAGTCCCAGCTACTCTGGAGGCTGGGGCAGGAGGATCCCTTTAGACCAGGAGTTCAGGCTATAGTGTACAGCATGATTGCATCTAGGAGTAGCCACTGTACTCTAGTCTGAGCAACATAGCAAGATCCTGTCTTGGATCTTGCTATCCAAGATAGCAAGGAAGGAAGGAAGGAAGGAGGGAGGGAGGGAAGAAGAGGGGGATGGAGGGAAAGAAGGAAGGAAGGAGTTTGCTGAAAGTTTTTTCTTTTTTTTTTAAGAGATGATGCCTTGCTCTGTCACCCAGGCTGGAATGCAGTGGCACCATCATAGCTCACTGTGGCCTCAAACTTCTGGGCTCAAGAGATTCTCCTGCCTCAGCCTCTTGAGTAGCTAAGATTACAGGTACAAGCCACCACACCCAGTTCTTTTATTATTTTAAGTCATAGATGAACATTTAAACTTTTTTTCCTACATCTCTTGAGGTAATTATATTATTTTTCTCCTTTATTCTGTTAATGTGGTAAATTACACTGATTTATTTTAATGTGTAAAGCCAACCTTGCATTCCTAGAGTAATTCCTACTTGTTCATGATATATTATCCTTTATTTATATTTTGCTGAACTTGGTTGCTAGTCTCTTATTTGGAATTTTTGCATCTATGTTCATGAGAAATATTGACTTGTAATTTTGTTTTCTTGCGATTATTTTGTTAAGTTTTGGTATCAGGGTTATACTGATTGGTAGAAGAAATTGGGGCCAGGCCTGGTGGCTTATGCCTGTAATCTCAGCACTTTGGGAGGCTGAGGTGGAAGAATTGCCTGAGTCCAGGAGTTTGAGACTAGGCTGGGAAACACAGCAAGACCTTGTCTCTAGAAAAAATAAAAAAATTTAGCTGGACATGGTGGCATGTGCCTGTAGTCCTTGCTACTAGGAAGGCTGAGGTGGGAGGATCACTTGAGCCCAGGAAGTCGAGGCTGCAGTGAGTTATAATCACGCCACTGCACTCTAGTCTGGGTGGTAAGGCAAGACCCTGTCTCAATTTAAAAAGGAAGGAAGGGAGGAAGGGAGGAAGGGATGGAAGGAGGGAGGAAGGGAGGAAGGAAGGAAAGAAGGAGGGAAGGACGGATGGGGGAGAGAAGGAAGGAAAGAGGGAAGGAAGGAAGGAAAGAAGGGAGGGAGGGAGGAAGAAAAAGAAATTGGGAAATATTTTCTATAAGAGAATGTGAAGATAGTATTATTTCTTCTTTAAATATGTGGAAGAATTTAATAGTAAAGCCACCTGAACCAGAAGGGTTCTTTGTGGGAAGGATTTTTATTTTGCATTTAATTTCTTTAGTACATTTGGACAATTCAGGTTTTCTATTTCTCCTTGTAAGTTGTGTTATTAGGTACATACACATTTATAATTGTATCTTCTTAAATAATTGACTGTTTTGTCATTATGAAATGTCCCTGTTTATCTATGGTAATATTTCTGTGTTGAAGTAACCTTAGCTGACTAATAATACAGCCACACCAGCTTCCTTATGAGTAGTGTCTGCATAATATATCTTTTTAGAATTCTTTTACTTCCAACTATTATGTATCTTATATTTAAAGTATGTTTATTTTTCAAAAAAAAAAGAAACATATAGTTGAATCTTATTTTGTTTTAATCCACTCTGCCAATCTAGATATTTTAACTGCATATTTAGTTCATTTACACTTAATGTAATTGCTGGCATAATTGAGTTTAAGTCTATTATCTTGCTGTATGTTCTGTTTTATCCCATTTGTTCTTTGTTCCTTTCTTCCTTTCCTGCCTTCTTTTAGTTTAATCAAGTGTTTTAAATCTATTTTGTCTCTCTCTTATCTCTTTAGTTATACCTATGTTTGCATTTTCTTTTAATAGTTATTCTAGATCGCTATGTGCATGTTTAATTTATTATAATCTACAGATGTTCCTCAACTTATGATGGGGTTATGTCCCGATACGCCCATTGTAAGCCGAAAATATTGTTAAGTTGAAAATGCATTTAATCATCCCAATGAACACATTGTAAAGTTGAAAAACTGTAAGTCAAACCACTGTAATCAGGGACTGTCTGTGCTTTGAATTAGTATTTCACCACATCTTATACAATGTGTAAAATGTCTAAAACCTTACAATAATGTCTTAGTCCTTTTGTGTTGCTGTGAAGGAATATCTGAGGCTGGGTAATTTATAAAGAAAAAGGTTTATTTGACTCACAGTTCTGCAGGGTCTCCAAGAAGCATGGTGCTAGCATTTGCTTCTGGTGAGGACCTCAGTCTGTTTCCACACATTGCAGAAGGTGAAGCTAGGCTAGCATGTGCAGAGATCACATGGTGAGAGGAAGCAAGAGAAGAGGAGGGAGGTGCCATGCTCTTTCTAACAACCAGCTCTCACAGGAACTAATAAGAGCTCCCCAGTCCCAAGAGGGCATTACTTTACTCATGAGGGATCCCGCAACCATGATCATAGTACCTCCCATTAGGCCTCACCTCCAACATTGGGGATCAAATTTCAACATGAGGTTTAGGGGAACAAACTTCCAAACTATAGCAAACAATATAATTCCATGCCCCCCATTATGCCATTGTTATGTAATTTTACTTTTATTATGTTATAATTATCACAACTATTGTTGACTTAAACATATAGTTTAGTCTTAAATAATTTTACATTTACCTTTACCAGTGCTCTTCATTTCTTCTTACAGATCTGTTTCTCTTTAGATCATTTTCCTTCAATGTGGAGAACGTCCTTTAGTATTCCTTGTAGTGTGAATCTGCTGGAAATGAATTAACTTTTATTTATGTGAAAATGTGTTTATCTTCTTCAGCTATCAAATGTTTGAAGACCTTTTTGTCTCAGTATAAAATTCTGGGCTGTAATTTGTTTTTCGGTATTTGAAAGATGTTATTCCATTGTTTTTTGGTTTCCATTGTTGCTGTTGAAGAGTAAGCTGTAATTTTTTTTATTTGTTCCTGTGAATTTAATGTGTTTTTTCCCTTTAGCTGCTTATAAGGTTTTTTTTGGTTGTCTTAGGTTTTCAGCAGCTTGACAATACCTAGGTGTTCTCTCTCTTGCTTTCTCTCTCTCTCTTTTTCAAATCTGCTTGAGGGCTTCTCAAATCTGTAAGTTAACATGTGTAATCAATTTTGGAAAATTCTCAGTATCTTCAATTTTTTTTTCTGCCTTATTCTCTCCTCATGGAACTCAAACTACAGATATGTTAGACATTTTGCACATGTCTCTCACACATTGTTCTTATTTTTTTTCTTTGTGCTTTAGTTTTCAAAATTTTTATTGACATGCTTTAGAGCAGCAGTCCCCAACCTTTTTGGCACTAGGGAATTGTTTCGTGGAAGACAGTTTTCCACGGACTGGGGACAACAGGGGTGGGGGTTGATGGTTTCAGAATGATACAAGCTCATTACATGATGAGGGATGAGAAAGGAATTCAATTACATATTTTTCCATATGGTTGTTCAGTTATCCCAATACCTTATTAGCAAGTCCCTTGCCCCATTTTTTCTTATTGTTTATTCTTAGTAAGATGAAAGCTGGCCTGGCGTAGCTCACGCCTGTAATCCCAGCACTTTGGGAGGCCAAGGCGGGTGGATCATGAGGTCAGGAGATCGAGACCATCTTGGCTAACATGGTGAAACCCCGTCTCTACTAAAATTCAAAAAAAAAAAATTAGCCAGGTGTGGTGGTAGGCGCCTGTAGTCCCAGCTACTCGGGAGGCTGAGGCAGGAGAATGGCGTGAACCCGGGAGGCGGAGCTTGCAGTGAGCACAGATCGCGCCACTGCACTCCAGCCTGGGCGACACAGTGAGACTCTGTCTCAAAAAAAAAAAAAAAAAAAAAAAAGATGAGAGCTATTGATTTCTGTATATTATTTTTATATATTGATACTTTATTATCTATTTATAGAAATTCCTTATTTTTTCTGTTGAGTTTTCCAGTTATATAATTATATCGTCTGCAAATACAGTTTTACCTTTTCTTTTCCAATTCTTATGACTCTAATTGCTTTTTCTTCTGTAATTAAATTAGCTGACACCTCAAATACAATCAATATCTATTCATGATAAACATTTCTGTTGTTGCAAACTAGAAGTAGAAAATAATTCCTTCTTTTCACTAAAGGTTATATACCAGAAACCCAAAGGAAACATCATATTTAGTGGGGGAAACCTTAGAAGCATTTCATTAGAAGGAATAAGGCAAAGATGCCAACCATTACCCCTAATGTTTAACATAGTCCTGAGGATCCTGGCCAATGCAATAAGGACACCAAATAAGAGGTATGAGCATTCAGAGAAAAAGGATATAGCGGCCAGGCGCGGTTGCTCATGCCTGTAATCGCAGCACTTTGGGAGGCCAAGGAGGGCAGATCACCTGAGGTCAGCAGTTGGAGACCAGCCTGGCCAAGATGGTGAAACCCCGTCTCTACTAAAAATACAAAAATTAGCCAGGCATGGTGGTGCACACTTGTAGTCCCAGCTACTCAGGAGGCTGAGACAGGAGAATTGCTTGAACCTGGCAGGCGGAGGTTGCAATGAGCTGAGATCACACCAGTGCACTGCAGCCTGGATGACAGACTGAGACTATCTCAAAAAAAAAGGAAAAGGGATATAGCTTTTATTTTGTGCAGTGATCTGATCATCCACATAGAAAAATCAAGAAATCACAAACTATTAAAACTAATAATTTAAAAGTTCAACAAGATGCCTGGATACAAGATTAACTTTGAAAAATCTGTGGTAGTTTTCAACACCAGCAATAACCAACTAGAAAATATAATTTAAAATAAGATATTATTCCAAATATCAACAAAAATTTATATCTAAAAAAGTAGGTATAAAATATATCTAAGAAGACATAGATATAAGAAGATATAAAAAGTAGATGTAAAAATATCTAAGAAACAATTTAATATAAGACCTCTATGGAGTAAGTTTTAAAGCATAAAGACAGATGATGACCTTAATAAGAAATAGAGAGGGCCGAACACAGTGGCTCACATCTGTAATCCCAGAACTTTGGGAGGCCGAGGTGGGCAGATCATGAGGTCAGGAGTTCAAGTCCAGCCTGACCAACATGGTGAAACCTGTCTGTACTGAAAATACAAAAATTAGCCGGGCATGGTGGCACGTGCCTGTAATCCCAGCTACTCAGGAGGCCGAGGCAGGAGAATCGCTTGAACTGGGAGGCAGAGGTTGCAGTGTGCTGAGATCGCACCACTGCACTCCAGCCTGGGTGACAGAGTGAGACTCCGTCTCAAAAAAAAAAAAAAAGAAATGGAGAGATAGTGCATATTTTTTTCGTAGGGATGACAATATTATAAAGATGTTAATTCTTCCTAAACTAATTTATAATTACAATGCAATCACAATCAAAACTAGTTAAATATTTTTGAGAAAGTCAGCAAACTTACTGTAAAATCTAAATGGAAGAATCAGGTCTGTGAAAATTAGCCAAATTAGACTTGAGAAAAAAGACAGAGATTCGCCTGTCAGATATTAAGACACGCTATAGGCCAGATGTGGTGGCTCACGCCTGTAATCCCAGCACTTTGGGAGGCTGAGGTGGATGGATCACCCAAGGTCAGGAGTTTGAGACCAGCCTGGGCAACATGGCAAAACCCCATCTCTACCAAAAATCACAAAAATTAACTGGGCGTGGTGGGCTGCACCTGTAGTCCCAGCTACTCAGGACTCTGAGGTGGGAGGATCACTTGGGACGGGTAGACAGAGGTTGCAGTGAGCCAAGAGCGCACCATTGCACTCCAGACTGGGCGACAGAGTGAGACTCTGTTTTTAAAAAAAAAAAAAAAAAAGACACACTACAAAACAATACTAATACAATCTAATAATCTGGGTCTTATTGGTGTAAGAACTTTTAAATAGACCAGTGGACTAGAAGAGAGTTCAGGAATAGATACATTGTATATATGGAAACTTAATATAAAATAAAGGTGGCTTCATAAGCCATTCAGGAAAAAATAGTTTACATATGACATTAATGAAACTGGCTTACTCTAAGGAGAAAAATAAAACTGATTTCCTACATGCCACATGCAAATACTATCTTTGGAAGAACTGAAACATAAATACGTAATATAAATCTATGCAGTTAATATGCAAAGGTGACCTAAGGGTGGGTAATAACTTCTTTAAACCTCTAAGTACAAACCATAACACAAAAAAGAAAGGAAATAATTAAATAAAAATTAAGACTTCTGTTCAATGAAGACATTGACAAATGAAATTAACAATTGACAGACTGGGAAAAGATGTTTGCAGTGTCTAAAACCAACGAGGGATTCTTAATACCTAGACATACTATTTTCTATTGCAAATCAGTAAGGAAAAGAAAGGTACCTCAATAGAGACTTGGGCAAAGGATACCAAATGGCAATTTTAAAATAAAGAATGGGCGGGCGCTGTGGCTAATGCCTGTTATGCCAGCACTTTGGGAGGCCGAGGCGGGCAGATCACTTGAGGTCAGGAGTTCGAGACCAGTCTGGCCAATATGGTGAAACCCAATCGCTACTAAAAAATACAAAAACTGGCCAGGCGCGGTAGCTCATGCCTGTAATCCCAGCACTTTGGGAAGCCGAGGCGGGTGGATCACCTGAGGTCGGGAGTTTGAGACCAGCCTGACCAACATGGAGAAACCCCGTCTCTACTAAAAATACAAAATTAGCCGGGCTTGGCGGCACATGCCTGTAATCCCAGCTACTCGGGAGGCTGAGGCAGCAGAATCTCAGGAGGCTGGAAGTTGTGGTAAGCCGAGATCACGCCACTGCACTCCACTCTGGGCAACAAGAGCACAACTCGGTCTCAAAAAAAATAAAAAGTACAAAAATTAGCCAAGCATGGTGGTGGGCACCTGTAATCTTAGCTACTCAGGAGGCTGAGACAGGAGAATCATTTGAACCTGGGAGGCGGAGGTTGCAGTGAGCTGAGATTGCACCATTGCACTCCAGCCTGGATGATAGAGCAAGACTCCGTCTCCAAATAAAATAAAAATAAAAGAAAGAAACTTAAATGCCTATGAGGAGATAAGCCAGCATGTTAGTAATCAGACAAATGATAAATAAAATGAATTGTCATTGTATACCTATCAGACTGGCAAAGTTCAGAAAGTGAAATAACATCCATTATTGGTGGTTGGATGTGACTGCAGAGATCCTCATGCATTGCTAATGTGAGTGTAAATGGGTACACTATTTTGGAGAGCCATTTAGTCACATTACACGTTGTATATGCATAGATGAATACCTAGAAATTCTGTTACTGCATGTGTATGCAAAAGAAATTCTCGGCCAGGCGCGGTGGCTCACGCCTGTAATCCCAGCGCTTTGGGAGGCCAAGATGGGTGAATTACCTGAGGTCAGGAGTTCGAGTCTGATCAATATAGAGAAACCCCGTCTCTACTAAAAATATAAAATTAGCTGGGCGCGGTGGCACACGCCTGTAATCCCAGCTACTCTGGAGGCTGAAGCAGGATAATCACTTGAACCCAGGAGGTGAAGGTTGCAGTGAGCCAAGATTGCGCCATTGCACCTTGCACTCCAGCCTGGGCAACAAGAGTGAAACTCTGTCAAAAGAAAGAGAGAGAGAGAGAGAGAGAAAGAGAGAAAGAAAATTCTCATATAGGTCCTTAAGAGGACAGGTATAAGGATGTCCATTACTGCAGGCATGGACAAATAAAATGTGGTTGGGGCACACCTGGAAAACTGAGCAGCAGTTACAAGCAATGGATTAGATGCACACTGGTACAATGGATGGATCTTAAAAGCCACAGTGCTAAAGAATGTGCTCAGTATGTGTCTATTGTATCTTTATACATATATAAATATTAGAGATGGGCTAGAGTGCAGTAGCTATTCACCATCTTCATTATAGCAGCACTGCAGCCTCTACCTCCTAGGTTCATGGGATCCTCCTGCTTCAGCCTCCCCAGTAGCTAGGACTACAAGTGAGCCCTGTGCCTGGCTTTTTTTTTTTTTTTTTTTTTTTTTTTTGAGTCAGAGTCTTGCTCTGTCACCCAGGCTGGAGTGCAGTGGCATGATCTCGGCTCACTGCAACCTCCACTTCTCAGGTTCAAGTGATTCTCCTGCCTCAGTCTCCCTAGAAGCTGGGACTACAGGTGCCCACCACCACAACTGGCTAATTTTTGTATTTTTAGTAGAGGTGGGGTTTCACCATGTTGACCAGGCTGGTCTCGAACTCCTGACCTCAAATGATCCACCCACCTCGGCCTCCCAAAGTGCTGGGATTGCAGGCATGAGACACTGTGCCCGGCCGGTTTTTTTTCTTTTTCTTTGTAAAATGTGTGCTGCTTATTTTTATTTTATCTTACTTTTTTGAGACAAGTCCCACTATGTCGCCCAGGCTGGTCTCAACCTCCCAGGCTCAGGCGATCCTCCTGCCTCAGCCTCCCAGTTAGCTGAGACTTACAGGTGCCGCCACTGCGCCTGGCTGTGTCTGTCTTAAAACAAAACTTCCATGAATGTCTGTATGTATTTTTTAACAATTGGATTGAGGAAGGGGAATGACTTAAGTCAAATGGATAGGTGAGGATGGCAAGACAGGAAGACATGAACAGACAATACACAAAAGTACACAATTATTTCTGAATAATGGCATTATGAGTGATCATAATGTTATTTTGCACAGTTTCCTCAATGAACTTAATATTAGATTACATTAATCAGAAAAAAGTAAACTTGGCCGGCCGCGGTGGCTCATGCCTGTAATACCAGCTCTTTGGGAGATGGAGGGTCACAAGGTCAGGAGTTCTAGACCAGCCTGGCCAACACAGTGAAACCCTGTCTCTACTAAAAATACAAAAAATTAGCTGGGCATGGTGGTGGGCGTCTGTAGTCCCAGCTACTCAGGAGGCAGAGGCAGGAGAATTGCTTGAACCCAGGAAGCGGAGGTTGCAGTGAGCCAAGATCGCTCCATTGCACTCCAGCCCGGGTGACAGTATGAGACTCTGTCTCAAAAAAAAAAAAAAAAGAAGAGAGAAAAGAAAAAGAAAAAAAAGTAAACTCACATAAAGTAATTAGACTCAGAACCTTTCTGGAGGGGAGCAATCACAACCTTTATTTTCCTCTATGATTATTGTTTATTTGGTTTTCTAGTTCTAGACCCAAAATTGGTCACTTTTTTCCTAGAAAATAATTTATCTCATACAGATTTTCAAGGGGGTAAAGTTGTGTGTAGCATTTGAATAATCATCGTAATAACTCTTCTACAGTCAATTCTTTCTTTAATATGTCTGCTTTTCTTAACTGGAATTTTTGCCTAAGATATTTTTAACAATTTAATAAAAATCAAAGGATACATTGTTCATCAGTCTAAGGTATAGCCTCTCCAGAAATCATCCAAAAATGACAGTTTCATATAAAAAGTTTTTGACTTTCTACAGTAATAAGATTCATATATTTTCTCACTATGTCCAGAAATTCTGGCTGGATTATTTAGGGGGCTGATGTGAGGACTGAATGAGTTAATACATGCTAAGGTGTTAATATATAGTGCCTGACACATAGTAAATGTTCAACTTACTGCTATAATGGACAAAAACTGCTAATAATGATGATATTAGCTACAGACTCCTTTTCTATCAGCCATACCACCCAGCACAGGCCTAGGCAAAAAATACAATATTTAGGTAGATGCTCAGTGACTATGTCAACATTTGAGATTTCCCTTTACACTCAAAATGTAGCTTACTTTATGTTTTCTAAAATATTCTAGGTATTAATTAATTTATTAATTTATTTATTTTGAGACGGAGTCTCACTGTCACCCAGGCTGGAGTGCAGTGGCGTGATCTCAGCTCACTGCCAGCTCTGCCTCATGGGTTCACGCCATTCTCCTGCCTCAGCCTCCCGAGTAGCTAGGACTACAGGTGCCCGCCACCACGCCCGGCTAATTTTTTGTATTTTTAGTAGAGACGGGGTTTCACCGTGTTAGCCAGAATGGTCTCGATCTCTTGACCTCGTGATCCACCTGCCTCAGCCTCCCAAAGTGCTGGGATTGCAGGCGTGAGCCACCGCGCCCAGCCGTATTAATTTTTATTTTTATTTTTCAGAGACTGTGTTGCCCAGGCTGGAGTGTAGACCAGCCTGAGTTTGAGACCAGCCTGAGCAACACAGTGCAACCCTGTCTCTACAAAAACAAAAAATTAACGCAGGCATGGTGGCCCACGCTTGTAGTCAGCTACTCTGGAGACTGGGTGGAAGGATAGGCTGAGCAGGGGAGGTCGAGGCTGCAGTGAGCCATGATCGCGCCACTGCACTCCAGCCTAGGTGACAGAGCGAGATCCTGTCTCAAAAATAAATAAACAAATAAATAATAAAATAAAAATCAGCTGTTGGTTCAACTCAACTTTCTTAATTTTGTTTATGAATGTCTGCCTTTATCTTAATGTTCAGGATTATTTATTTATTTGAGACCGGGTTTCGCTCTGTCGCCCAGGCTGGAGTGCAGTGGCGTGGTCTCGGCTCACTGCAGTCTCCTCCTCCCGGGCTCAAGGGATCATCCCACCTCAGCCCCCCAAGTAGCTGGGATTACAGGCGCGCGCCACCACGCCCGGCTGATTTTTGTATTTTTTTGTAGAGGAAGGGTCTCGCTTTTTTGCCCAGGCTGGTCTTGAACTCCTGGACTCAAGCGATCCGCCTGCCTCGGCCTCCCAAGGTGCTGGGATTTCGGCCGTGAGCCACCGCGCCCGGCCTAATCATGTTCGGGCTTTCTTATTTTCTAATCAATGTATTTAAGGCGATACATTTTCCTCAGAGTGTCGCTTTGACTGCATGCCACAATGTGAATAATGACAGGCAGGGATGTATATTAGGCGCTTATCACAGTTAGTGCTGAATATTGGTTAGTTCCCTTTAACCTTATCCTGTACTTGGCCGACAAGCATGTGTTGGGCGTCCGCCCGACGCCAAGAAGCTCTTTTTCAAAGCCGCTTTCCCTGCGCAGCCCCTGTTCTCCCGCGCGGGCAACTACTCCCGGCCTGGCCGTCACGCCCCCTCACGTCACTCACCGCCCCGCCACGTTCTCATGACACCACGCAGGTGCCAGCAACGAACTCCAGAACCCTCCGTGCCCTTCCGCTTTTCCAAAGGCATCTCTGGGACGACGGCAAGAAAAATAGTTCCTTGACAACTGAGCTCTTTTCAGGAGGAGGCGGGACCAGGCGGGACTTACAGGCGGAACGAAACGGAAGTCCGTGGTCCTTGTAACGGGATTGGGCCCCGCGCTCCCGGGGGGCGGGCTCAGATGGGCGGAGGGATTCATTTTAAGCAACGGGCGGCCCTCCGCCTCCATTGAAGGCGGGGAAATACCGCGGCGCGGACGGTAGTTGCTGTGGTTTCCGTTCTGAGCTCGCAGCTTAGGAGCTGAAGATCGCGGACTTAGCGTTGCCGCGTCCGAGTCCGGCCATCAGTGGCTGCAGATCCGGAGGCCAGGAGCTCAACCACCCTTCTTCGGAACAGGGCCGGCCTGCTGCTGTGCCCTCGACGCTCGGTGCCTGTATCTACTCCGGGGCCTAGGTCGGCTCCGGGGGCGGCTTAGGAGAAGGCCGCCGGCGAGATGTTCAAAAACACGTTCCAGAGCGGCTTCCTCTCCATCCTCTACAGCATCGGCAGCAAGCCTCTGCAAATCTGGGACAAAAAGGTCGGGCTAGGGGCGGCGACGGGGCGGGGTGGAGGGGCTGCACCCCCTCCTCGTCCGGGGGCTGGGGACGGGGAATGGTTGTGTCGAATTGGGGCCTGGGAGAGGCCGAGAGGACGCTGCTGTGCCTTGTCCCCAGCCTGGCGGGACTGGGGCGCGAGGTGGGGGCGTCGTGTAAGCAGCGGAGGAGGTGGGGGGGGGGCGGTGCATGTGGGTGGGCGTGGCTGAGATCTAAGTGTCCTGCAGCTGTGGTGTGGTTAGGACCGCGACCCTCGCTGCTGTCTTGACTTGGTCGGTCAGTCCATTCTTTTGAGCCACTGTTTCCCCACCAATATAATGGGGTTGATGGTGCCCATCTCGTAGCATGAAATGCACGAACTTATTTGAAGGAGCTTTGGGGATGTAAAGATGAAAGGACCTGCTATTCACGAATTCCAAATATTTACTGATATCCGTTTTTGTGCCAGGCACGGTGCTGGGCACTAGACACAGAGCCTTTGTTCAGGCACCCTTACAGAGGAGCAGACAGAAAGACTCCGGCCAAGCCAGTGATGTTTAAATTGCATTCATTTGCTCCCTTCCTCCCACTGATCCCAAATAAGTCAGAATTCAGTGGCCCTTGGCACCTGCTCCACACTCACTGTGACTTGCCTGTACTATGCCCTCGGTGCCTGATTTCTCCATCAGGAAAACTGCAGAATGCTGACAGTCAAAGTCTTGTTTGGATTAATAAACTCAGAGCCAAGTACAGGCCTCATCTTTATTCAGGCATCCACTAGATGATATGTGTTTGGCCCCACGAGATGATGAATCTGTTTTTTGCAGATGTGAAGAAAGATCTAGCTGTCTATGAATTGGTCTGCATTTTATTACTTTGGTATTTCGTTCTTCATGCAAATTCCCAGGCAATCAGCTGTACTATTTCTTGAATATAAGTTACGGGAGGCACTCCAATGTGAAATTTAAGTCATATTCTTAGTACTGCTCTCTGGGAGAATGGCGAGTGTGGGTATGCCGAATGCTGCTTTTTAGAGAGATGCATGTGGAATAATCTCAGTAGGATTTATTGGTAATGAAGCCAAGAATTTTGAATTTTATCTTGGAACACGTCTCTGTATTCCCTTATCCACACATGAGAGCTCTTTATGAGGGCCACATAAAGTTGGGAGAGAACATGAGCAGCTTTCTGCCTGTCACCACTAGGGAACTCTGCGTTCTGAGGGCAGCTTTTAGGATGGTGTGTCCATAGTGTTACTTTCATAAGATAGTTGAAAAATCTGAATATAATGAAGTTGGGCCTTTGTGTATGTAAAATCTGCCCATCTCTTCTCTTTCAGATGATTCTATCCACAAGCTAGAGCTAGTGCCAGAGTACAGGAAAGCAGTTCCTTAACGTTGCTGCGTTACTGAGGTTTTTAGTTTCATGTATTTTTTCACAATGGAATAAAGCATTGTAAACTGTAAATTGCATCTGTACAAAGAGAGCCCAGGGTGCCTGGGAACTCCGTAAGGAGGTTGGCTTCCCAGCTGTCACTTGACTCAGTTATGGGCTGTCAGAAGGCATGAAGAGAGGGGGGCCCTCTGTGCCAGTGGAATTTGGAAACTGAATTGTAACAAAGTGTCAGTATAAGGCAATTGAAATCGAGAATGGGACTTGACCTAGGAGGAGAGGTTTTCAGAGCAGATAGAGAACTTACTAAAGCTGAAAGAATTCCAGTAGTAGGGAGGCCTCAGAATTTCTGTTACGAAACTTGTATCAGTTTTCCATTTTAACCCTTCTGGGCTTGATCTTGTGTGCTGTGTTTTATTTTTCAAATGAGGCTTTTTGAATAGTCAACATGTTTACCCAAGAATATAAAAGCATAGTAACCATGGTGCACTGTGTCCCTTAACAACGCCACTAGAGGTCGGATGGTACCCTAATGACATAAACACGTGTGAAAACATTGTTAAATCGATTGGCATGGTTACTTGGAGTAAATTAAACAGACATTTTGGCAAAACCTTTAGAACACTCATTTCAAGCAAAATCTTCACAACGGTAAAAGCTAATTTTGTGTTTCTAACTCTTCTTATTTAGACTCAATTGAAAAATATTTAGAATTGAGGATTTTTCCCCTCTTGGGGCAAGGGAAGGAAAGAGAAGAAAAAGGAAAGTTTGGGGCCGTATCCCTCAGCTTTGTCGTGTGTGCTTTTTCTCAGCTATGTCTGCATAAAGTGCTGGAAATTCAATCCAGTAGGGGGAACACTGGGAATTGATGTACTTATCAAAGATTTATTGAGCGACAGCTTAGTGACAGGCTTTGTGTAGACTTGGGAAGATAGAGAAAATATTTTTCCTGCTGCCAGGGACTAAGGCAAAGTTGTAATAAGGACAGAGTTTGTGGGGAGGTGAGGACTGTCTACATTTAGCTAGACATGACCTTGACTTTTGCCAGTAGGTATATATTGACTGTGGTACCTATTTATAGTTATTTTTATTTCAGAAAACTTTGTTGTTTTCTTTCATGAGTATATATAGAGAGAATTTCTGTTCGGTTTCTATGAAGAATCTTGAGAAATTTGGTTTGACTTTTGTTTAGGCTCTGTCTGCATAGAAGTGAACGCTGTATTCACAGTACCAGTGAATTTGCAAGCTTCCCTTTTGTGAAGATGGCTTGTTCGTTAGTGTTTGTCACACCGGCAATTTATTTGACTCTCTGAAGCTCACAGCCCCTCCCCTCCATCTCATCCTTCCAATCTCAACTTAAACATTCTTTTCATTGAGAACTTGAGTTAAGCCTCATGGGTGTGCCTGTGGCTGGCAGTTTTCTATTGTAGATCGTCCACTGGACTGCAGGTTCCTTAAGCAGAAGAACAGTACCTTACCGAAAAACCTCAATGCTAGGGCGTGGTCAGACACCTTGGATTTGCATCCTGGCTGTGCTGTGTTCCAGTTGTGTGATCTTAGCTATGTCCTTAACCATTCAGTTTTCTCGTCTATTTCTCACGGTTATGAAGATTCAATGAAGCTGTATATAAAGTCCTTAGCAACAGAGTTACAGTATATGTAGTCATGCACCACATGATGGCGTTTCAGTCAACGACAGACCTTACACATGACAGTGGTGCCATAAGATTATCATGGAGCTGAAAAATTCCTGTCGCTTAGTGACATAATAGTTGTTCGTTAAGTCAAATGCATTACTCGTGTTTGTGAGTAGGTGTAAACCAACCTACTGCACTGCCAGTCATGTAAAAGTATAGCATATACAATGATGTTCAGTGCCTAACACTTGATGATAAATGACTATGTTACTGGCTTATGTATTTACTATACTCTTTATCATTATTTTATTGTATTTTATTTTTCTGAGACAAGGTCTTGCTGTTGCCCAGGCTGGAATGCAGTAGTGCAATCAGGGCTCACTGCAGTCTCCATCTCCTGGGCTCAAGCAATCCTCCCACCTCAACCTCCCAAGTAGCTGGGACTACAGGCCCTCACCACCACACCTCACTAATTTTTGTATTTTTGTAGAGACGGGGTTTCTCCATGTTGCCCAGGCTGGTCTTGAATTCCTATGCTCAAGCAGTCCTCCTGCCTCAGCCTCCCAAAGTGCTAGAATTACAAGCATGAGTTCCCGTGCCTGGCCTTATCATAATTTTAGAATGTACTCCTACTTAACAACAAGAACAAAAAGTTAACTGTAAAATAACCTTAGGCAGGTCCTTCAGGAGATATTTCAGAAGAAGGCAGTGTTGTCATAGGAGATGACAGCGCCATGTGCGTTATTGCTCTTGCAGACCTTCCAGTGGGACAGCATGTGGAGGTGGAGACTGTGATTGATGTTAATGATCCTGACCCTGTGCGGGCCTGGGCTCATGTGTGTGTTTGTGTCTTAGTTTTTAACAAAAAAGTTTAAAAAGTTAAAAAAAGAAATAGGAAAAACCTTATGGAATAAAGATATATAGAAAGAAAATATTTTTGTGCAGTTGAACATTGTGTTTTAAGCTAAGTGTTATTACAAAATAGTCTAAAAGTTTTTAAAATTTTTAAAGTTTATAAAGTAAAAAAGTTCCAGTAAGCCAAGGTTAATTTATTATTGATGAAAGAAAAATATTTTTAATAAATTTAGTGTAGTCTGGCCAGGCACAGTGGCTCATGCCTGTAATCCCAGCACTAACTAAATAACTAAAGCACAGTGGCTCATGCCTGTAATCCCAGCACTAACTAAATAACTAAATAAAATAAATGTATTGTAGCATAAGTGTATTGTGTTTACAAAGTGTTCAGTAATGTCCTAGGCCTTCACATTCACTCACCACTCACTCACTGACTCAACCCAGAGCAACTTCCAGTCCTGCATGCTCCACTCATGGCCAGTGCCCTATCCAGTTGTGTCACTTTTTATCGTTTATACAGTACTGTACCTTTTCTATGTTTAGACACACAAATACGTACCATTATGTTACAGTTGCCTACAGTATTCAGTACAGTAGTATGCTGTACAGATTGTAGCCTAGGGGCAATAGGCTATACCATATGGCCCGGGTGTGTAGGATGTTGTACTGTCTAAGTCTGTGTAAGTACACTCTGATATTCACACAGCCATGGAACTGCCTAATGAGGCATTTCTCAGAACGTAATCCCATCCTTAAGCAATGCATGACTGTAGTTAGTACTTTATAAGTAATGACATACAGAATTAAATATGGCAGGGACTGAGGAATTTGCTCAAAACTAAAATAAGATGTTTGAACTTAGCCCACCATCCAGATTTCTAGGAATAGGAAGTACTGTAAAACCAGACTCCTGAAATGAGAAGAATTTAGTTGTTGCACCGTGGCTCGCCCAGCCCTAAGCCCTTAATGTGGCTCTAAGGCCACATAACCCATGCTCTGGCACCTGCTTCACTTGTTCTCCAGGCGGGACTCACTTCACCCGGTTCCCCCTCTTAGTAGTAGCCTCCTACTGAATTGAAGGAAGTCCTGTTCTCTCACCTTCAAGCTTTTGCACTTCCTGGTCCTTCTGCTGGGCGCTGCCCCTCACCACCCCACAAGCCTCACTCCCATCTTTTCATTAGGCTCCAGTCACAGTTCAAAGGCCTTTCTCAGAGTGACCTTCCTTAACTCTTCAGGGTAAGTTAATTTACTTCTTTCTTATCACACTTGACATTATTAGCTTCTTAAGGTCTGTATTCCTGGCTATACAGTTTCCTGATAGAAGCTTTTGTAAGTTTCTAAACCAACAGCTTAGAAGAAATTAGGGGTTTCTTTAATGTTACCTTGACATCTGGGACCAGCAAATCTTATATTTATTAAAAGACTCTTACGTTTAATGTAAACATTACTTCTGGTTGTAAGGAAAATACCAGGAGGTTCTGTTCCCACTTATACTTGTGTAAAACATGCTGTAATTTTCAGTCTTTTTTTTTTTTTTTTTTTTTTTTTTTTTTTTTTGAGACAGAGTCTTGCTCTGTCCCCCAGGCTGGAGTGCAGTGGCACGATCTCGGCTCACTGCAGGCTCCACCACCTGGGTTCACGCCATTCTCCTGCCTCAGCCTCCGGAGTAGCTGGGACTACAGGCGCCCGCCACCACGCCCAGCTAATTTTTTGCATTTTTAGTAAAGATAGGTTTTCACCGTGTTAGCCAGGATGGTCTCGATCTCCTGACCTCGTGATCCGCCTGCCTTGGCCTCCCAAAGTGTTGGGATTACAGGCGTGAGCCACTGCGCCCAGCCAATTTTCGGTCTTAATGGTAGTAATCCTGGCTGGGCGCAGTGGCTCACGCCTGTAATCCTAGCACTTTGGGAGGCCAAGGCGAGCTGAGGTCAGGAGTTCAAGACCAGCCTGACCAACATGAAGAAATCCCGTCTCTACTAAAAATACAAAAGTTAGCCGGGCATGGTGGCACATGCCTGTAATCCCAGCTACTCGGGAGGCTGAGGCAGGAGAATCACTTGAACCCGGGAGGTGGAGGTTGCGGTGAGCCGAGATGGTGCCATTGCACTCCAGCCTGGGCAACAAAAGCAAAACTTTGTCTCAAAAAAAACAAGATAGTATCCTAAAAGTACATGAGATGAGATTGCATTAATTCATGAAAACGCCTTTGTCTGTCTTTCCTGTCACCCTGTCTTTCTCTCAGCTGCTGCTGTTTCTCCCCTACTCCAAGACTAAATATTAGACCAGAGTCTTCTGCTGTTGCTGGATAGTGTTAGATTCCCATGTCCTGTTCTAATTTTAAAAATAAAGTCTCTCTTCAGAAAAAATTTCCTACATTCTAGTTTTTAGTTAGCATGCCTTGTTGATAAAAATTAAATTGGTGCTGTTTTCAGTAGTAGAATTGAGTGTATTTGGACATAAAGGTGGTAAAACTTTTTTTCTGACTTGGAGAATGTTCTTCATTATTCTGAGTCAGGTTTTACTGTAATTGAACGAAGACATGGTTTTTTGGTTTTGTTTTTCTTTTTTTTTGAAACAGAGTCTCGCTCTGTCACCCAGGCTGGAGTGCAATGGCACAATCTCAGCTTACTGCAACCTCCTCTTTCTGGATTCAAGCAATTCTCCTGCCTCAGCCTCCTGAGTAGCTGGGATTACAGGCATGCGCTACCACACCCAGCTAATTTTTTTGTATTTTTAGTAGAGATGGGGTTTCACATGTTGCCCAGGCTGGTCTCAAACTCCTGATCTCAGGTGATCCTCCCACCTCAGCCTCCAAAAGTGCTGGGATTACAGGCGTGAGCCACCGCGCCCGTCCGAAGACATGGGTTTTAATTACACTTGCCTTTTCTTAGCTGTGCACATAATTGTCCTTACGCTGACTTAGGGGTTGTTGGTGTATGCCCAGAGTTGCTTGTCTGCTGTCTGGATAGCCCCTGTCAAGTACAGCGAAGGGAGTGAAGCCTTTGACCCTTGGAGCCTGGGAGTCTGAGTCGGAGCTATGCTCAGTTCTCCCCACAGGGGTCTCCCTCTGCCTAATTTCTGTCTGGGAACCCAGCCCTTAACCCAGTGCAGGAACTTTCCTGCTGAAATGGACAGCTCTAATGGTTTAATGTAAATTAGAGCATGTGTCATTAAAGCTAGGATGCCAGATGGCTGAGGGTTCAGCTGCCTGCCAGGCTGAGTGGGTGGGGCCAGAAAAATGAAAGTTGGGGGAGGGAATGGATACAACTCATGTTATTTTTAAAGCAGTCATAGAAATATACAGCATCCACCAGCTCCCTCCCTATCCCAGTAGTAGTATTTTTTTTTTCCCTCAGCTTGACCCACCTCCCTGAGGCTTACATTGCGGGGAGGGAGAGAAATCGGTGTTCTTTATTAGTTGCCCTAGCAACCATGGAAAGCCTGGGAGAGTGATTGTAAGACTGGCCTGAAGCTTTGGTCACCTCTGTTGTCTGCAGAGGCAGAGAACCATTATGATCTGTAATTGCCAGTAACTGGATTCTGAAGCTCTTTGAGTATCTCCAGCTCATGGGCAGGGGAGGGGAAATTAATGAAATAAAACAATATTGGCTTTAGATTTTTATTTTTATTTTATTTTTTTTGAGGAATAAAGCACTCATAGGCCACACTTTGATAGTGGGAATGTGTCATGAATGAAAAAGAATTAACAAATCAAAAACAGTCGGCTCTTTGTGATCTAGAGAAGGACAGAACATGTTAAAACCTGCTTCCGCCATGAGCAATAAATGCTGAGCAGTTCATTTTATCTTCATCCCAAAGCCACGCCTGCCCAGTGACCTCTGAACTGGAAGGAGCTAAGGAAAGGACGTTGATACTTTCTGAGACATGTATCTTCCTGTATGCTGTTTTCAGAAGCTGGTTTTAGGAGACGGTTGCTTTCCTGGAAGACCTTTATAATATTAGGCAATGACAGCCACATGGCCAGGGTGGTGGGGAGCCTTTGCCCCAAATTGCCTGTCGCCTCTCCCCTTTGATCCTAGTTTTAGAGCCTAGAGAAGAGGCTTTGGGAAATTACCCTCTAATGCACATATCTGATTGATCGCCCTTACCACCTCCACGCTACTCTTTTCCAGTGAGTTTGTATTTGCAGCCCTTTAAACTTAATAAAGGAGAAAAATCACAATTCACTAACAAATCCACTTAATTTGATTTCAAACCTCTGGAGACTTTTCACATGGGGATACTTGTGTTTTTCTTCATCGGGGGTTAAACAGTCTCTTGGGGAAAAGCTCTGTTTAGTTTGTCTTACCACCAGCCAGGTTCAAAATCTAGAGAGACTGATGGGCATTCCTTCAACAAAGTTGCCTTGACCCCTCCAAGTTCCCTTGTTTTGTGGAATACATTCATTCATTTTGTAAAACTTAAATTTGTGAGTGTGTTTGTTATCTAGTAACACTGGGAGAAAAAGAAATCTCTTTAGTAATTTATTGAAAATCCAACTAAAAGTTAGCTTGCCTCTGGGCAGAAGTGCAGGAATACTACAGTCTATCCAGCTTCCAGCCTGCATTGGCTTCTGTGTGCATTGTACGGCTTTGTTTTCTTCTGTGAAGACCTGAATAGGTCATATCTGCTGGAGTTCCAGGGAAGTCGTAAACTTTGAGATGGGCAGAAGGCAGATTCCCTAACATTTTCTCCCTGTGAGATCTGGCTGGTCTTTCTGGAACTGAGGGAGGCCTCTTGTTGACACTGGCCAGAGAGAGCTTGAGTGATGTGAAATTTGAGGGCATGCTTTAAATAAGGGTGGATCAATAGCAACATGTTGCTTTTTAGCAATAGCAGTTTTCAGGCCCAAGTTACTTCTTAATCCTGTCAATTTAACTGTCTATTTGCTCTTTGCAGTTTGTCCCGTTTTAAAGAATGGTTATGTTATTGAGAATAATTAGTGGTGTGTTATAAAAGTAGTGTTTGCATCTTGTTGGAATACTGCCAGCTCTTATCAGTAGGGCTGCTCGCATTAGTTGGAAATGATTTCTTCATTAATTCCTTCTTCACTGAATCTGCTTGGTTTTCCACAGAAAATACAGGAGGAATATCGCCACTTAGGTTGGGAACATGAGATGGCGAGTGAGGTGGGCACTTAGGTTGGGAACATGAGATGGCGAGTGAGGTGGGCACTTAGGTTGGGAACAGTAGATGGCGAGTGAGGTGGGCACTTAGGTTGGGAACATGAGATGGCGAGTGAGGTGGGCACTTAGGTTGGGAACAGTAGATGGCGAGTGAGGTGGGCACTTAGGTTGGGAACATGAGATGGCGAGTGAGGTGGGCACTTAGGTTGGGAACAGTAGATGGCGAGTGAGGTGGGCACTTAGGTTGGGAACAGTAGATGGCGAGTGAGGCGGGCAGTAGTGGCGTATTCTGCACAGACCCAGGCCTTTGTGCTCTTAATCTCCTTGGAAAGGGGCCCAGAATTCAAAGCAGGAGGGCATTGAACATTGCCAGCTTTGTTTGAG
The DNA here is from genome assembly GCF_000001405.40 of Homo sapiens. NCBI lineage: Eukaryota > Metazoa > Chordata > Mammalia > Primates > Hominidae > Homo > Homo sapiens. Next base: position 58,119,642 of record NC_000016.10, on the reverse strand, counting down.
AATCGTTTCAATGTGACGTTTTGTGTCTTGAGAGCCTAAGAAATGCTCCATTGGCAGGGATTGGGGTCCCGTCTAGCCCAGTATTCTGTCTCTGACAATGGGCACCCATTTGTGGAAGCATTCTTCATGCTGGCGGCCCTGTGGGCTTTGTGATATGCCCCAGATCTCTGGCTTCCTATAATAGTCCACGGGGGATGTGTTATCCAGGAATTTTTAAAACCCTCCTTGAACCTATTCATATGTGCCAGCTCTTAGGGTGACAGATTCCAGAAGTCAGCAAATATTTGAACGCTTAGTTTATGGCTAGCACTGTGCTAAGCATTGTCGAAGATAGAAATGATGCTTCATAACTGGTCTTGGCTCTTGCTTGAGCTTATTCTTTTTTAAGGAGACAAGACTTGGTTGCAGTTGTGGAAAAGGTGGGCAGTGACATCAGATGTCACCTTTAGAACACCAGGCAGACCATGAGTGGATCAGACTCACAGTGACAGAGCTCACAGAGACTAATGTCTAAAAACAGAAACATATTATTAATAATTTATGTTGAAAAATAAAACTACCAGACCCAACACTGATTTATCCCCATATGCAAGTCTAATAGCCAAATCGTAATCAGCAGGCTGATGAGTGAACAAGAGGAGCTTTAGTCAGTGTGATTGAGTCATTGATTATGGCAGCCTAACACAGCCCTTTCCACAAAGAAAGACCGTATGTTTGTCTTTCTGATGTCTCCTGTTCTAAACCTAGTTGATCTTTTTCATATGTTATTCCATTCAGCCCTAATAGTCCAGCCTTGTTTTTTTGTTTGTTTGTTCATTTTTGAGACAGGATCTCACTCTGTCGCCCAGGCTTGAGTACAGTGGCACAATCACGGCTCACTGCAGCCTCGACCTCCCAGGCTCAGGTTATCCTCCCACCTCAGCCTCCTGAGGAACTGAGACGATAGGCACGTGCCACTACACCTGGCTAATTTTTTGTAGAGATGGGGTTTCATCATGTTGTCCAGACTGGTCTTGAACTCCTGAGCTCAAGCAGTTCTCTCGCCTCGGCCTCCCAAAGTGCTGGGATTACAAGCGTGAACCACCATGCCTGACCCCAGCCATGTTTTTTTGGTTTTGTTTTTTTTTTTTCGTTTTTTGTTTTGTTTTTTTTGAGATAGGGTCTTGCTCTGTCACCTACTCCTCTAGGCTGGAGTGCAGTGGCACAAACACAGCTCACTGCAGCCTGGACCTCCTGAGCTCAAGTGATCCTCCCACCTTAGCCTCCCAAGTAGTTGGGACTATAGGCACACTACAGGTGCACGCCACCACACCTGGCTAATTTTTTGTAGAAACAATGTCTTACTATGTTGCCCAAGCTGATCTTGAACTCCTGAGCTCAAGCTATCCTCCTGCCTTGGCCTCCCAAAGTGCTGGGATTACAGGCATGAGCCACTGTGCCTGGCCCCAGCCCTGTTTTGAAAGTGCCTTTGCATATCTCTGTTCTGTCCATATTAGTTGCTTAAAAGTTTAATGCTTGAAGATAATTGTTCTTTCCTAAATATTTTGAGAGGAGGAATCTGTATTGAATATTGATTCCTCCCCATCATCTACCTCCTACATATGCAGCAAACAATACAAAACAATGTAGGATGAGGTGCTAAATTATGTCGTCTAGACAACATGAGCCAGAAAAACAAATCAGAGAAAAGAGAGGTCAGTGTGGGCTGAAAATGCTAAAGAAGGCATCTGTGTGTGGCACAGATGGGAATTGAATTCCTGCTTTAAAAAGTAGAAAATTAGGCAAAAGCAGATAGGGAAGCATGAAGCAGGATAACTCCAGGGGAGGAATGCTTTCACTTTTTGTTGCTGCCCTCCTCAGTAACACTCAGCTTTTCTTTGGCTTTTCTGGCCAAAGAAATATACAAGGCAGGACGGGCGCAGTGGCCCATGCCTGTAATTCCAGCACTTTGGGAGGCCAAGGCAGGTGGATCACAAGGTCAGGAGTTCGAGACCAGCCTGGCCAACATGGTGAAACCCCGTCTCTACTAAAGATACAAAAAAAAAAATCGGCTGGGCATGGTGCTGCACGCTTATAATCCCAGCTACTCAGGAGGCTGAGGCAAGAGAATCGCTTGAACCTGGAAGGCAGAGGTTGCGGTGAGCCAAGATCGCGCCATTGCACTCCAGCCTGGGCGACAGGGCGAGACTCCGTCTCAGAAAAAAGAAAAAAGAAAGAGAAAGAAAGAAATCTACGAGGCAGTATGAGGCAGTGGAAAGGCTGCTGAATCCTTAGTCTCCTACTTAGGGTTTGGCATTTGCAGTTCCGGGGTGCCAATGTCCACATTTGTAAAATGAAAACAGTATCACCTGCCTTGTTGTTTTTATTGTGTGAGGCTTAAGTGAGAAGGGGATGTGTGTGATATTCCTGGTGCATAGTAGGCATTCAGTAGATATTAGCTGAATCTAAATTGAGTTGATGTATTTGGGGAGAAGTTTCCCCAGATTTAGGGATTGCCAAGTTACCTGGGATTCCCTTGGTGGTTGGTGTGACCCTGTCTAGAGGTAATAGCTTGGCTTACTTACATATAAGCTTCAGTGTGCTGTGTCACAAATTTCTTTGTACGCCTCTTGGGCTACCGTGGTTTTCTTTAAATAGTCCTATTCAGCCTTGTCAGATATTTCAGTACTAATCGAATTTTCTTTCTTGTAGGTACGGAATGGCCACATCAAAAGAATCACTGATAATGACATCCAGTCCCTGGTGCTAGAGATTGAAGGGACAAATGTAAGGTAGGTTGCCACCTCTGTTCTCCCAGAGACATCATATACTAGGGAGGCAGTACGTCATAGAGGTTAATAGCACAGACTGCGGAGTCAGAGTGCCGGATGTGAGTCTATCTCTGCCACTTAGAGCTTACCATGGGCAAGTTACTGAATCCCCCAGACCTTAGCATACTCATCTGTACAATGGGCAGAATAATAGTACATTTTCCTTATAGGGTTATTGCGAGGAGTAAATAAATGAATATATATAAAACACGTAAAGCCTTGCTTAGCACATAGTAAGCACGATGTCAGTATTAGCTATATTATTAACCAAAGTGTGTGTTGGGGTGGGGAGTGGGCAGTGTTGTACAGCTCATCCAGTGGGTGGACAGTGTGGTTTTCAGTGCCATAGAGGTCTCAGTTTTGGTTTTCTGTCATTCGATGGCTCCCCTGGACCAGAATTGAGGTCTTCTCTCACTGGAGGAGCTTCTAAGATCCACTGTCTGGCTTTGTTTTTCAGATATTTTATTGCTGCTGTCTAGTCCTGTGTTAAGCTTTTGTTTCTGGGTCCAGCGTTTGTTAAAGCAGCCGCTGACTTAGGGCTGAGGGATTCACTGGGTGGCGTGTCTGAATCTTTTAGATCTGCTTTCCAGTGTATCCTCTTGGACCGTGTGTTATTGTTGTGCATACCACAAAGGAAGAGAGTCCAGGAGTGTGTTTATTAGTATTTCCTCTCTCTACAGCACCACATATATCACATGCCCTGCAGACCCCAAGAAGACGCTGGGAATTAAACTTCCTTTCCTTGTCATGATTATCAAAAACCTGAAGAAGTATTTTACCTTCGAAGTGCAGGTAAGTATGTGTACATGAATGTGTCCACTCTTGGCTATACCAAAGTGATAGCCTTTGAACTGATGGGAAAAAGTGACCCTACAAAGTATCTTTATCCTTTTGCATGTATTCTTTTCTGCTTCTAGTATAAGCCCAGTGCAGTCCTTGTTATGTAAATTTGATATTAGTAATAAAATTTAATCAGGTTTTTAAAGAAACAGCACCTAGAAAACCTAGTAATTTCAAAGTGTCAGAGTTAGCGTGGTATCCATTTGGGGAGTGATTATTTAATAGTGGGTGGCTGTTCTGTTTTAGTATTTCTGATTTTTCAAAAGGAAGAACATTTATATACTCTATGGTCTGAGAGCCTGCTGACTGTGTTATATGTCATAAGCAGCTGGTGTTGTCTTGGCAACAAACAAGATAAACTTGCTACTTCCGGGCCATCTGCATGCAGTGTATGACCTGTGTCTGGTCTGTTTATTTTCCTCTAAGTCTCAGCCTTGGGAAAGCAAGCTGTGGGAATTCAGGTCCTTGTCTGGACAAGGTTGTGTGCTTCTTCCAAGACAGAGCTAGTGTGATGCTTCTTCTCTGTATTTCACAGGTACTAGATGACAAGAATGTGCGTCGTCGCTTTCGGGCAAGTAACTACCAGAGCACCACCCGGGTCAAACCCTTCATCTGCACCATGCCCATGCGGCTGGATGACGGCTGGAACCAGATTCAGTTCAACTTGCTAGACTTCACACGGCGAGCATACGGCACCAATTACATCGAGACCCTCAGAGTGCAGGTACTGCTCCTTTCCCAGATAGAGCCCTGGGTTGGGGATAGGGCACACTGCGTCTAATATTGGCTTGTGGCCCACATAGCAGAACAGTGTGGGTTTCTGGCTTCAGTTGCCACACTGTCCAGGGAGCTTTGGCCTCACAAAGGTCCAGGAAATATTCAGAAGTCGGGTCAGGTATAGAGGTGAATACAGCAAGTAAGACCTCCCTCTTGCCAGAATCCATCCCTAAGACAAGCCAAGGAGATGCCGGAGATGACGCGTTTCCAGTCCTGGAAGAGGGCCTCTAGAAGATTCAGGAAAAGGGGGAGAACAGTCACATTTCGCCTCTCAAAAGAAGCATTGCCTTGACAGATCCATGCAAATTGTCGCATCCGACGGGTTTACTTCTCAGACAGACTCTACTCAGAAGATGAGCTGCCGGCAGAGTTCAAACTGTATCTCCCAGTTCAGAACAAGGCAAAGGTAAGCCAGTCTTCCCCAGAGGAAGGTCCACCAGTGAGTGGGGGGAGCTGTGTTCCTGGAAGGTGCTCTGGTCTAAGAATTCAGCTGCAGAGCCTCTCTGTGTTGACACTTTGGGGTGCCTTTATATCGCAAGATCTTAGGTCTCCTTCCAGCACTGAATCAGGAATGCTCCTGTGAAATACTCTGTTACTGCTGTTTCCCCTCTCCACGGTGAGAGGGGATGAGGCACTTCCTACTACTGGCTCACAGAACTTCAGAAAATATCTTAACTTTTTTTTTTTTTTGAGATGGAGTCTTGCCCTGTTGCCCAGGCTAGAGTGCAGTGGCACGATCTCAGCTCACTGCAACCTCTGCCTTCCAGGTTCAAGGGATTCTTGTGCCTCAGGCTCCTGAGTAGCTGGGATTACAGGCGCCTGCCACCATGCCCAACTAATTTTTAATTTTTATAGAGACGGGGTTTCACCATGCTGGCCAGGCTGGTCTCAAACTCCTGACCTCAAGTGATCCGCCTGCCTCGGCCTCCCAAACTGCTGGGATTACAGGCGTGAGCCACCGTGCCCAGCCCCATCTTAACTCTTAATCAGCCCAAAAGTATTATCAGCTGATAGGTCCCTGCTAACACAAGGGTGGGTGCTTCCCTGCCTGTGTGCTGCAGATGTGTGTCCATTCTCCACAGTCACTGTCCACTCAAGTGTCACCAGAGGCAGGGGGCCTGTGACACTGACCATCTATTTTCTAGTAACTTAAACTGATGCCACTTCTCTGTTTTTTCCCTTCAGCAATAACTGGAATTGTGACTCGAGGGATAGACCCCTGGATGTGACTCTTCTTTTTAAAAGGAAACTATGTGGAGGACGATGCAAAAACATATTTATCTTAGTTTGCTCTGCTGTAGTTCTGTTATTTATACTTGGTGTTGCTTGTCATGGACACCGGTGAACATGCCGTAACTCTGTGACTGCATTGTAAGTGCAGTGGGGGTAAGCAGTCCTGTGAGTGGCGCATGAACGCTGGAGCTTATTCCGCCGCCTGCCCCAGTGTGGGGGGAGATACCTTTACCATGAACTTACAGAATTAAAGATGGCCCATAAGGAATTCCAGACCAATATTTCTTCCTGCGGTTTATTCTATGTTTTATATATTATCTAAATATATGTATATGCTGTGTCATACTCATAATCTGGAAATGAATAAAGTGATATATTCCTGGTTTGTAAATTTGTTCCTAGTTTGTCTTTTTTCATGGTGATGTTTGTTTCCTTTGTGATATGAAAAGAGAACTATTTCCATTGAACATCTTATACATTTCATGCTGTGAAATGTCTTGTATTAAGTATCTAAAGAACAAGACATATTATGCAGCTGACCCTTGAACAACACAGGTTTGAACTGTGCGGGTCCATTTATATGAGGATTTTCTTCCACCTCTGCCACCCCTGAGACAACAAACCAGTCCCTCCTCCTCTCCCTCCACCTCCTCCTCTTCCCCTCCTCATCAATGTGAAGACAACAATGATGAAGACCTTTATGATGATCCACTTAATGAATAGTAAATATATTTTCTCTTCTTTATGATTTTCTTAATAACGTTTTCTGTAGCCTACCCTATTGTGAGAATACAAAATACAGTATGTAATTCATACAAAATATGTGTTGAATGGCTGTTTATATTATCAGTAAGGGTTCTAGTCAACAGAAGGCTATAGTAGTTAAGCTTTGGGAGAGTCAAAAGTTATACATAGATTTTTGCATAAGGGGGTCGGTGCCTCTAACCTCTGAGTTGTTCAAGGGTCAACTGTATAAACTGGTTCAGAACAACTTTGAAGACTAAATGGGAAAAAAAAAATAGTATGTGACCAGTGGAATCATCTTGCTAGGGGTTGGGTCCTAGGTTGAGCTTAAGACAGAATGACATAGTCTAAATTGCACCTAAAGCATTGGAGCAGATCACCATTTCTCTATTTGAGTTCCCGCTGAAGTACTACTGGCCTTGAATGTAGGGACTTAAAGAAAAATGTTTCTTTTTTTGAAACGGAGTCTCACTCTGTCGCCCAGGCTGGAGTGCAGTGGCAACATCGCAGCTCACTGCAAGCTCCTCCTTCTGGGTTCACACCATTCTCCTGCCTCAGCCTCCTGAGTAGCTGGGATTACAGGCGCCCGCCACCACGCCCAGCTAATTTTTTTCTATTTTTAGTAGAGACGGAGTTTCACGGTGTTAACCAGGATGGTCTTGATCTCCTGACCTCATGATCCGCCCGCCTCGGCCTCCCAAAGTGCTGGGATTACAGGCGTGAGCCACTGCGCCCGGCCAGAAAAATGTTTCTTTAAACGCTGGAATCGCATGAGGGAACTGGAACCTTACACCACTTTTCCCACTGTGCTTATTCTGGGCAGATGCCTGTTGAGTGGAATGACACTGGCACTATTGCCTGCTTTTTTCTTTTTCTCTTTTCTTTTTTTTTTGGTTAGGCACAGATGAATTTGCAAAAGTTAAGCACTGTATATGATACAACTCTACCACATGCAACATTTCTGAGGGGAAAGCAATTTGAGGGCAGAGAAAAGCACTTATCAGCATCCCCCTATTAGGTGGTGTCCTATATGATCTTGAAGGACACACAACTAATACAGTGATTACCTGGGCAGAATGATTTTGTTGTGTTTTTTTAAATCACTTGTATACTCTCTTCTACTATTAAAAAAAACAATGTTTTTGGCCAGGCGTGGTGGCTCACGCCTGTAATCCCAACACTTTGGGAGGCCAAGGCAGGCAGATCACTTGAGGTCAGGAGTTTGAGACCAGCCTGGCCAACATGGTGAAACCCCATCTCTACCAAATATAAAAAATTAGCTGGGTGTGGTGGCGCGCTTCTGTAATCCCAGCTGCTTGGGAGGCTGAGGCAGGAGAATTGCTTGAACCTGGGAGGCAGAGGTTGCAGTGAGCTGAGATAGTGCCACTGTACTCCAGCCTGGGTAACAGCAAGACTCTATCTCAAAAAAAAAATTTTTTTTGGAAAGACATTTTTGTAATAAAAATTTCAAAGTTAATGCAAGAGCAAAAGGCTATTCCAGATTCTGTGCCCTCCCCAGTCACTCCCCGGGGTTTGCTGTCATTGCACAGACTGGAACTGTGGGCACCTGCCATTTTGACTTTGGTTAGAGGTAAAAACATTAAGTTCTGGGATTTGTCATTACCATTGCTGCCTTCTGAGAAGTTAAATGGCAGGAAGCACGCTTTCCCCACATCCGTATCCTCCAGAGTATGCTGTGGGGAAGCATGGCCAAGTCTCTGAGGAGGCAGGGGCTACAGGAGGTGGAGAAGTGGAGGGGAGGGTGCTCCACAGCTACCTGATGAGACAGTTGTCAAGTGCCTGAAACTCAGGTGGGCGCAGTTAAGACAACTTTCCCCTTTTTCCTTCTGCTGGTGACCAGCCTGGAGCCACCTTCTGGAGGATGCTGCCCCTCTCCTTTGAGTCCCTAGTCATCAGCATCACAGAACACACCCCCTCAGCCCAGGTGACAGAGCCTGCTCTTGCAGGGCTAACTCTGGTCAAAACTGAACGTCGTCCTGCTTCCCTGTGCTTAGCATGTCAGCATCCCCCTCTTAGGCAGTGTGCCTGTCTCCTTCACTTTCTTGCTTACAATAGGAATCCTCAAATGGCTGAGTGGGTGGAGGGGTGGGCAATAACCAACAGAGTGTCTAGCCTCTGGCCACTGTCTAGTGAAATCTTCCCTCCAATCCAGACTCGATTATGGCATGAAAGATGCTTTTGTGATGACAAGAAAACCGCGTTAACTTCTCATCTCTTCTGGGTGCCAGGATATCAGTGAAGTGCTCCTGGGGGTTCAGAGCAACACAGGGAGGCACTCTCCTCCACACAGAGCCTCTTTCACCCCAGGCACTTGTTAGACCGTGTCTGGGGATTACCTCACCACCCTTTGGGGTGGTAGGTGGTGACTTCCCAGATGCCTCACATACCCATCCCAGAGGAAGAAGGAAGCGAGGGGCCCCGGGGGTGATGAGAGGTATTATCTGAGCTGGCCCCAGGCCAGGGTGAATAGTGGTGTCATGACTGCACAGCCCCTTGCCTGCAGCTTTCCAGCTCCCCAGGAAGACGACAACCTCCAGTGAGGCTGAGGGAAGAGGGAATGACAGGCTGCTGGGCTGAGGCGCCCTCATGGAGTTTGGGCCTGGGTGATCTCGGATCACGGTAATTGGAGCAGGCAGAATTGCATTATCCAGCTCCTTGGAAGTCACAGTGTGTTTTAGAAGGAATTGCCCTCTAAATGAGAGAGTGTTAGTTAATTGGCATGAACTTGGAATAGCACACAGCCGTTCCCAACAGGGCTGATTCTGGGGGAGAGTAGATTTACTCTGGCCCTTAATTGCCCCTGGCCCGTTGATTGCTTCCTCTATAGCCAGGCTAGAAGACTGGCCGGCGCCACACCAGTCAGCTCCTGGGGCATTTCTGAAGGTTGCAAGAATCCCAGAGAACAACCCCAAACCGATGTCCCTAGCCCCTCAGTGGCTTCACCCAGAAGCCCTAAGTGTCAGGAAATTCACTGAAAAAGATCTTGCAGCTCTTGTCTGCATCCTCATCCCCTCATTTTACTGATCAGGACACTGAAGCCCAGAGAGGGATGGGCTAGCCCCTCTAGAAACAACGGGGTGGAACGAGGACCCCATGCTCCTGAGGAGACCCATATGCCATCCCTGTCCTCTTTTGTGTTGGCATCCCCTTGCATCAAGCACTGGAGTCAGCTCTGCCCAGCAGTGAGGGCTGGCCTGCCCAGTCACTATGTGGTCACATATTAGTTGAACACAAGGGTCTGAGGCTGACAGTAAAAATCTCATTTGTGTTTAACCAGGGAATCATAAAAGTAATACATGCTCATGGTACATTCATGAGCTCATGGTTCAAAGAATATGAAGGGCTGGGCACGCCTGTAATCCCAGCACTTTGGGAGTTCGAGGCAGGTGGATCACTTGAGATCAGGAGTTTGAGACCAGCCTGGCCAACAGGATGAAAGCCCATCTCTACTAAAATACAAAAAAATTAGCCGGGCGTGGTGGCGTGCACTGCTAATCCCAGCTACTCAGAAGGCAGAGGCAGGAGAATTGCTGGAACTTGGGAGGCGGAGGTTGCAGTGAGCTGAGATCGCACCACTGTACTCCAGCCTGGGCAACAAGAGTGAAACTCCATCTCAAAAAAAAAAAAGAAAGAATATAAAGTAACATATAAGTCCCACTTCCCATTTCTGAAATGACAGCACCCGAATGTATTAACAGAATGTAGTTGCCCTTTCTTCCTGCACCCAGCCGCCTAGCATGAACAGCTTTTTCAGTTTCCTGATCGCTGTCATGTGTGTTCTCTCAGGAGCCTGGGAAGGCCTGGCACTGCAGATGACTTCTAACGACAATGGAGACCCACGCAGTACATGGCAGTGCTTTTCAGAAGGTAGCATGCTTTCATAGCCGTTGCATGTGGCGCCCTTGGGATCCTGTCTGGAAGGTTATATGTGGCGCTGCCCCCATCTATGGACAAGCACAGAAGTTAAATAGCTCACAGGGGCTGCATGGCTCACATGGGCCAGAGCTGGGAATAAAGCCTAGGGCTTCCTGCTAGAAGGTCAGGCTCCTGATGCTGAGCACAAGTGTCTGCTCATAAGGCATCTAGAATAGACTTGAATAGGCCGGGCACAGTGGCTCATGCCTGCAATCCCAGCACTTTGGGAGGCCGAGGCGAAAAGAACAACTGAAGTCAGAAGTTTGAAACCAGCCTGGCCAACATGGTGAAACCCTGTCTCTACTAAAAACGTAAAAATTAGCTGGGCATGGTGGGCACCTGTAATCCCAGCTACTCAGGAGGCTGAGTCAGGAAAATCGCTTGAACCCGGGAGGCGTAGGTTGCAGTAAGCCAAGATTGTGCCACTGCACTCCAGCCTGGGCAACAGAGCAAGACTGTCTCTAAATAAATAAGGATAGACCTAATTGGTTGGAGGGCGGGGGGTGCACAATGTACCTTTCCCACAGGAAGATGAATCTACTGAATTTTAATTCATATTCTTAAATTATGTTGCTGGGCCAGGCACAGTGGTTCATGCCTGTAATCCCAGCACTTTGGGAAGCCAAGGCGGGATGATCACCTGGGACCAGGAATTTAAGACCAGCCCAGGCAACACACCGAGACCCCATCTCTACAGAAAATAAAAAACTTAGCCAGGCATGGTAGCATGCATCTGTAGTCTCAGCTACTGGGGAGTCTGAGGTGGGAGGATCACTTGAGTCGGGGAGGTGGAGGCTGCAGTGAGCTATGATTGCACCACTGCACTCCAGCCTGGGTAACAGAGCAACACTCTAAAAAAATAAATAAAAATCCAGCAAATTCAGAGTCCTTGGCCCTGGCCTATTTAAAATGCATATTTCTGGGACCCAGCTTATTAAAATGACAATTGTCCCCACCCCAAGAGATAACATTTTTATTCTCTCTCTCTGTCTAAAGCCAACCCAGAAATCTGCATCTTAATACCTTCTCCTGGTGTTTTTTGGTGATTCTGTCATCTGAGAGTGGCTCCACATTTGAGTGAGTGGATATGATACATCTGAGCGTAGAGAGGTCAGACACTGCTGGGAGAGAAAAGAAACGTAAAACACCGCCCTCCCCGCCCCCACCCACCACCCAGGCACATCTGCAGATTGCAACCTCCTCCTACCAAAAACAAACAAACAAAAGAACCCTTAAGTTCCTCCTTTTATACAGAATTCTAATATGTCATTGACATCTCCATACATTTTCCATAACCTGAAAGTGTGAGGTCCTGTAATGCAAATCACGAGTGCCTCTGGGCTGTGATAGAGGCACTCCAAATTGCAAATCCACAAGACATTGAACATCTGGATAGAGCATGAGCCTTGGAAAAATCATGCCTCTTGGTATCCATGGTGTCTGAAGCGAAGCAAAGCAAAACAGTGTGCCAGGGGTGGATATGGAAAGGGATTGAACAGAACCCCTTGTTAAAGGGGTATAAAAGGTCACCAAGCTCCTCTACTCTTCTATTGAATGACAGCAATAAATATCAATATAAGCCTCCATGGGTTCTCTCATCACTTGGGTATCCCCCAGCCCCTGTTTCCATAAAGTCTTAAATTGTAAATCCTGGTATTTTGGAGGGAATACAGTAAAATCAATAAATACAGTAAAATCGGGCCATAAATACACTAGCCTTTGGGTTCCAAGTCACTCTCCAAAGCTCCTTCCCATCCTCCAAGACTGTCCTCATGTTTACTTGAACCTAAAGCCTCTTTACAAGCCTGAGACCTCTTTTCTTGGTATTAGAAACTGACCTAAGCCCCCAGCAGTAAAAGGCAGGGAGAGCTGTAGTTCTCATTCCCTCCACCTGACTGCTGGTAGTGTGCTACAATGAAAGCAAATCTCAGCCCTTAAGGAAGGAGAAAAAAAATTATTAGTGAGCATGCAAAATAGGTTCATGCCACCTACACCTAAAGCTCGGTGGAAGTGCATGTTTTAGGATGTATGATGATATGGTTTGGCTGTGTCTCCACCCAAGTCTCAAATTGTAGCTTCCATAACTCCCCTGTGTTGTGAGAGGGACCTGGTGGCGGGTCTTTGCCATGCTGTTCTTGTGATAGTGAATAAGTCTCATGAGATCTGATGGTTTTATTTAATTATTATTATTATTATTATTATTATTGAGACAGAGTCTTGCTCTGTCACCCAAGCTGGAGTGCAGTGGCATGATCTTAGCTCACTGAAACCTCCGCCTCCCAGGAGTGATTCTCCTGCCTCAGCCTCTGGAGTAGCTGGGATTACAGGTGCACACCACCATGCCTGGCTAACTTTTTTTGTAGTTTTAGTAAAGACGAGGCTTCACCATTTTGGCATGGCTGGTCTAAAACTTCTGACATCAGGTGATCCACCAGACTTGGCCTCCCAAAGTGCTGGGATTACAGGCATGAGCCACCATGCCCTGCTGGTCTGATGGTTTTAGAAAGGAGAGTTCCAGCCGGGTGCAGTGGCTCACACCTGTAATCTCAGCACTTTGGGAGGCCGAGGCAGGTGGATCACCTGAGGTCAGGAGTTCAAGAGCGGCCTGACCAATATGGTGAAACCCCGTCTCTACTAAAAATACAAAAATTAGCCAGGCATGGTGGCAGGCGCCTATAGTCCCAGCTACTCAGGAGGCTGAGACAGGAGAATCACTTGAACCCAGGAGGCAGAGGCTGCAGTGAGCTGAGATCGTGGCATTGCACTCCAGCCTGGGTGACAGAGCAAGACTCTGTATCAAAAAAAAAAAAAAAAAAAAAAAAAAAAAGATCCCCTGCACGTGCTCTCTCTTGCTTGCCACCATGCAAGATGTGACTTTGCTCCTCCTTTGCCTTCCGCCATGATTGTGAGGCCTCCCCAGCCATGTGGAACTGTGAATCAATTAAACCTCTTTCCTTTATAAATTACTCAGTCTCCGGTATGTCTTTATTAGCAGCATGAAAACAGACTAATACACATGGACAGCAGGATGGGATGAGAGAGCAGTACCAGGCAGGAATTCCTTCTTAAGTGTGTGGGTGGGTGGGAGTGGGGGGTGAGTCCTGCAGGAGTTCTGCACTAAGATGTCCCAAAGCTTTTACAAGCCTGGGCTCACCCAATTCTTATGCCCCATTTTAATGGCGACAGAGGTACCTATATAACATTTCTAGCCAGTCATTTATTTTGAATTTGACTCATTTCACTAATGGAAAGGTATTGCTGAGATCCCTGTACTAATGATAGGGGAGCAGAGGTTCATTCCCAGAAGGCTGTGATCACTTTGGTCAGTGTGCTGGCAGAGGGGCAGGAGGGAGATGCTCTGAACCCAAAGCCCCTTTCCTAACTCCACCCCAAGGCCACCACCACCCCAGGAAATCCCAGCAACCTCAAATAAGGATGTGGAGGAGGTGGAGCTTCCTGAGGCTTCATGGCATTCAGTGACACAATCTTTCCTGCCTTGTCTGTAAAACTGTAACAAGGAGTACACGGGCCATGCAAATCCCCCTGCAGACAGAGGAGGGGCCAGGCTGCTGGCAATTTTCTTCCTTTCTTCCTTTCTTCTTTTCTTCCTTTCCTCCTTTCTTTCTTTGTTTTCTTTCTTTCTTTCTTTTTTTGAGACAAGAGTCTCACCCTGTCGCCCAGGCTGCAGTGCAATGGCGTGATCTCAGCTCACTGCAACCTTCGCCTCCCGGGTTCAAGTGATTCTCCTGCCTCAGGCTCCTGAGTAGCTGGGATTAGAGGCGCGCACCACACCTCTAATTTTTTGTATCTTTAGTAGAGATGAGGTTTCACCATGTTGGCGAGGCTGGTCTCGAACTCCTGACCTCGTGATCTGCCTGCCTCAGCCTCCCAAAATGTTGGGGTTACAGGCATGAGCCACCGCACCCAAGCGGTTTATGAGCCATTAAAACACAAAGTAGATTTTTTTTTTTTTTTGAGACAGAATCTCGCTCTTGTCACCCAGGCTGGAGTGCAGTGGTGCCATCTCGGCTCACTGCAACCTCCACCTCCTGGGTTCAAGTGATTCTCCTGCCTCAGCCTCCCAAGTAGCTGGGACTACAGGCACTCGCCACCACGCCCAGGTAATTTTTTGCATTTTTAGTAGAGACAGGGTTTCACCATGTTGGTCAGGATGGTCTTGATCTCTTGATCTTGTGATCTGCCTGCCTTGGCCTCCCAAAGTGCTGGGATTACAGGCATGAGCCACCACGCCCGGCCAAAACACAAAGTAGATTTTTAATTCATGCCATCTAATATGGTAGCCATTAGCTGTGTGGCTACTTAAAATTTATTTTCATTTATTTATTTATTGGAGATGCAGTCTCGCTCTGTCACCCAGGCTGGAGTGCAGGGGCATGATCTCGGCTCATGGCAACCTCTGCCTCCTGGGCTCAAGCGATTCTCCTGCCTCAGCCTCCTGAGTAAGTGGGTTTACAGGCGCCCGCCACCATACCCAGCTAATTTTTGTATTTTTAATGGAGACGTGGTTTCACGATGTTGGCCAGGCTGGTCTCGAACTCCTGACCTCAGGTGATCCTCCCACCTTGGCCTCTCAAAGTGCTGGGATTACAGGCGTGAGCCACTGCGCCCAGCCTTAAATTAAGATTTTATTAATTAACTTTAAATAAAATTTAAGATTCAGTTCTATCATACTAGACACATTTCAAGTGTTCTGTAGCTACACATGGCTGGCGACCTCCACATTGGGCAGTGCAGGTAAAGGCAATTTCTACTGGACAATGCTGTTTTAAATGCTTGCGTTGAATAAAATGAGATGTTATCACTACCACCAAAAAAAATGCAATGTAGTATAATGGTGACCTTAATAAGATGATTTGAGCAGGCTTCTCAAACATTAATGTGCACAGGAATCACCTAGGGATGTTATTAAAATGCAAATTCTTATTTTTTTTTTGAGATGGCGTCTCACCCTGTTGCCCAGGCTGTAGTGCAATGGCATGATCTTGGCTCACTGCAACCTCTGCCTCCCAGGTTCAAGCAATTCTCCTGCCTCAGCCTCCTGAGTAGCTGGGATTACAGGTGCCTGCCACCATGACTGGCTAATTTTTTGTATTTTTAATAGAGACAGGTTTCACCATATTACCCAGGCTGGTCTCGAACTACTGGCCTCAAGCAATCCACCCTCCTCGGCCTCCCAAAGTGTTGGGATTACAGATGTGCACCACCAGGCCTGGCCTTAAAATACAAATTCTGACTCAGCAGGTCTGGGATGAGACCCTAGATTCTGCATTTCTAATGAGCTCATGGGTCATACCCACACTGCTGGTCCATGGACCACTCTAGAAGGAAGAGATTAGAAGATTCATTGAAAAACAAGAGAGCCAGGCATGGTGGCACATGCCTGTGGTCCCAGCTACTCAGGAGGCTGAGATGGGAGGATCACTTGAGCCCAGGAGTTTGAGGCTGCAGTGAGCTCTGATTGTGCCACGGCACTCTAGCCTGGGTCATAGAGTGAGACCTCATCTCTAAAAAAATCAAAACAGGCGAGGAGCGGTAGCTCACACCTGTTATCCCAGCACTTTGGGAGGCTGAGGCAGGTGGATCACCTGAAGTCAGGAGTTCAAAACCAGCCTGGCCAACATGGCAAAACCTCATCTCTACTAAAAATATAAAAATTAGCCAGGTGTGGTGGCGCATGCCTGTAATCCCAGCTACTTGGAAGGCTGAGGCAGGAGAATCGCTTGAATCTGGGAGGTGGAGGTTGCAGTGAGCCAAGATCGCGCCACTGCACTCCAGCCTGGGCGACAGAGTGAGACTCTATCTCAAAAATAAATAAATAAATAAATAGATAACACTTAAGGTGCATTATAGGCATTGAGCCTCAGGAATGGGGCCCGAGTTGAGACCTATGTGACGAGTGACGCACATTACCTTCTTTGGCTTTGACAGGATGCCTTGGCCACTGAGTAACCTCACTCAGACACGATGTCTCATATCAGGCCTGTTGTGAATGACAGGCCCAGCACAAGAGCCCTTTTGCCACACTGATAGGCCCTGACAGTCAGGGACAGCTCCCCTGCCCTCTCCCACGTTGGGGCCTCAGGAGGCCCTAACTCCCCGGGGACCGAGGGGGCCTGCAGTGACAGCTGCCTGAGACAGCTCTGCTCAGACGCTGAGCTGGATGCCTTGTTTCAGCCTCCCCTTTATTTCCTGTCTTTTTTCAAATGTAAAAATAGGAAAGCACAAAGTACCCTCATTCCCACGACCCCAAATTACCATTGTTAGAATTTTTCATGCACCGCTCAGTTCTGTGTATGTCACTATAGTCTGTCAATTTGTTGACCCCCAATGAATGCGGCCTCTTAGTATTCTTGTCTCGCCTCATGTATTTCCCCTTGAGCTTGGGCTGGCCCCATGACATGCTTAACTACAGAACGTGGCAGAAGTGACATTCCGTGCCAGGTCCCAGCCTAAGCCATCAGGAGGCCTAGCAGCTCCTGCTTTTGTGTTCTCAGAAGCCCTGAGCAGCCACATCAGAAGTCTGGCTAGCATAGGCCGGGCATGGTGGCTCACACCTGTAATCCTAGCACTGTGGGAGGCCAAGGCCGGAGGATCACTTGAGCCCAGGAGTTTGACACCATACTGGGCAACATAGGGAGACCCCTGTCTCTACAAATAATTTTTAAAATTATTATTTTTTTTACAAAAATTAGCCGGGTGTGGTGGTGTCCTCCTGTAAGCCCAGCTACTTGGGAAGCTGAGGCATGAGAATCGCTTAAACACAGGAGGCAGAGGTTGCAGTGAGCTGAGATCGCTCCACTGTACTCCAGCCTGGGTGACAGAATGAGACTCTGTCTCAAAAAAAAAAAACAAACAAAAAAAAAAACGGCCGGGCGCGGTGGCTCACACCTGTAATCCCAGCACTTTGGGAAGCCGATGCGGGCTGATCACGAGGTCAGGAGATCGAGACCATGCTGGCTAATATGGTGAAACCTCGTCTTTACTAAAAATACAAAAAATTAGCTGGGCATGGTGGCGGGCGCCTGTAGCCCCAGCTACTCGAGAGGCTGAGGCAGGAGAATGGCATGAACCTGGGAGGCAGAGCTTGCAGTGAGCCGAGATTGTGCCACTGCATTCCAGCCTGGGCGACAGAGCAAGACTCTGTCTCAAAAAAAAAAAAAAAAAAAGTTACCCAGGTGTGGTGGCATGCACCTGTAGACCCAACTACTTTGGAGGCTGAGGTGGGAGGATCACTTGAGCCTAGGAAGTTGAAGCTGCAGAGAGCTGTGATCGTGTCACTGCACCCCAGTCTAAACGACAGAGTAAGACCCTGTGTCTAAAACAAACAAACAAACAAACAAACAAAAAAAGAAGTCTGGCTACCTTAGACTTACCCTAGAGATCATGTCAGGAGACCACAGGGAGAGGCATGTGGAGAAGAAGAGGGAGGCCCGGCTTCAGCTATCTGTGAACACAGGTACACGGGTGGTCATCAGCCAGCCCAGCAGAAGGACTGCCCAGAGAGTTCAGCCAAAAGGGAACTGGGCATGGTGGCTCACGACTGTAATCCCAGCACTTTGGGAGGCCGAGGCGGGTGGATCACTTGAGATCAGGAGTTTGAGACCAGCCTGGCCAACATGATAAAACTTCATCACTATTAATAAATATATATATACAAAAATTAGCTGGGCGTGGTGGTGCACGTCTGTAATCCCAGCTACTCAGGAGGCTGAGGCAGGAGAATCACTTGAACCTGGGTGGCAGAGGTTTACAGTGAGCCGAGATTGCACCACTGCACTCCAGCCTGGGTGACAGAGTGAGACTCCGTCTCAAAAAAATAAAACAACAACAACAACAAAAAAAAAAAAAAAAACAAGGCCAGGTGTTGTGGCTCACACCTGTAATCCCAGCACTTTGGGGAGGCCGAGGTGGGCAGATCACCTGAGGTCAGGAGATTGAGACCAGCGCCAACATGATGAAACCCTGTCTCTACTAAAAATACAAAAATTAGCTGGGCATGGTGGCATGCGCCTGTAATCCCAGCTACTTGGGAGGCTGAGACAGGACAATTGCTTGAATCTCGGAGGCGGAGATTGCAGTGAGCCGAGATTGTGCCACTGCACTCCAGCCTGGGCAACAAGAGTGAAACTCTGTTTCAAAAAAAAGGGAAGAATTGGGAGCAAATACGATGGTGGTGGTTTCAAGCCATGAAGTTTCAGGTGCTTCCTCAGAGAGCAGCTGATTACAAAAACCTGAGTGGCTCAGGTCCTAGAGGAGCACCCAGTCCCCTCGTCTCAGTACCTGCCCCTTCTCCTCAGACCCCAAGTGTCCTTGAGCAAGGAGAGGAAAAGATGCATTAAAGGACAGTCTGGAGAAAGCAGGTAATATTTATTCATTTATTAATGTGTATCTCATTTCAGTTCCTAAAAGGATATGAGGTTTACCAAAAGTGCATATAATGTGAAGTTTTCCTTTTTTAGAGACAGGGTCTTGCTCTGTCACCCAGGCTAGAGTGCAGTGGCACGATCACAGCTCACTGCAGCCTCAACCTCCTAGGCTCAAGCGATCCTCCCACCTCAACTTCCTGAGTAGCTGGGACTACAGGCATGCACCACCATACTCGGCCAAGTTTTTTAAATTTTTTTTTGTAGAGATGAGGTCTTGCTCTGTTGACCAGGTTTGTCTTGAACTCCTGGCCTCAAGCAACCCTCCCACCTCACCCTCCTAAAGGGCTTTGATTATAGGCAGGAGACACGTCGCCCAGCCGATGTTTTCTTAAAGCTAGAAGGATGAGGGGGAGGAAAAAGGCTCAGTAAAGGCAGGAAGGTCAAGGACTACCTGCCAGGTGGAGGTCTGTTTTGATGCCACCTCTCTTCATATGTGCTCGGGAGGTGGCCTGAAAATGTGGCCCTGAAAACCCTTGTGACCCGGAGGGAGAAAGTGATCAAGCTTTCCCAGGAAAGGGACAGGGGTGTCATCCTCACCCAGGGAAGTGTTCCCCTCTAGAAATACAGTTAGAGAGAGTGTGGGGGTGGGTGAACTGTGTGATTCTGGACTTTGGGTGGTGGTGTGGAGGAAGGCTTTGTGGAGGAAGGACTAGGAGGTGTGGCACCAGGCTGTGGGGGGAAGGAGAACCAAGTGGAGCGAATCAAGAGGCCCAGGCTCGGGACAGCCAGCTTTTGGGTAAGCAGGAGCACGTGGTTCCCTCCCATCGATTTCCAGGCTGCAGCCCCAGGCTTGGAGGCAGGCGGGTTCCAGCCACACGTGGGCCAGGCTGGGGTGCTAGGGTAGGGGAGGCTGCACCCTCCAGATCCCCTCTTTCACCTTCTCCAGCTCCAGGGGGAGAGGAACTTTTTCCAGAAGACAGGGCAGCCCTAGACACAGGCTCCTCACCCCACGTCGCTGCCACCTGCTCCAGCTCCGTGGGCTTGGGGCTGTGGGTGGGGGGTTCTCTCCTTCCATCCCCAGCTCTAATCCCTTGCAGCTGTTGTCCTTCTGGGGAAGACAGTTGTGTCAGAGTGGAGGGGAGTAGTTATTTTGAGTTGATCACTAGCTTCCAACTGGGACACATGGATGGCCTTGTCGGGCCCAGCAGTGGGGTGAGCCTGACGAGGGCAGCCCACATGGCCACAGGGGTTGCTGGGGAGCAGGAGGCCACCCTGGCTGCAATGGGGGCTGCAGAGGATAGAGACGGGCCAGGGAGGCCAGAGGCCAGAGGTGTGAAATGTCGGAAATAGATCTGGTGTCCTGAGCATGGGATGGTAAAGTGGGCACAGCTCCCCGCACTGGCCCCTGTGCCACTGGCAACAGTGGAGAAGGAAAAGAGGTCCCTGAGACTGAGGCTGGGCTGCTGGGGGAGGGTAGTGTCTCTCCTCGTAAGGGGCTGGCTAGGCAAGGGTGGTGATTGTCCCCCTCTTCCAGGCAGGCCCTGCCCAACACCTTCTTCCATCCAGAAGGCAGGCTTAGTGGAGGCCTTACACCTCTGATGGCGCAGGATCATTGCAGGGCAATGAACCAATGGATGTGCCCTTCTGAGTGGGAAAAACCAAGTGGCTCAGTGGCTCAGCCCTTCCCTTCAGGGCGTGATGACTTGGAATAAACCTGGCTCCAGTGCTTACCAACCTGAGCTCTGAGACCTGAGGATGTGACATGAACCTCACTGTGCTTTCCTGTTTCACAGAAATGGGAATAACAGCCACGTGCACCTTCCTAGGGCATGGCGGGGATTCACTGATAGCAGATGGAACAGCCTTGAGGCAGGAGTCAGTCCACAGTGAGTGTTGTCATGGTAACTGTAGTTGTCATTGTCTTAGGGTCCTCATGTGGTCCTTGTGGTTGGCCTCCTTCTTGGGCCCCCAACTGTGTCTCAGCTGCATAGAAGGGTTTTATGGCGAGGAGAGGAGAAATGAAGAAATCTTCACCAGGTGGGAAGACTGAGGCTCCTAGAAACGTGGGGAGGAGAGAAGAGTCTCCATGGACTGTCTGCCCCGGGAGGGCAGGGCCGCATCTGTTTCTTCCCTGCTGGATCCCCTGCCCCCAGGACAGTGCCTGGCACAGGGATGAAAGAATGAGTGGATTTCTGAGTGAATCACCCTGGGGTGTGGACCTGCCCTGGGCTGCTGGCTGAAGACGATTGCATGATGATCTCCTGGGCTGGCCAGTGCCAGGCCACGGCTGTTGGATTCCTCTCTCTGGAATTTGAAGAGGAAAACAGAGATGAAGAAGAGGAGAGCCGCGGGGGCTCTGGAGCAGAAGTGAGAAAGAGTCTGACGAGCAGAGGGTGGAGTAGGCCTGTCCAAGGGGAGGCCACACACAGGGCGAGAGTGGCAGCTCCTGCCCCTCTCAGTCTCCCTTCCAGCTCCCCAGCACCTGGAGTGGCCAGAGGAGGGAGTGGGAGAGGAGGGAGTTGCACCTGCTCTCATCCTGGAGCCCCCCCACCGTGAGTGTCCATTCCTTGTTGTTCACTGGTCCCCTCAGTGAGCAAACAGTGAGCCACTGCTGTGTACTGGCTGTGCTGCTAGGATCTGGGGCTGAGCCATGGGCACTGCAGAGTAGCTTTCCTGTTGAGTGGGAGTCCAGAGAGGGGCTTGTAACCCCACCTTCATGGGGGCAGGTGAGAGGAAAGAGGGAGCGCTTCTCGGAGGAAGCCATGTCTACTGTCTGCACTGAAAGCTGAGGGATGGGTACAAGCTGACCAGGGAAAGGAGGTGAAACACATTTCTAGGCAAAAGAAACACCATGGACAAAGGCCTGGAGGGGCCGGGTGCTGTAGCTCGTGCCTTTAATCCCAACACTTTGGGAGGCCAAGGCAGGTGGATCACTTTAGCTCAGGAGTTCGAGACCAGCCTGGGCAACATGGTGAAACCCCATCTCTACAAAAAATAAAATAATTAGCTGGATGTGGTGGCATGCCTGTAGTCCCAGCTATTTGGGAGGCTGAGGCGGGAAGATCACTGGAGCCTGGGAGGTCAAGGCTGCATAAGCAGTGATCACGCCACTGCACTCCAGCCTTGGTGACAGAGCAAGACCCTGTCTCAAAAAAAAAAAAAAAAAAAAAAAAAAAAAAAAAAAAAAGAAAAGAAAAGAAAGAAAAAAGAAACAAAAAGGCCTGGACCTGGAGAGGCTGGAGACAGCCTGGCCAGTTTGAGGGAACTGCAAGAAGTTCCTGTGGCTGGAGCAACGGGTGGGTGGGGGCTGGTGAGAGATCGGGTGAAACGGGGCAATGAATGGTGTCCCCACTCTGGGGTCAGAGCCTGCTTGTGCCAGAGGGTCCAACCCGGCAGCACAGGGGGCGGATGCACCTGAGTGAGTTGTCTTCAGGGCAGAGCCAAGGGCCAGGCCCAGCTGGGCCCCATCTCCAGCCCTTCCACTAGCTGGCCGTGCAGCCCCTGGCCGCTCAGTGCTGCCCCCTGTGGCGATTTCCCCATCTGCACCGGGAAGGGGCTGCCTTGCTGTTCTCTGAAGCCCTGTTCTTGGCTCAGAAGGGCCCTTTGGGCACTGTGAGGGCTGCCGGGGGATGGGGGTGGCAGGATGGAGGGGGCCATGCCAAGTAGTCTGAGAGAAGGGGGTAGGTAGCCCCCAAGGGGGCACCAAGCTTGGCCTTTGTAAGGAAATCCCCTTTTCCAGGGGCCGGTGCAGTCCAGTCGGCTGCTGTCAGCATCACTCTAGACCCTTCCATAGGCTTGGGAGAGATGAATTCCACATGGCTCCTGGCCTGGGTGGCTTTGCTCTTCCCCAGGGAGACCCTCCCCACCCATGGAGGAGGACATGGGCCCCCTGCCTGGCTTTTCAGGGGAGGCTGACTCATGGCCTTGGCGGCCCCCGGCTCAGCCTTTTCCTCCAGCTTTGGGGGAGTGGGGCAGGGGTGAGCTCTTTTCTGGCATTCCCATTCCTCACTTCCTGCCTGCTTCCAGCCTTGGCAGCGGGGCAGGGGTGACATTTATGCCTGCAGCTTTGCAGCTCAGGTCCTGGGAGCCCCTTCCTGTACACTCTCACCTGTTCCTCACAGATGCACCTGCTGGACAGGTGGTACTGTCCTTTTTGACAGATGAGGTGCTGAGGTTGCAGAGAGTCGAAGCCTGGCCTGCTGGTACGAAGCTTGGTAGTGTCAGGCTTGCAGGGGTGAGGTTGGGGAGGGATGCGGCTGCTCTCCTGTTCTCCTAGGGAGGGAAGGTTGCAGGCTGGGCTCTGCCTGAGGACCTGGGGTTGGGATCCTTTCACCCTGCAAGGGAGGGATTGGGTGGTCCTGAACTTCAGAGCTGCCTCTGATAGGCATCCTTGGGAACATTCCTTAAGGGACAAGCCCTTCTATCTTTGGAGCCTAGCCAGGCAGGGGGGCGTGGTATGTGTGGGTGGCTGTCACCAGGGAGGTAGGAAGCACATTGGTGAAAGCCATGTGGGGTGGGGGGGCAGACAGCCCCATATCTGAATCCCAATTCTAGCTCTTCCTCACTGTGTAACTTGGGAAACATCCTTCAGTTCCCAGAGCCTTTGTCTGTAAATGAATCATTGTGCCTCCATCTCGGGGTGGGAGAAAGGATTAATTAAACAACATGATCTATTTGTTAATTCAGACAAATGTTCACTGGGAACCCACTGGATGTCAGGCCCTGGGACATGAAATAAGTGAATGGAGGTTCCCTCATTGAACTTCTAGATGGGGGATGAGCGGCTAGGCACGATCTATGATATGGTAGGCTGGAAGGTGATAGGGCAATGGAAAGAGCCAGGAGGGAGCATATGTTGGGGAGTGGGTTGAGCAGGCCCCTTTGAGAAGGTAATGAGCAACTCCAACATCTCAGAGAATAGCATTCTAAGTAGAAAAAACAGCATTTGCAAAGTCCCTGGGGGTGGGCATGTGCCAGCTGATTCAAGAAACAGAGAAAAAGTCCATTGCAGTGGCACATGCCTGTAGTCCCTGCTACTCAGGAGGCTGAGGTGGGAGGATCACTTGAGCCCGGGAATTCGAGGCTGCAGTGAGCTGTGATTGTGCCACTGCACTCCAGTAAGACTCTGTCTCTTAAAAACAAAAACAAAAACAAACAGCATGGATGAACGTGGTGGCTCATGCCTGTAATCCCAGCACTTCGGGAGGCTGAGGTGGGAGGATTGGTTGAGCTCAGGAGTTCAAGACCAGCCTGGGCAACATAGTGAGACACCATCTTTAGAAAAAAACACAAACAACGAAACATAGTGGGTGAGGGGAGCGTAGGTGAGAAGGAGGTGGGGTGGGCATCGCCTCCTGTGTGACCAGTTCTATAAGGAACTCACTCTGCAGTAGCTGCTGAGAGACCAGGGCCGGTTTGGACCCAGGCACAGGAAGTCTAACCCCACTACTACATGCTGCGGGGGGCGTGTCCTCTCTCATTTCCTGCCGTCAGATGGCCTCTTCCTCAGGTCCTAAGGCTCAGAGGCCTCCCCAGCCATGGCCTGTGACCTCACCCGGACAGAGTCCCCCCAGCTGTCTGCCACCACCCCCAACTTGGGGAGGGCTCTGTGTCAGCCCTGGCCAGACTCGGGGAGCCTTACAAAGAGTCCTTTCACCAGAGGTCATCCTGGGGGGACCAGGAGGGGAGTGGTGCCCTTCTGCCTGTGGGCATAAAGACCCCCTTTCTCTTCTGCAGCACCGGCTCCTTCTGGCAGGGGAAGCAACCGAGTGCAGGGAGATTATCATCCTTCTCTTTCAGTGTATGGGCAAGATGGTCCAGACAACGGTGGAGACTACAGGCTACCAGCCTCGGACTGCCTGCGGGGTGGCCCAACCAGCAGTGGCGCTTCTGCCTCAGGGAGTGCCCCACAGCAAACAGCCCAGCACCCATGGGTCTAGGGGTGCCTGCCTAGGATCCTGGGACAGGAGATAAGCCTCCCCAGCCGGGGTGTGAAGGGGTTGGGCTTGTAATGTCAGAGACCTCCCCAGCTCTGCTCTTCTGGGGTTCCACATCGGTGGCCTCTTCTTGGCTCTGTTAGGGATTCCTCCTGGCCAGTCTTTACCTGGATTTTTAAATTATTATTTATTTATTTATTTATTTTTAGAAACAGGGTCTCTCTCTGTTGCCCACGCTGGAGTACAATGATCATAGCTTACTGCAACCTCCACCTCCCGGGCTCAAGCGATCCTTCTACCTCACCCTCCCGAGAAGCTGGGACTACAGGTGTGCACCAGCGCACACAGTTAATTTTTTTTTTCTTTTTTCTTTTTGGTAGGGATGAGGCTTGCTATGTTGCCCAGGCTGGACCCGAACTCCTGGCCTCAAGTGATCTTCCTGCCTCAGCCTCCCAAAGCACCAAGGTTGCAGACATGAGTCACAGAGCCTGGCCTTTACTTGGATTTCTTACTTCTAACCTGGGCCAAGTCCCTCACACTGCAGTGTGACATTCTATGCTGGACAGGGACCTGCCCTTGGAGGGAAGCAGGCAGGAAACGGGGAGCACAGAGGGACAACCCAGTGGCTATTGAGAGGGGAAGCTCATGGTCCGCCGAGTTGCCTGGGACAGAGTGTGTGCCTATGACAGGGGTGAGAGGAGGGAGAGGGCTTCCCAGGCAGAGCAGGCAGCATGTGCAGAGGCCCTGGGGAGGCCAGGCCCTACCACAGACATGCAGGAGTGATGAGGATGCTTGGCTGGGTGGGGAGGGGCCAACAGGTCTTGCTCCAGAGCAGGGGCTTTATCCAGAAAGCACCAAGCCCTAACCCAAGGTCCCATGTCGGCCCTTAGGAGGTGATTTTTGGGGAAGATGGGAGCCAGGAGCAGGGGCAGGAAGAAAGCAGCCAGCGGGGACCTGGGGAAGATGAGGAGGTGGATGAGCCTGGCCAGTAATGGGTCCAAGGGTTGAGTCAACTGACCAGCTCAGGATGAACCCTGGGTTCTGACTTGAGCAATGGAGGGGGCTGGAGGAGACACCAATGGGGCTGGGAGCAATTGGGGAGGAGCAGGGTGGGTGGGGGGTAGTCTGAGGAGCTGGTGGAACAACTTGGGGAGATGCCCGCAGGATGGGTATAAGGCTACGAGTGCTGGAGAGCCTGGGGAGAGAACGGGATGAGGGTGGGAGGAAAGGAGGAGGAAAAGTAAGGGGAGTTGGAGGAAAGGAGAGAGAGAAGAGAGCAAGAAAGAAAAGGAGAGGTTGGGCGCAGTGGCTCATGTCTGTAATCCCAGCACTTTGGGAGGCTGAGGTGGGCAGATCACGAGGTCAGGAGTTTGAGACCAGCCTGCCCAACATAATGAAACCTCGTCTCTACTAAAACTACAAAACTTAGCCGGGCATGGTGGCGCACACCTGTAATCGCAGCTACTCGGAAGGCTAAGGCAGGAGAATCGCCTGAACCTGGGAGGCGGAGGTTGCAGTGAGCCGAGATTATGCCATTGAACTCCAGCCTGGGAGACGCAGCAAGACTCTGTCTCAAAAAAAAAAAAAAAAAAAAAAAAAGAAGCAATGGAGAAAGTGAAGGAAAGTGAGGCCAGGCGTAGTGGCTCAAGCCTGTAATCCCAGCACTTTGGGAGGCCAAGGCAGGCAGATTGCAAGGTCAGGAGTTTGAGACCAGCTTGGCTGATGTGGTGAAACCCTGTCTCTACTAAAAAATACAAAAATAAGCTGGGTGTGGCGGCGGCAGTCTGTAGTTCCAGCTACTCGGGAGGCTGAGGCAGGAAAATCGCTTGAACCTGGAAGGCGGAGGTTGCAGTGAGCCAAGATTGCACCATTGCACTCCAGCCTGGGCGACAGAGCGAGACGCAAGACTCTGTCTCCAAACAAACAAACAAACAAACAAACAAACAAACAAAAACCAAAGGGGAAAGTGTGGTGAAAGTGAGAACCCTGGAGCTCTACACTGTGGCCCCTGCTTTCTGCGTGAGAGGAGAAGATGCTAGAACCACAGGAGAATGGCATGATTGACCTACCTGATTATGAGCATGTAGAAGATGAAACTTTTCCTCCATTCCCGCCTCCAATCTCTCCAGAGAGACAAGATGTTGAAGGGGCTGAACCTGATGAAGAGTCAGGAAGCAGAGTCCCGTACCTCCAAAGAGAACAGTTAAAAGAAGTATACCCAAGCTGGATGCTCAGATATTAATTTCAGAGAGAGGACTTCCAGCCTTAAGGCATGTATTTGATAACGCAAAATTCAAAGGTAAAGGTCATGAGGCTGAAGATTTGAAGACTCTAATCAGACACATGGAGCACTGGGCACACAGGCTCTTCCCTAAACTGCAGTTTGAGGATTTTATTGACAGAGTTGAGTACCTGGGAAATGAAAAGGAAGTTCAGGCTTGTTTAAAACAAATCTCCCTATTTTACCTGAAGATTTTATTAGCAAGAATGATGAAGTTGTGGGAAATAATGGACATGATGTAACCGCTACTGAATTAGATCCCTTTCTGACAAACTCATCTGAAAGTGAGATATTTGCTTCTGAGTCAAGTAGAAGCCTAACAGAAGAGCAACAACAAAAAATTGAGAGAAATAAACAACTGGCTTTAGAAAGAAGGCAGGCAAAGCTGCTAAGTAATAGTCCCTAGGAAATGATACATTAATGAATGCACCCAGGGCATAGAGAGTTGAGGTTAATGCTGATGAGGATCAAAAGGAGGAATCAATTGGATTAAGTGAAAACATGCTAGACAATCCATGCAATGATGCTCCTGCTAATACTTTAAATGAAGCAGAGGAATTAAAATTAGAGGACACACTGCTGGATCAGTCTTTCACAAATGTGCAACAGTAACTTAAAGCTTCATCCAGAAATGTTACTGAATGCTACATGAGTTTCCATTAAGATAAGATGTATCTGTTAGCTCACCATCCTGCAAGCTTGGTGTTACTATGTTTTTTTGGGGGGGTTTTTTGTTTTTTTGTTTTTTTGAGATGGAGTTTCCCTCTTGTTACCCAGGCTGGAGTGAAATGGTACCATCTCTGCTCACTGCAGCCTCCACCTCCCTGGTTCAAGCGATTCTCCTGTATCAGTCTCCTGAGTAGCTAGGATTACAGGCGTCTGCCACCACGCCTGGCTAATTTTTTATATTTTTAATAGAGATAGGGTTTCACTATGTTGGCCAGGCTGGTCTCAAACTCCTGACCTCAGGTGACCCACCTGCCTCAGCCTCCCAAAGTGCCGGGATTACAGGCGTGAACCACCGTGCCTGGCCATATTTTTTCTTCTTTGAGTGAAAATCCTTAGGTAGTAAAACTTTTACAGATTCTTGTTTAAAATCTGGTATTTGTTTATAATTATTCTTGTCACTTAAGTTAGATCTATTTATTCTCTTTAGTGTTTGTTTTTATATAGATATGACTTTATAAAATGATTAGGGCCAGGCGTGGTGGATCACACCTGTAATCCCAGCACTTTGGGAGGCCGAGGCGGGCAGATCACTAGGTTAGGAGATCGAGACCATCCTGGCTAACATGGTGAAATCCCGTCTCTACTAAAAATACAAAAAATTAGCCGGGCCCGGTGGTGGGTGTGGTGGCGGGTGCCTGTAGTCCCAGCTACTCAAGAGGCTGAGGCAGGAGAATGGTGTGAACCCAGGAGGCAGAGCTTGCAGCGAGCCGAGATCGCGCCACTGCACTTCAGACTGGGTGACAGAGCGAGACTCTGTCCCCCCTCCAAAAAATAAAAAATAAAAATAAAATGATTACTAGGTAATAAGCAGTTTCTGCTGATGATCTATCATTGAATGCCTTGTTTTCACTAAGTTGGAGGTTTTGTTTGTTTGTTTGTTTGTTTAGATGGAGTCTCACTCTGTTGCCCAGGCTGGAGTGCAGTGGTGAAATCTCGGCTCACTGCAACCTCTGCCTCCGGGTTGAAGCGATTCTCCTGCCTCAGCCTCTCAAGTAGCTGGGATTATAGGCACGAGCCACCACGCCCAGCTACTTTTTTTTTTTTGTATTTTTTTTATTATTATACTTTAAGTTCTAGGGTACATGTGCACAACGTGCAGATTTGTTACATATGTATACGTGTGCCATGTTGGTGTGCTGCACCCATTAACTCGTCATTTACATTAGGTATATCTCCTAATGCTATCCCTCCCCGCTACCCAACCCCACAACAGGCCCTGGTGTGTGATGTTCCCCATCTTGTGTCCAAGTGTTCTCATTGTTCAATTCCCACCTATGAGTGAGAACATGCGGTGTTTGGTTTTCTGTCCTTGTGATAGTTTGCTCAGAATGATGGTTTCCAGGTTCATCCCTGTCCCTACAAAGGACATGAACTCATCTTTTTTATAGCTGCATAGTATTCCATGGTGTATATGCGCCACATTTTCTTAATCCAGTCTACCATTGATGGACATTTGGGTTGGTTCCAAGTCTTTGCTATTGTGAATAGTGCTGCATTAAACATACATGTGCATGTGTCTTTATAGCAGCATGATTTATAATCCTTTGGGTATATACCCAGTAATGGGATGGCTGGGTCAAATGGTATTTTTGGTTCTAGATCCTTGGGGAATCGCCACACTGTCTTCCACAATGGTTGAACTAGTTTACAGTCCCACCAACAGTGTAAAAGTGTTCCTATTTCTCCACATCCTCTCCAGCAGTTGTCGTTTCCTGAGTTTTTAGTGATCGTCATTCTAACTGGTGTGAGATGGTATCTCATTGTGGTTTTGATTTGCATTTCTCTGATGGCCAGTGATGATGAGCATTTTTTCATGTGTCTATTGGCTGCATAAATGTCTTCTTTTGAGAAGTGTCTGTTCATATACTTTGCCCAGTTTTTGATGGGGTTGTTTGACTTTTTTATTGTAAATTTGTTTAAGTTATTTGTAGATTCTGGATGTTTGCCCTTTGTCAGATGGGTAGATTGCAAAAATTTTCTCCCATTCTGTAGGTTGCCTGTTCACTCTGATGGTAGTTTCTTTTGCTGTGCAGAAGCTCTTTAGTTTCATTAGATCCCATCTGTCAATTTTGGCTTTTGTTGCCATTGCTTTTGGTGTTTTAGTCCTGAAGTCCTTGCCCATGCCTATGGCCTGAATGGTATTGCCTAGGTTTTCTTCTAGGGTTTTTATGGTTTTAGGTCTAACATTTAAGTCTTTAATCCATCTTGAATTAATTTTTGTATAAGGTGTAAGGACAGGATCCAGTTTCAGCTTTCTACTTATGGCTTGCCAGTTTTCCCAGCACCATTTATTAAATAGGGAATCCTTTCCCCATTGCTTGTTTTTGTCAGGTTTGTCAAAGATCAGATGGTTGTAGATGTGTGGTATTATTTCTGAGGCCTCTGTTCTGTTCCATTGGTCTGTATCTCTGTTTTGGTACCAGTACCATGCTGTTTTGGTTACTGTAGCCTTGTAGTATAGTTTGAAGTCAGGTAGCGTGATGCCTCCAGCTTTGGTCTTTTGGCTTAGGATTGTCTTGGCAATGCACACGCCCAGCTAATTTTTGTATTTTTAGTAGACACGGGGTTTCACCATGTTGGCTAGGCTAGTCTCGAACTCCTGACCTCAGGTGAGCCACCCGCCTCGGTCTCCCAAAGTGCTAGGATTACAGGCATGAGGCACTGTGCCCAGTGTTTTGGTTTTTACTGCTGCTTGCAGAGCAGGGTTAACCCATGGACAGTGTGCCCAGAGTAGCCTGGGTGAAGTTTTAAGATGTACATGTATATTAAATATTAATGGCTGGCACGGTGGCTCACACCTGTAATCCCAGCACTTTAGGAGGCTGAGGCGGTTGGATCACGAAGTCAGGAGATCGAGACCATCCTGGGTAACACGGTGAAACCTCGTCTCTACTAAAAATACAAAAAATTAGCTGGGCGTGGTGGTGGGCGCCTGTAATCCCAGCTACTCAGGAAGCTGAGGCAGGAGAATGGCATGAACCCGGGAGGCGGAGCTTGCAGTGAGCCGAGATCGTGCCAATGTACTCCAGCCTGGGCAACAGGGTGAGACTCCGTCTCAAAAAAAAAAGTGGGGATGAGCTACAGCCAGGAGACCTGGTTGGACACAGCAGGAAGTTCTCGATTAAACAGCAGAGCATGGGCTGGGTGCCGTGGCTCACGCCTGTACTCACACTCATCCTAGCACTTTGGGAGGTTGAGGCAGGAGGATTGCTTGAGCCCATGAGTTTAAGACCAGCTTGGGCAACATAATGAGATCCTGTCTCTACAAAAATAAAATAAAATAAGCAGCAGAACAGTCCCATAGGGAAGGGGCCTCCTCCTAGGAGCCCTGGCCTTACCCGAGGCAAGGGACTGGCCACCATGGCCTCTCAAAGGGCACAGGCTGCATGGTGTTTCTCGGGGTTGATGGAATCCCATGGGGAAGGTGGGTTTTCTGCTCTGCACCTCAGTTTCCCTCCATAAGGCAGAGTTGTGGTTAGTGGCCTGGGTTCAATGACAGGGCAGGGTGGGGGCTCTGTAGCCCAAGCCTGGCTGGCGATGTCGCTGCGTGTCCATGTCCAGGTGGGCCCTGGGGCCTCCTCCTCCCCACCCCCAGCCTTTGTTCCAGGAAAGGCAGGAAAAGGCAGCTGGAGGAGAGGGGTGGAGGGCTGGAGCCCGCGGAATGTTTCCAGGGAAAAAGTGATCCTTCCACAGAACAGCCAGCCAGTGCCACCTCCCCTACTCCACCCCACTCCCACCCTTCCCCCTCCCGCCGCCGCCTCCATTTCTTCTTCCCTCACTTTCTGGCAGAAGGAGCCCAGCAGCTGGAAAAACCATGCTCTGCTCCCAGCTCCCATCCTTAGCACTGCCCAACCCCAGGTGCCTTGCAGGCGGGGCAGGGGTGGGTGAGGGTGTATGTGTGCAAGTGTATGAGTGTGTGTGTGTGAATGTGTGTGAATGTGTGAGTGTGTTTGAGAGTGTGTGTATGAGTGTGTGTGCATGCGTGAGAGTGAGTAAATGTGTGTGAGTGAATGTGTGTGTGGTGTGTGAGTGCATGTGTGTGCATGTGTGCGTGGATGTGTGTGAGAATGTGTGCATATGTGAGCATGTTTGTGCACGTGCAGTGTAGTTTGTGTGTGCAGTTGCGAGTGTGTGCATGGGTGTGACAGTATGAGCGTGCATGTGTGAACGTTTGTGTGTACGTGTGTTCGAGTGAGGGTGCATGTGTTCGAGTGTGTGTGCATGTGTGTTCGAGTGTGCACTTGTGTGTTCAAGTGTGATTATGCGTGTGTGAATGTTAGTGTGTGTATGTGTACCTGTGTGTGTTCAAATGCGAGGGTACGTGTGTGTTTGAGTGTGAATGTGTGTTAGGGTATGCATGTGTACGTGTTTGAGTGTGAATGTGTGTTAGGGTGAGTATGCATGTGCACGTGGTGTGAGTGTGCATGTGTTTGAGTGTGCATGTGTGTATGAGTGCGTGTGTGCGAGTGTGTGTTCAAGTGTGATTGTGCATTTGAGTGAATGTGTTAGAGTGTGAGTGTACGTGTGTGTTCGTTTGTGTTCGAGTGTGAGTGTGCATGTGGGTGTTTGAGTGTGAATGTGTGTTCGAGTGTGAGTATCCATGTGTAAGTGGGAGTGTGTTTGAGTGTGAATGTGTGTTCGAGTGTGAGTGTGCATGTTTGAGTATGAGTGTCCGTGTGTGTTTGTGAATGTGTGTTCGAGTGTGAGTGCATTTGAGTGTGAGTGTACATGTTTGTGAGTGTGCGTGTGAGTGTACATGTGTTTGAGTGTGAGTGTGCATGTGTGTTTGAGTGTGAGTGTGCGTGTGTGAGTGTGCATGTGCACGCATGGCTGCCGCTGACGTAACCCAGGTGCATGTGAGGACATGGGAGTAGCGTGGCCATCACCTGTAGTCGTGGATGCTGGAGAGAAGCAGGGTGTATAAACGGGGAAAGAAACCGGCCTGAATCGACCCCCTGGAGCCTCAGTGTTGCCACCTGCATGTGGGGTGGCACTGGCCCTGCTTCCCTAGGGCTGATGTGTCACAGAGAAGCCAACGTGGAAAGGGGCAGGAACATGTCTCGGTTCTCTTAGCTACCAATTGCTCTCATAGCAACCTTCGAGGCAGGTGCTGCTATTGTCCCCGCATCCCACGTGGGGAGCCCGAGGCTCAGGGGTGTAAAGTGGCTTGCAGCTGGCAAGTAGCTGACTTGAGACCAGAACCCAGGTCTGCCTCACTTCAGGGCATCTCTCCCAACCCTGTGCTGTTGCCCCACGTCACACCGAGGCCTGGCCCCCTCATCCTCCCTCCAGGCTCTGGGACTCAGTTTCTGTCCCCTGGGCAACTAGCTGCTCCTCCTCTGCCTGTAGGACCTGAGGCCCTTCCTTGCCTCAGGGATGTTCAGCAGGTTGTCCCAGGCCAAAGAATCCTATGAAGTCACCTGGTCCAACCCCTTGTCATTCATTTGGTGAGCCTGAGGCCCCAGGCCTAGTGCTTAAGGTTGCAAAGCACATCCGGCCAGAGCTGGGGCTCCAGCCCCCTGCCTGGTGGTCCAGGAATGGGCTGTTTTTCTCTCTTCCTTCTCCCAGGCAGATTGGCTCGTGGAGGGGCTATCAGCACAGACACACCCCTCTTCCTCTCTCTCCTCCGCCGTCCCCAAGCCCCACCGCCATTTCCCTGCCCTCCTTAAATGAGGGGCTCAGCTGCAAGGAGAAGCTGAGGTTTCCGGAGATCCCTCCCTGCCCCTGGGCATGGATCCCTGTTCGGATTCATGGATCCCACAGGCTGCTCAGAGGGACTCAGGCCTTCCCCAGCGCTCATCTCTGCCCGCTCCTCCCAGTATAAACACCACGGTTAATAATGTATATTTGCCCAGGGGCACGCAGCCTCTCAACAGCAAGCCCATAACTTCCAACCAGCGCCACACGGAAGGTGTCAGAGGACCACCGGGACATTAGTGCCTGCGCCTGACACCGGCCTCACGGGCCAGCACGCCCCAGGTGGGCCAGCCTCACTGCCTCACACGGCCACAGCAGGTCCACCTACATTTATGGTGTATGGTTGTAAAAATGGGTGACCCAGAAAAACTCCTTTTAGACTATTTTGAAACTTCTAATGTTGAGGCTCCTGCATACACCATCTTCTATCGTGTAAACCTAGGTACCTGAAACCAGCCCCCTGGTTGGTCTGGCTGGAGGCCAACCCAGCACCACTAGGGGTCGGGGGGATGCTGGGCCAGCAGGAAGTGGCAAGAACAGTGGTGCCCAAGGGCCAGGTGCGATGGCTAACGCCTGTAATCTCAGCACTTTGGGAGGCTGAGGCGGGAGGATCACGAGGTCAGGAGTTCGAGACCAGCCTGGCCAACAGAGCGAAACCCATCTCTACTAAAAATACAACAAAAAAAAAAAAAAAAAAAAAAAAATTCAGCCAGATGTGGTGGCAGGTGCCTGTAATTCCAGCTACTCAGGAGGCTGAGGCAGAAAAATCGCTTGAACCTGGGAGGTGGAGGTTGCAGTGAGCCGAGATTGCTCCATTGCACTCCAGCCTGGCAACAGTGCGAGACTCGGTGCAAGCCCATATGACAACCGGCTAGCACCACACAGATTGTGTCAGAGGATGCTGGGCGGTTGCTGCCCCTGCCCGACACCGGCCTCACAGGCCAGCACGCCCCAGGTGGGCCGGCCTTACCACCTCGTGTGGCCACAGCAGGGCTATCTACCTTTGCAGTGTATGGTTGTAAAAATGGGTGACCCAGAAAAAAGCCTTTTAAACTATTTTGAAACTTCTAATATTGAGGCTCCTGCATCCACATAGTCTTCTATGGTGTAAACCCTAAAGCTGTCACTGGGGTGGGAAACGGAGCTGAGCGGTCCCAGGGCTGAGCCAGTCTGGGGAGGCTTCCAGGAGGAGGGGTTCTGGGGAGCTGTGTGCCAGTCTAGAGGTGACTTTTTTAGGGATGATGCCTAAGGCAGGGAGGGGAGTGGAAGGTGGCTGGGGCGGGGGAAAGATCCCAAACCAGAACATCTGCCCAGAGGCCCACCGCCTTCCCAGAGCCTGCTGGACACCCAGCCAGGCTGGCCAGCACAACCAAGGGCTGGGAGGATGGGACGCAGCCACAAGATGAGGCCCCAGGCTTGCTGGGAAGGTACTAGGGTGGAAGGGGGCCTCCACCAGCCACAGAGTCAGCCAATACTGTAACTGCCCAAGGGGTCCACCTTGCCTGCTGCCTAGACAGAGCTGACTGCAATAGAGAAAGAGTAATTCACGCAGAGCCAGCTGTGCGGGAGATCAGGGTTTTATTATTACTCAAATCAGTCTCCCCGAGCATTAGGGAAGCAGAGTTCTTAAGGATAACTTGGTGGGTGGGGGGAAGCCAGTGAGCCAGGAGTGCTGATTCGTCAGGGATGAAATCATAGCAATCAGATCAGATGAGCCAGTTTATTGATCTGGGTGGTGCCAATTGATCCATCAAGTGCAGAGTCTGCAAAATATCTCAAGCACTGAGCAGATTAGGGAAGGTCAGAATCTTGTCAGAATCTCCAGCTGCGTGACTCCTAAACCATAATTTCTAATCTTGTGGCTAATGTTAGTCCTACAAAGGCAATCTAGTCCCCAGGCAAGAAGGAGGTCTGTTTTGGGAAAGTGCTGTTACCGTCTTTGTTTAAACTATAAACTATGAACTAACTTTCTCCCAAAGTTAGTTCAGCCTACGCCCAGAAATGAACAAGGACAGCTTGGAGATTAGAAGCAAGATGGAGTCAGTTAAGTTAGATCTGTTTCACTGTCTCAGTCATAATTTTGCAAAGGCAGTTTCAATAGCAGCCCAGAAGTTGTTGTCCTCCCTGGACTCAGCTTAGCTCATCAGACGCTAAACTCTGTGCTTTCTGGTGCCCAGTCTGAGCTCTGCGGACACCATACCTGCCCTGGGGAGTTGACACTTGGTGGGGACATGGACACTGCCCCCATCTCCCCGGGTTGGTGCCGCCTTCCCTTAGCCACTGCAGCTGTGAGCTGCCAGGAGCTAGACGCTCTCCAGAGGACGCCTTTGGCTGATGGGAGCCATGCTACTGGACCTGCCCAGGAGGTTATGAGCGATGGTTGAAGGCCAGCAGTGTGGGTTGGGTGGGGGTGTGGGGTGGGGGTGTAGAGCAACCCAGTCCCCTTGCCTCTTGATTTCACAGCCTCTTTGGTGCCATTGGTGCCCTGAAACTCCCCTTCATATCAGGCTGGGGCAAGATTTCTCCCAAAATCACATCTTGGCCCAGCCCTGCCCTGCTTCTCACTCTCACAGGTTTCTTGAGATCTCAGTAAAACTCCTACACAAGATTTCCCATCTCTGGCTCTGCTTCTGGGGAGCTTGATGCCCACAGACTTGGCAATCTCTCCCACTGAATGTACATCAGAGATGGGAGGGAGTGGCCGGGCGCGGTGGCTCACGCCTGTAATCCCAGCACTTTGGGAGGCCAAGGCGGGTGGATCACGAGGTCAGGAGATCGAGACCATCCTGGCTAACATGGTGAAACCCTGTCTCTACTAAAAATACAAAAAAAATTAGCTGGGCATGGTGGCGGGCGTCTGTAGTCCCAGCTACTCAGGAGGCTGAGGCACCAGGATGGCGTGAACCCGGGAGGCGGAGCTTGCAGTGAGCCAAAATCACGCCATTACACTCCAGCCTGGGTAACTGAGCAAGACTCGGTCTCAAAAAAAAAAGAGATGCGGTGGGGCGGGGGAGTGTGGCCCAATCTTGAGGGCACAGGAAAGCCTCCCAGAAAAGGTGACATTTGAATTGGGGTCTTGAAGGTTCAGTAAGAATTGCCCAGTTGGCTGGTCCAAGTCCAGTGGTGTTTACAACTAATCGATCACAACCAGTAGCAGATTTCTTTTTCCTTCTCTACTCTCACTGCTTCACCTGACCAGCTTTAAAAAAAAAAAAAAAAAAAAAAAAAAAAAGGGCCAGGTGCGGTGGTTCACGCCTGTAATCCCAGCACTTTGGGAGGCTGAGGCGGGTGGATCACCTGAGGTTGGGAGTTCAAGACCAGTCTGACCAACATGAAGAAAGCCCATCTCTACTAAAAATACAAAATTAGCTGGGCTTGGTGGCTCATGCCTGTAATCCCAGCTACTCGGGAGGCTGAGGCAGGAGAATCGCTTGAACCCCAAAGGCGGAGGTTGCGGTGAGCCGAGATCGCGCCATTGCACTCCAGCCTGGGCAACAAAAGCAAAACTCCAGCTCAAAAAAAAAAAAAAAAAAAAAAAAAAGGAATTGCTCAGTTGAAAGTTGCCTGCTGCATTAGACAAAGCTGCCTGCTGTAATTGCTGAAGATGAGGGGAAGGAAGGTTAGGAAAAGGGGCAGCCTGAGCAAAGGGCCTGAGGCAGGGAGAGGCAGGGCACAGACAGGAAGAGATTGGACCTGTGGCTGGAGGGCAGGGATATGGAAGGGAGGCAGGAGATGAGATTAGAAAGGAATTTAGGCTGGGCACTGTGGCTCAAGCCAGTAATCCCAGCACTTTGGGAGGCTGAGGTGGGTGGATCACTTAAGGCCAAGAGTTGAGATGAGCTTGGTCAACATAGTGAAACCCTGTCTCTACTAAAAAATACAAAAATTAGACGGGGCATGGTGGCTCACACCTGTAATCCCAGCACTTTGGGAGGCTGAGGTGGGTGGATCACTTGAGGTCAGGAGTTTGAGACCAGCCTGGCCAACATGGCGAAACCCCATCTCTACTAAAAATACAAAAATCTGCCAGGTGTGTGTCAGCCTGTAGTCCTAGCTACTTGGGAGGCTAAGGCAGGAGAATTGCTTGAACCAGGGAGGTGGAGGTTGCAGTGAGCCAAGATCATGCCACTGCACTCCAGCCTGGGTGACAGAGCGAGACTCTGTCTCAAAAATAAGGAAAGAAAGGAATTTAGTGCCAGCACAGAGGGAGAATGCCTGTCACCATGTAAGCCAGGGGCTGTGAGTTCACACCACCCACCACCCCTCTGTCTTGCACACACAGACAGTCACGGCTGATGGACCGTCACACTCTTTCTTGTAGAGCCCAGACAGAGCCTCAGAATCCTCAACGTTTCACCTTGGCAGGTTCTATCTACTGATGGAATTACCACATGAGGTGACACCCATTGACTATCCCTGCCCCGGGCCAAGCCCAGGCTGGACCTGTGAGATGTGGGCCGAGTCCTGAGGCCTCCTGAGTACAGTAGGGGTCTCCCTGGGGAAGCAACCATTGTGGCCCATAAATAGGTTAGGCGGTCAGGAAACGGGAAATCCTGAAACACAATAAGCCCTGCTGCGCAGGGGTTTCCTCCGGGCCGAGGGCCGGACTGAGGATGCTTCTTGGGCCAAAAGCCTTGCTGAAGCAAGACTCCTGTTTGCTGGCCCCAGGCACTGGCTCTTCCCGTGGCTCTCAGGGGGACTCAAGGCCCAGCCTCACCCCACCCAGCCCAGCGAGGGCAGCTCAGGACAGCTCAGGATGAGCCAGGACAGGCAGTGTTCCACTGAGGGGACAGCGATTATCCGCCCGGCTCCCAGCTGAGCCCTGGCACTAGGCGCTGGTGGGGGCTGCCGCCGTAGCCAGGTGGGGGCCAGGGAATGGATGAACCCCCTCCAGGGTCAGTGAGTGCTTCTGCCAGGCCTTCCAAGCCCAGGGGCCTGCACACCTCTAATATCTGTGTCTGTGGACCTGTCTCCAACCAGGGCTCCCCAAGGGCACAGTAAGCCCCAAGCTGACCCTCCCTGGACCCCAACAACAGAGACATAATGTAGTCCCTCTATAGAGAACCAGGTAGCCTGTAAAACTATGCTCTAGAAAAATTCTATTAAGTAGGCAAGTAATAAAACACAAAATCCTATAGGATCTCAATGCTGTTAAAATGCAAACAGCAGGCCGGGCGCGGTGGCTCACGCCTATAATCCCAGCACTTTGGGAGGCCGAGGTGGGCAGATCACAAGGTCAGGAGTTCAAGACCAGCCTGGCCAATATGGTGAAACCCTGACTGTACTAAAAAATACCAAAAAAATTAGCCGGGCTTGGTGGCACATGCCTGTAATCCCAGCTATTCAGGAGGCTGAGGCAGAAGAATTGCTTGAATCTGGGAGGCAGAGGTTGCAATGAGCCGAGATGACGCCACTGCATTCCAGCCTGGATGACAGAGTGAGACTCCGTCTCAAAAAAAGAAAAAAATAATACAAACAGCAATCTGTGTTCATGTGTGTCCACATGCATGTGCATGGAAAAGGCAGGAAGGAGAAGCGTCACATGTCAAGGTGGTGGGGATTTTTATTTTCTTCTTTGTGCTTTTCTGGACTTCCTAAATTTTCTACAGTGAACTTTGTAATCATTTAAAAAAAGGGAAAAAAAAAAAGGCTGAGTGTGGTGAGGTGCGCCTGTAGTCCTGGCTACTTGGGAGGCTGAGGTGGGAGGATCACTTGAGCCCAGGAGATAGAGGCTGCAGTGAGCTACGATCATGCTACTGCATTCCAGCCTGAGCAACAGAGCAAGAGCGTCTCGTAAAAAAAAAAAAAAAAAAATTAAGTTTTTAAAGAAAAAAAACAACACCCAGATCCTACAGTACCTGTTTTCTTTTAAGTACCATGTTTACAAAGAATTTTTAAAGCAGCGGGGAAATAAATACTGATAGAAACTGTAACACTGAGGGGAAAACAGGATGCGACATTGTATACATGGTATGTAAAGCAGGGGATGCTCAGGACAGGAGGGGACAGGAAGGAAGCGCACAAGATTAGAGCTGCTGACTTTAGTGGGGCTATCGCCACAGGCCCCGTCATCTATAGTATAGGACAATGCCCACACCCTTGCATACACTGCATACCACTAGTTTTTAACAGTTTTGGCAGTCCAGTGCATGGAACATAGTGTCTTGTAATTTGCACGTCCTTGATCACTGAGCCTCGTGTTTCTTCTCAATGCTTCATTATGAAAATTTTCAGCATATAGAAAAGTGGAAAGAATTGTACAATGGGCCAGGCGCAGTGGCTCACACCTATAATCTCAGCACTTTGGGAGGCTGAGGCAGGTGGATCATGTGAGCCCACAAGTTCGAGACCAGCATGGGCAATGTGGCAAAGCCCTGTCTCTACTAAAAACACAAAAAATTAGCCAGGAGTGGTGGCGTGTGCCTGTAGTCCCAGCTACTAGGGAGGCTGCGGTAGGAGAATCATCTGAGCCCGGGGAGTCAAGGCTGCAGTGAGCCGTGATCACACCATTGCACTCCAGCCTGGGCGATGGGAGTGAGACTCTGTCTCAAAAAAAAAAAAAAAATTGTACAGTGAACACCCATCTACCCACCATATGGGTTCTGCAATTAATATTTTACTAGACTTGCTTTAGCACATATCTATCTATCCATCCATGACTACTTTTTAAATGTATATTTCACTGCAAATTACAGACATCAGACACTTCA
Source organism: Homo sapiens (assembly GCF_000001405.40). Taxonomy (NCBI): domain Eukaryota; kingdom Metazoa; phylum Chordata; class Mammalia; order Primates; family Hominidae; genus Homo; species Homo sapiens. The sequence goes on along the minus strand of NC_000016.10, from coordinate 58,079,562 downwards.
TCCCTAAACACTTGGGCATGCGTATTATTCACTAGAATTGAATATTTGTTCATAGTTCTTCCCCCACCCCAGGTAAAATTTACATATGATAATATAACAATTTTTTTTCTTTTTTCTTTTTTCTTTTTTTTGAGACGGGCTCTCACTATGTTGCCCAGGTTGGTCTCGAACTCTTGGCCTCAAACAATCCTCCCACCTTGGCTTCCCAAAGTGCTGGGATTACAGGCATGAGTTACCACACCTCGTCTGGTAATGTAACAATCTTAAGTGTGTTATTTGATTAGTGATGACAAATGCATACACCTGTGTAACCCAGTGCCCTATCATGATATAGAACGTGACCCCCAGAAAACTGCATCCCCATCACCTGCTACCTAGTCAATATCTAACCCTCCACTCTCCTGAGGCAAGCAGGAATGCCTGATTGCTCTTATGTTTTCATCATAGATTAGTTTTGCCTATTCTGAAACTTCCTATAAATGGAATCATGCCACTTGTGCCTGCTTGTGTCTGGCTTCTTTCATTCAACATTATATATGTGGGGTTTATCCATTTGTGATAGTCATTGCAATAGTTAACTACTATTGTTAAACAGTGTTTCACTGTATAGATAGACCATTGTTTATTCATTCTCTTGTCGATGGACACCTAGTCTGCTTACATTTTTACTTATTATTAATAAAGCTGCTATAAGCACATTCATATACAAGTCTTTTTGTGAGCACGTTTTTGTATCTCTTGGAATGCAATTTCTCTAGGAACGTAATTGAGCCAGCCTCTTTTCTTTTCTTTTTTTTTTTTTTTGAGACAGAGTCTCACTGTGTTGCCCAGGCTGGAGTGCAGTGGCGCGATCTCAGCTCACTGCAAGCTCCGCCTCCTGGGTTCACGCCATTCTCCTGCCTCAGCCTCCTGAGTAGCTGGGACTACAGGAACCTGCCACCACGCCCGGCTAATTTTTTTGTATTTTAATAGAGACGGGGTTTCACCGTGTTAGCCAGGATGGTCTCGATCTCCTGACCTCGTGATCTGCCCACCTCAGCCTCCCAAAGTGCTGGGATTACAGGCATGAACCACCGCGCCCAGCCGAGCCAGCCTCTTTTCATGTTTGTTAGACACTTGAATTTCTTTTTCTTTTACCTATTTTTTTTTCTTATTGATTTGTAGGAGCTCTTTGATTGTTAGTGTTGGACCGTAAGGATGCAAAAGAAAAAATCTTAAGGCATAGCCCCTGCCCTCAGGAGCATCCATGGTTTAGCAGGGTAGACAGACGGGGAAGTAACTGGGATATGATGGGATGGCTGCTGTGTGCTCATTTATTCCTTTGTTTATTTAAGCTGAAAGTCCAACTGTGTCACTCATCTGCCGCACCTCACTCCAGGTAAAAGCCAACAAGGTTCTACAGGATCTCACGTCATCTGGTCCCCGGCAGCCCCTCTGACCTCACTCCCGCCACTGTCCCCGTTCAATCGGTTCCAGCTGCTGTGGCTCCTTGCTTTTCCATAACTCACCAAGCACAATCCCTGCCTCAGGGCCTCTGGCCGTGCCAGTCCCTCTTCCTGGAACATTCCTCACCACAGGGCCACATTATTTTCTTCCTGTATTAGTCTCCCATGGCTGCCATAACAAATGACACAAACGTGGTGGCTCAAACAAAAGAATTTCATTCTCGTACAGTTCTGGAGGCCAGAGGTCCAAAATCACTCCCCTTCCAAAGGCTCCAAGGGAGAATTCCAGCATCTTCCAGCTTCTGGTGGCTCCATGTTCCTTGGCTTATGGCTGCCTCTGTCTTCACATGGCCCTCTCCTCTCCATCTGTCTTCCTTTGTGTGTTTCTTATAATGATACTTGTCGTTGGATTAGGGTCCACCTGGATAATCTACCATCTAGAGATCCTTAACGGCAAGAACTCTTTTCCCAAATAAGGTTACATTCACAGATTTTGGGGACTAGGACACTGACATATCTTTTTGGGGGCCACCATCCAACCCACCACAGTCCATTCTCAAGTGCCCCCAAATTCATGAGTGAAATACATTGACCCCATCACAACATCCCCTAAGTCTCCATCCATTAGTTTGTTGTTGTTGTTGTTGTTTTCAGATGAAGTTTCACTCTTGTTTCCCAGGCTGGAGTGTGGTGGCATGATCTCAGCTCACTACAAACTCCACCTCCCGGGTTCGAGTGATTCTCCTGCCTCAGCCTCCTAAGTAGCTGAGATTACAGGCACGTGCCACCATACCCAGCTAATTTTTGTATTCGTAGTAGTGACGGGGTTTCACCATGTTGGCCAGGCTGGTCTCAAACTTCTGACCTCAGGTGATCCACCAGCCTTGGCCTCCCAAACTGCTGGGATTACAGGCGTGAGCCACCACATGCGGGCCCATTACAGTATTACCTCAAAATCCAAAATTTCATCTAAAGATAATTATCTCAAAAAAGTCCCATATCTCATTAGGAAATTAGGAATGGGTGAGAACTGGGATATGTTCCATCCTAAGGCAAAATTCCTCTCCACCTATGGACGTATGAAACTAGGAAAAAAATTACATGCTTCCAAAATATCATGGGGGACAGGCATAGGACAGATATTTCCATTCCAAAATGGAGAAAGCAGAGGGATTATATGGGTTATGAGTCCCAAGCAAGTCCAAAATCCATCAGGTCCAATTCCGATAGGTTCCAAGGCCTGAGGATGATTCTCTTTGGCTCAATGATCCACTCTCAGCAGCCCTGTCCAGCCCAGTTGTTGTCTGTAGAATTTTGCAGGTCCAATAGCCTTCTTTCATTTTGTCTTGTCTCCATCCCTTTTGGTCTAAGCTGGCAGTGTTTCTGCTGGTATAATACTTTCAAAAACCTTGTGGGTCTCCCATGTATTTAACAGGGATTCATGCCATTAGACAAGAGGCACCTCCACATATATTTCCTGGTTGAGTTCATCTCTATTTTATCCCTGGCTTCTGTGAAAATGATTGAGCAAATCCATGCATAAGTCACACACCTAATCTCTTCAGCACAAAGTTGTCTAGATATATTTTTGTTTCTCTCTCCACAGCATGCTTTTCCAACAGTAAATTTCCTCATTTTAACATCCTTTGCAATCTGGATAGGCCAAGAAAACTTTAAATCCACAAGCACTGGTTCCTTTTTGCTTAACAGTTCCTTCCTCAGTTTATTTCCTTCATCTCTTATTTTACTATAAGCCACAAAGAGAAATCAGGCCATACCTTTAACACTTTGCTTGGAATTCTCCTCACTAAATATCTAAGTTCATTGCTTAACAAGTTCTACTTTCCACACAACAGTGAAACACACTTCAGCCAAGTTTTCTGTCACCATATAACCAGGATCTCCTTTTCTCCAGTTTTCAATAACATGTTCCTCATTTCTTAGCTGGGCACAGTGGCTCTTGCCTGTAATCCCAGCACTTAGGGAGGCCAAGGTGGGAAGATTGCTCGAGGCCAGGAGTTCAAGACCAGCCTGGGCAAAATAGGGAGACTCTCTCTACAAAAAAAAAAAAAAAATTAGCCAGGCATGGTGGTTTGTGCCTGTAGTCCCAGCTACTCAGGAGGCCAAGGTGGGAGGATTGCTTGAGCCCAGGAGGTTGAGGCTGCAGTGAGCTGCGATTACACCACTGCACTCCAGCCTGGGCAACAGAGCAAGACTCTGTCTCAAAAATAAAACAAAACAAAACAGAACAAAACCATGTTCCTCTTTTCCTTCTGAACTCTCACCAGAAATGCCTTTAATGTTCATATTTCCACCAACATTCTGTTCATAACTATATATTATTTAAGTTTATGGAAGTTTTCTCTTCCATGTTCCTAATTTCCTTCTGAGCCCTTAACATCAGCATCTGTTTTGTTTTGTTTTTTTTTTTTTTTGAGATAGAGTCTAGTTCTGGCACCCAGGATGGAGTGTAGTGGCTCCATCTCAGCTCACTGCAACCTTCACCTCCCAGGTTCAAGTGATTCTCCTACCTCAGCCTCCCGAGTAGCTGGGATTACAGGCACCCACCACCATGCCCAGCTAATTTTTTGTATTTTTAGTAGAGACGGGGTTTCACTGTGTTGGTCAGGCTGGTCTTGAACTCCTGACCTTGTGGTCCGCCCACCTCGGCCTCCCAAAGTGCTGGGATTACAAGTGTGAGCCACTGCGCCCACCCAGCATCTTTATTTATTTATTTATTTTTATTTTATTTTATTTTATTTTGGAGACAAAGTCTCACTCTGTCGCCCAGGCTGGAGTGCAGTGGCGCGATATCAGCCTCTGCCTCAGCCTCTCCAGTAGCTGGGATTACATGCGCCCCCACCACGCCCGGCTAATTTTTGTATTTTTAGTAGAGATGGGGTTTCACCATGTTGGCCAGGCTGGTCTCAAACTCCTGACCTCAAGTGATCCGCCCGCCTCAGGCTCCCACAGTGCTGAGATTATAGGCATGAGCCGCCGCACCCAGCCAACATCAGCATCTTTAATATCTATATCTATCTATCTATCTATCTATCTATCTATCTATATATATATATATATATATATTTTTTTTTTTTACCAACAGTCTACTCAAGGCAATGTAGGCTTTTTTCTATTATGTACCTCCAAATTCTTCCAGCCTCTACCCATTATCCAATTCCAAAGCTATTTCCTCATTTTAGGTATTTGTTACAGCAGCAACCCACGCCTAGTACCGAAATCCATATTTGTTTCCAGGACTGTGCTGTGGTTGGGTATGGTTTATTTGGCCCTGCCTAGTCTCATCTTGAAATCTGATCCCTAATGCTGGAGGTAGGGTCTGGTGGGAGGTGTTTGGATCACAGGGGTGGATCCCTCGTAAATGGCTTGGTGCCATTCTTTTTTTTTGTTGTTTTTTTGAGACGGAGTCTTGCTCTGTTGCCCAGGCTGGAGTGCAGTAGCGCGATCTCGGCTCACTGCAAACTCCGCTTCCTGGGTTCATGCCATTCTCCCACCTCAGCCTACTGAGTAGCTGGGACTACAGGCACCCGCCACCACGCCCGGCTAATTTTTTTGTGTTTTTAATAGAGACGGGGTTTCACTGTGTTAACCAGGATGGTCTCGATCTCCTGACCTCATGATCCTCTCATCTTGGCCTCCCAAAGTGCTGGGATTACAGGCGTGAGCCACTCCGCCCAGCCTGGTTTGGTGCCATTCTCATGGAAGTGGGTGAGTTCTCACTCAGTTCCCATGAGAAGCAGTTGTTGAGAAGAGCTGGGCACGTCCTCCTCTTTTTCTCCATTTCACTTTCAGCATGTGATCACTGTATGCTGGCTCCCCTTAGCCTTCTGCCATAAGTGGAAGCAGCACAAAGCTCTCCCCAGAAGCTGAGCAGAGGCCGGCGCCATGCTTCTGGTACAGCCTGCAGAACTGTCAGCCTAATAAAACTCTTTTCTCAATAAATTACCCAGCCTCAGGTAATCCCCTATGGCCACACAAAGGGACTAAGACAGGCTGCCATGTCAAACTACCACAAACTTGGTGACTTAAGAACAGAAATTTATTCTCAGTTTTGGAGCCCCAAATTCCTAGATCAAAGGACACACTTCCTCTGAAGTCTAGGGGAGAATAATTCCTTGTCCCTTCCAGCTTTAGGTGGCTCCAAGTGTTCCTTGGCTTGTGGCTGCATCACTTCAATCTCTGCCTCCATCTTCACCTGGTCTTCGCCTTTCTGTGTATCTCCGTGTGTGTGGTGGTTTTTTGTTTTGTTTTTGTTTTTGTTTTTAAAGATGCAGTCTTGCTCTGTCGCCCAGGCTGGAGTGCAGTGTTGTGATCTCAGCTCACTGCAACCTCCGCCTCCTGGGTTCAAGCGATTCTCATGCCTCAGCCTCCTGAGTAGCTGGGACTACAGGTGTGCACCACCATGCCTGGCTAATTTTTGTATTTTTAGTACAGTCGGGGTTTCACCATGTTGGCCATGCTGGTGTCGAACTCCTGACCTCAAGTGATCACCTGCCTCGGCCTCCTTACAGGCGTGAGCCACCACGCCCACCCCTCTGTGTGTTTTTCTTGTAAGATACTTGTCATTGGACTTAGGGCCCACTTGGATAAACCTGGATGATCTCATCTTGAGATCCTTAATGACATCTTCAAAGACCTTTTGTTAAATAAGGTTACATTCATAGGTTTTGGGTAATAGGATGTGGATGCATCTTTTCAGGGCCACCATTCAACCCACTACACTTCCTAATCTCCTGCAGGCCTTTACTCAAAGATGACCTTCTAAGGAAGACTTTCCCTGATCACATTATTTATTTATCTATTTATTTATTTATTTATTTATTTATTTATTTATTTATTTTGAGATGGAGTCTCACTCAGTCTGTTGTCCAGGCTGGAGCACAGTGACACGATCTTGGCTCACTGCGGCCTCTGTCTCCCAGGTTCAAATGATTCTGCCTCAGCCTCCCAAGTAGCTGGGATTACAGGCACCCACCACCATGACTGGCTAATTTTTTTTTTCTTTTTTTGAGATGGAGTCTTGCTCTGCTGCCCAGGCTGGAGTACAGTGGCACGATCTCAGCTCACTGCACCCCGGAGGCAACCTCCACCTCCTGGATTCATGCTATTCTCCTGCCTCAGCCTCTCGAGTAGCTGGGACTACAGGCATCAGCCACCACGCCCAGCTAATTTTTGTGTTTTTAGTAGAGATGGGGTTTCACCATGTTAGCCAGGCTGGCTTGAACTCCTGACCTCAGGCAATCCACCCACCTTGGCCTCCCAAAGTGTTGGGCCTCCAAGTAGCTGGGACTACAGGCGTGCACCACCATGCCCAGCTAATTTTTGTATTTTTAGTAGAGATGGGGTTTCACCATGTTAGCCAGGCTGGTCTGGAACTCTTGACCTGAGGCAATCCACCTGAGGCAATCCTCCCAAAGTGTTGGGATTATTTTTAGTAGAGATTGAGTTTCACCATGTTGGCCAGGCTACTTGAAATCCTGAGCTCAAGTGATCTGCCCACCTCGGCCTTCCAAAGTGCTGGGATTACAGGCATGAGCCACTGTGTGGCCAACCACATTATTTCAAAGCATACCCTCCCTCCACATTCCAGCCCTCCCTGTCTATATTAGTTTGTTATCATGCTTCTAATAAAGACATACCTGAGGCTCGGTAATTTATAAAGAAAGAGGTTTAATAGACTCACAGTTCCACATGGCTGGGGAGGCCTCACAATCATGGTGGAAGGTGATGGAAGAATAAAGGCACGTCTTACATGGTGGCAGGCAAAAAGAATGAGAAGCAAGTGAAAGGGGTTTCCCCTTATAAAACCATGAGACTTTGTGAGACTTATTCACTACCACGAGAACAGTATGGGGGAAACCGCCCCCATGATTCGATTATCTCCCACTGGATCCTTCCCACAACAGGTGGGAATTATAAGAGCTACAATTCAAGATGAGATTTGGGTGGGGACACAGCCAAACCATATCACTGTCCTCTTTCCTTGCTCGATTTTTCTCAGTAACACTTACTCTCAGGCACACCATGTGTAGTTCACTGATGTATTGATTTTTACGTCTGTTTCCCTACTAGAATATAAACTCCATGAAAATAGATTTTCTCTGTGTTGTTCTTTGCTGTATTCCCAATGCACAAAACAGTCCTGGGAACACAGAAGACATTCAGTAAATAAAAAGAAGCAAGAAATAAATGACTGATCATAGTGAGTGCCAAGTTCTGCGTTAAATAAAAGGATACAAACAATGCAGTAGGAACACAAAGGAGGGATCAGTGGTTCTGGTTCTGTTTGGGTGTCTTGTCTAGGTAGGCATCACAAAGAGGACATACCTGAGCTGAGTCAACTGGGAATGGGGAGTGTTGGGGCTCTCCAGAGGCAAGAAGAGCAGAACCAAGATCCAGAGTGTGTCTGGAGAGGATGAGGAGGCTGCTGCCACTGGCCAATGGCCTGTAGAGAAAGGAGAGAAAAGGGAAGGAATGGTGCAGGTAAGGCAGGGGCCTCTTTGGCCTATGGGCTGCCAGTCTCCCCAGGCTTTGCTGCTGTGAACCTCCATGATGGGAGAGAACATCCAAGTCTGGGCACCTCCCAGTAGGAGATGCAGTTTGGTGATTCTTCCTCAAAAATATCTGAAAAAGGGAAGCCCCACAATTACTCTCAGTGACCACATATGTCAAGGTGCCTTGGTGCACTGGTCAGCCCTCTATTGGTTGCAAGCAACTGAAGCCCAACTCAGACTGACTTAAGTTTAAAAGGGCACTTACTGGTCCTGGTATCTGAACAGTGGCGAGGTAGATCTCACTTTAGGCCTAAGTGCATCCAGGTTTCAGTGTCACCAGTAATCCATCTCACTTCCCCTGCAGGGACTCTCAGGCAGGCCACATCTCCAACATGCACACCGCTCAGCCAGGTGGGATGGCATCCAGCAGCTCTGAATCCACAAGCCCATCAGAAAACCACCTTTCTGGCTGGGCCCGGTGGCTCACGCCTGTAATCCCAGCACTTTGGGAGGCCTAGGCGGGTGGATCATCTGAGGTCAGGAGTTCAAGACCAGCCTGGTCAACATGGTGAAACCCCATCTCTACTAAAAATACAAATATTAGCTGGGCATGGTGGTGGGCACCTGTAATCCCAGCTACTCAGGAGGCTGAGGCGGGAGAATCGCTTGAACCCAGGAGGTGGAGGTTGCAGTGAGCCAAGATTGCGCCATTGCAAAGTTAGCTTTGATGGGGCACAGCAACCTTGGGTCATGCGGTCATCTCTGAACCAATCACTATAGCCAGCAGGGTGGAATCTGCTGATTGGCCAGGCCTGGATCATGTGACCAGCCTTGCATCTGAGGGGTCAAGCCAACCCTTTCCTCAACCAAGGGGACTGAAAACTGAGCATGGCTTTGATTCCTCCAAGGAAAATCCAGGTACTGGTATGAGAAGAAGGCAGGATGGGTTCTGGAAAGCCATGAGCCAGAAACAGCTCTTGTCACTGGGCCTGTGGCTAATGTGAAATGATTTGCTGGAACACACTTTCCTATACCAGCTGGCTCTCTCATTCACTCAAGAAGACACACTGGGGAGACATGATTTTAGGGTGTGGCAGATGCAGTCAGGCCCCTGCCTTTACTGGCCCAGGTGTGCTGGCCCAACTCCCAAATGCCAGCTCCTGCATTTCTTTTTATTTATATTTATTTATTTAGAGACAGCGTTTCACTCTGTCACCCAGGCTGGAGTGCAGTGGCGTGATCTCGGCTCACTGCAACCTCCACCTCCCGGATTCAAGTGATTCTCTTGCCTCAGCCTCCCAGGTAGCTGGGACGACAGGCCTGTGACACCAAGGCCAGCTAATTTTTGTATTTTTTGTAGAGATGGAGGTTTGCTGTGTTGGCCAGGCTGGCCTTGAACTCCTGACCTCAAGTGATCTGCCTGCCTCAGACTCTCAGAGTGCTGGGATTACCGGCATGAGCCACCACGCCCAGCCACATATATACTTTAAAATCACATATTAGGTACAACTTTAGAAATGTAGCTTTGTCCCCTCTGTCATATTCCATTAAATGAGTATGTCTACATTGTACATGACTCTCTGCACATGCATCTGCCTCTCTTCGTCATTGTCACTGTGCTCACTGTCTGAGTGTCTCTCAGCTTTCCAGTGTCACTGCCATCTAAATGTTTGTAACATCTAAGATGCTGTCCCTGGAAATTTAACACAAGTCACAATTATCTACTTGCAAAATATTACATCCTGCAGGTATATTTCATTTTTTTCATATATACAAACCATTTGATGAATTTTCACAAATAGAACCCATTCTGTGGGCGAGGTGGCTCACGCCTGTAATCTCAGCACTTTGGGAGGCCAAGACGGGTGGATCACCTGAGGTCAGAAGTTCAGGACCAGCCTGGCCAATATGATGAAACCCCGTCTCTATTAAAAATACAAAAATTAGCTGGGTGTGGTGGTGCACGCCTGTAATCCCAGCTACTTGGGAGGCTGAGGCAGGAGAATCGCTTGAACCCAGGAGGTGGAGATTGCAGTGAGCCGAGATCACCCCACTTCACTCCAGCCTGGATAACAAGAGCAAAACTCCATCTCAAAAAACATACAAAAAAAAAAAAAAAACAACCAACCAAACAACCAACAAAAAAGAACCCATTCATTTGACCAGCACCCAGATCAAGAAACAGAACATGAGGCCAGGTGCGGTGGCTCACGCCTGTAATCCCAGCACTTTGGGAGGCCAAGGCAGGTGGATCACGAGGTCAGGAGATCGAGACCATCCTGGCTAATACAGTGAAACGCCGTCTCTGCTAAAAATACAAAAAAATTAGCCAGGCGTGGTGGCGGCGCCTGTAGTCCCAGCTACTCGGGAGGCTGAGGCAGGAGAATGGCGTGAACCCGGGAGGCGGAGCTTGCAGTGAGCTGAGACTGCGCCACTGCACTCCAGCCTGGGGGACAGTGTGAGACTCCTCCTCAAAAAAAAAAAAAAGAAACAGAACATGCCCAGTTCACCAGAATGCCCCTCATGATCCTCCTGGTCACTATCCCCCACCACAAGGAGAAACACTGTCTTTACTTCCAACATCGCTGGTTGGTTTGGCCTGTTGTTGTTTTTCCGTTTTGACTTCATTTCTTTCTCTTTCATTCTCCTTTCTGTCTTCCCCTTTCCTTCCTTCCTTCCTTCTTTCCTTCCTTCCTTCCCTCCCCTCCCTACCTCCCTCCCTTTCCTTCCTTCCTTCCTTCTCTCTTTCTATTTTTCTCTCTTTCTCTCTTTTTCTTTTTTTTGAGACAGGGCCTCACTCTGTTGCCCAGACTGGAGTGCAGTGGTGTGATCTCATCTCCAACTCCTGATCTCAGGTGATCCATCCACCTGGGTCCCACAAAGTGCTGGGATTATAGGCGTGAGCCACGCCCGGCCTTGACTTCATTTCTTTCTTTATGATATAAAGTTTTGTTTTGTTTCTTTTCTTTTCTTTTTTTTTTTTTTTTGAGACAGAGTCTTGCTCTGTCGCCCAGGCTGGAGGGCAGTGGTGCGATCTCGGCTCACTGCAAGCTCTGCCTCCCGGGTTCAGGCCATTCTCCTGCCTTAGCCTCCCGAGTAGCTGGGACTACAGGCGCCGCCACCACGCCCAGCTAATTTTTTGTATTTTTAGTAGAGACGGGGTTTCACCATGTTAGCCAGGTTAGTCTCCATCTCCTGACCTCGTGATCCGCCCGCCTTGGCCTCCCAAAGTGCTGGGATTACAGGCGTGGGCCACCGTGCCCGTCCTTGTTTTTCTTTATTTTTTGTTTTTACATAGGTTTCTCTTAAAAGATGTTTTACATTGTGGTTTTTATATATTTAAAAAGTTGCAATTTTATCCATTTTTAGAGTGAATTTAGTGGTGTTAATTTCGTTCATAATATTGTACAACCATCACCATTTCCAAAGCTTTAAATCACCCTAGAGACTCTAACCATAAAGCAATAACTCCTTATTTCTCCATAATCCCAACCCCTGGGAACTTCCAATCTCCTTTCTATCTCCATGAATTTTCCTATTCTAATTAATTTTTTTTTTTTTTTGGAGAGATATGGTTTCACCATGTTGCCCAGGCTGGTCTTGAACTCCTGGACTCAATTGATCCAACTGCCTCGGCCTCCCAAAGTGCTGAGATTACAGGCATGAGCCACCACACAGGCTGAATTCGCCTATTCTAGGTAGTTCTCACAATATTTGTTCTTTTGTGTCTGGTGTATCTCCCTCAGCATAATGTTTTCAAGGTTCATCCATGTCGCAGCATGTATCAGAACTTCATCACTTTTATGGCTGAATCATATTCCATTGTATAGCTAGATCACATTTTATCTGTTCATCTGTTCATGGACACTTGGACTGTTTTTACCTTTTACCTAATTTAGTCTGTTTTTTGTTTGTTTGTTTTGAGTTTGTTTGTTTGTTTGCTCTGTCACCCAGGCTGGAGTGTAGTTGCATGATCTTGGCTCACTGCAACCTCCGCCTCCCAGGTTCAAGCGATTCTCCTGCCTCAGCCTCCTGAGTAGCTGGGATTACAGGAACCTGCCACCATGCCTGGCTAATTTTTGTATTTTTAGTAGAGATGGGGTTTCACCATGTTGGTCAAGCTGGTCTCGAACTCCTGGCCTGAAGTGATCCACCCGGCTTGGCCTCCCAAAGTGCTGGGATTGACAGGCGTGAGACACTATGCCTGGCCTAAAGTACCACTTTCAAAGTAATCTTGAAAGGACTTGTTTACAGTGTTATTTAACACTTGGAATTGTGAAGTCATATCCCCAGGAAAAATTACTAAATCTGCATTAAATTTGCCTCTTTTTCACCCCAACTAATTCTTTTGGATGACTGCCATAAACATCCCAAATTAAAATTCTCTGAGGTCATTTCAGGCTATTGTGTCTTCCCCAAATAGTACTTCCTTGTTTAAAATGATCAGAAAACATCAGGTAATGCAAGACCTTTTATGAGAACTCGTACATACAGGGACTCTATCTTTTCTGAGTAATTATTTTGGAAGCGGAAAAAAAAGCATGCCTAATATTCAGGAATAGCTGGTCTGTACAGAAGTATTTGTTGTTCCATTGTTGTAATAGAAAACAATTGGAAATGCCCAAATATCCTAATTGAGTTATTTGATTGAATGGAATACTAAAGAGCAATTTAACAAAATCAAGGTGAATTTCTGCATAAGACTATAGACTTAAGAAGTATGCATCTCTTTTTGTATTACACAATCTATTTGGAAGGAATTGTAGTCAGTGATGGGAAGGGGAGGGGTTGCTGTGGTGGGAGGGAGAGTTACCCAGCTTTGCAGATAATTTGGGGCTTTCAAAACATGTTTTTACCCACATACATTTATTATTTATTCCAAAAAAAAACTAATTTAAAATGTAAGACTGGACATGGTGGCTTACGCCTTAATCTCAGCACTTTGGGAGGTCAAGGCAGGAGGATCGCTTGAGCCCAGGAGTTTGAGACCAGCCTGGGCAAGAAAGTGAGCCCTCATCTCTACAAAAAAATTTTTAAAAATTAGCCAGGCATGGTGGCATGTGCCTGTAGTCCCAGCTTCCTGGGAGGCTGAGGTGGGAGGATCGACTGAGCCCAGGACTTCAAGACCGCAGTGAGCTGTGATCATGCTGCTGCACCCTAGCCTGGGTTACACAGGGAGACCCTGTCTCAAAAGTTTTTTTTTTTTTTAATTATGAAATGTAGGCATTTGAAAAAGAATTAAAATTTTCATCCCAAGAATTGTATGCAATCATTTTGTTTAAGCCCTTAATGGTTCCCCTCAAAGCTGTCAAAATTTTCCCCTGCCCCCTACTATTGGGATAAGGACTAAGGAGAGGGGGTAACCACAGTGGGTGTCTCCTTTGGGGGCTCTATTCTCAGCAATGGGAGGACCCCTGTGTGACAAACTCAGGGCTCACTTCTCCATGAGGCCCAGCAGGCCCAGTGCCTAGGGCCTACAATATTTCTAGGAACCCACAAACATGTTGTAATTTTTTTTTTTTTTTTGGAGACTGAGTCTCGCTTTATCACCCAGGCTGGAGTGCAATGGTATGATCTCGGTTCACTGGAAACTCCGCCTCCCTGGCTCAAGCGATTCTCCTGCCAAGTAGCTGGAATTATAGGCACACATTACCATGCCTGGCTAATTTTTGTATTTTTAGTAGAGACAGGGTTTCACCATGTTGGCCAAGCTGGTCTCGAGTCCCTGACCCCAAGTGATCTGTCCACCTCGGCCTCCCAAAGTGCGGGGATTATAGGCGTGAGCCACCACTGTGCCCAGCCTGTAAGTTTTTTTAGTCAGCTAAAAAAAAAAAATCCAGCCGGGCACAGTGGCACATGCCTGTAATCCCAGCACTTTGGGAGGCCGAGGCAGGCGGATTACGAGGTCAAGCAATCAAGACCATCCTGGCCAACATGGTGAAACCCCGTCTCTACTAAAAATAAAAAAATTAGCTGGGCATGGTGGCGCACGCCTGTAGTCCCAGTTACTCAGGAGGCTGAGGCAGGAGAATCGCTTGAACCCAGAAGGCGGAGGTTGCAGTGAGTGAACCAAGATTGCGCCACTGCACTCCAGCTTGGTGATAGAATGAGACTCTGTCTCAAAAAAAACAAAACAAAACAAGAAAGAATCCAATCCAACCTGTAATTTTTTTTTTTTTTTTTTTTTTTTGAGACAGAGTGTCTTGTTCTGTCACCCAGGCTGGAGTGCAGTGGCACGATCTTGGCTCACTACAACCTTCACCTCCCAGTTTCAAGCGATTATCCTGGTTCAGCCCCCTGGTAGCTGGGATTACAGGAACGCACCACCATGTCCAGAGAATTTTTGTATTTTTAGTAGAGACAAAGTTTCACCATGTTGGCCAAGCTGGTCTCGAACTCCTGACCTCAAATGATCCACCTGCCTTGGCTTCCCAAAGTGCTGGGATTACAGATGTGAGCCACTGTGCCTGGCCTGGGTTGTATTTGTTTTGATATCAACACAGTTATAACATATAATTTTGTTTGTATATGCATACAAAAATTATACAAATTGTAAATATGTATATATATATATATATATATATATTTTTTTTTTTTTTTTTTTTTTTTTTTTTTTAATTTGAGACAGAGTCTTGCTCTGTCACCCAGGCTAGAGTGCAGTGGCATGATCTTGGCTCACTGCAACCTCCATCTCCCAGGTTCAAGTGATTCTCCTGCCTCAGCCTTTCGGGTAGCTGGGACTACAAGGTGCTCACCACCACACCCGGCTAAATTTTTTTTTTGTATTTTTAGTAGACACGGGGTTTCACCATGTTAGCCAGGATGGTCTCGATCTCCTGACCTCGTGATCTGCCCGCCTCGGCCTCCCAAAGTGCTGGGATTACAGGCGTGAGCCACCGCGCCTGGCTGTAGATATTTATAATTTAAAAATTATACAATTATATATATAACATATATTACATATATTTGTAATTTTTTTTTTTTCACAAAAAGGGCTCGTGAAGACAAAATGGCCTAGAAAATCATAATGTGGTTCATGGGCAAATTTTTCTGCAAAGAGACAGATAATAAATTTTCAGGCTTGGGAGCCAGATGGTCTCTGCTGCAACTCAGCTCTGCCCTTGTAGCAGAAAGCTGCTATAGACAATACACAAATGGGTGGGAGTGATTGTGCTTCAATAAAACTTTATAAAAGCAGACGACCGGTTGTGGTGACTCACGCCTGTAATCCCAGCACTTTGGGAGGCCGAGGTGGGCGGATCACCAGGTCAAGAGATCGAGACCAGCCTGGCCAACATGGTGAAACCCCGTCTTTACTAAAAATACAAAAATTAGCTGGGCGTGGTGGCGCGTGCCCGTATTCCCAGCTATTCGGGAGGCTGAGACAGGAGAATCGCTTGACCCGGGAGGCAGAGGTTGCAGTGAGCCGAGATCACGCCACTGCACTCCAGCCTGGGTGACAGAGTGAGAATCCGTCTCAAAAAAAAAATTGATAAAATAAATTAATTAAAAATAAAAATAAAAAAATAAAAGCAGACAGTGGGCCCACTTTGGTCAGAGGGCCATAGTTTGCAGCCTCTGCAGCTGGTACTCAGTAAATGCCAACACAGTATTTGCTGAATGCATGAAGGAACTGGAGAGAGGTTGATCCCTGTCCGGTGGCTGAGTTAGGGGAGGGAGGAGAATAACAGGGAGTGGCTACTGGGCTGGCGGTCAGTTTTCTTTGTGTTTCTTCAGCCCCTAATTTGCTCTGTGACCTTGGGCAAGCTGTCGCCCCTTGGTGGGCCTCAGCCTCTGTCTGTGGGATGAGGGCAGCACCTCTCATTTGCTGGACTGTGTGAAGGGGATGAAATGTCACGAGGATGTGGAAGTGCTTGGAATAGAAAGAGGAGATTCCCTGTAGGCACCACAGGGCAGGAACTGCCCGCTTCCTGGAGGCCTGACAGCCTGGGGAATGTCAATTTGGCAGAGGAAAGAAGGGGGTGGGGGCAGCCAACACTGTGACCCGAAACGCAAACAGTCCCCAGAGAGGGGCCGAAACTCTCAGGTTGGTGAAAACACCCTTGTCAGGTTTCTATCCTGCCTCTGAGCAGGACAGGGGAAGGTGCCTGGTGCCCCAGTGTGAGGACTGTTGATTGGCCTGGACACCTGCTTAAAGCTGGAGTTTGCTTCTTAGCAGCCAGAGTCCCAGCCCCATGGAGGAAGCCCCATGTCCCCATCTCACCACAGGGCCACCAGATGACCTGGTCAGGCAAGCTGTATTGTGACCTGGACGGGCAATCTGGAAGCATGTATTGAAACTGACAACACACCAATGTCAGGTGTATTACTTAGATTCCTGTCAAGTTACACAATTCACTCCAGGTGGGCCAAATAAACAGTAGAGTTTTCATGACTTGTGTGGTGTAGACAGCGTCACCAGACCCTGCAAAGGTTGTCAAGGTACCCCCCCCCCAATAAGCACAGCGGGGTGCCATTGTCACCCCAGGCTTAGAGGGCAAGTGGAGGGGAGACCCCAGTGGGAGCTGCAGCTGGCTGTGGGCTAGGGTCTGCCTGCTTGGAGCTGTACTCATGGAAGGCACAGCCACTGCCAGACTCCACAGGGAAGCAGTGATGACCTCCCTCTCCAGCCTTCCAGTCTCCTGCCGGCACTTCCCACTGGTAGAACCCAACAGAAGCCAGAGGGCAAGGGAGCTGGCAGGAAAATGCAGCCTACAGGGGCCAGGCCTCCAGGATGGTGGAGCAGAGCGGAGATGCATGCAGGGATGTAAATGGAAAAAAAAACTAGAGAAAGGCGCTTGAGAATGCATGAGGAGGCGCAGACAGGAAGATTACTTGTACCACTGTCTGTAACGGTAACAGGAGCAACCAATCGGTGAAAGGAATTGTTTGAAAAAACGATTACACCCAAGACTATGTCAGTCAGGATAGACAAGGTTAAACTGCAGAAACAACTTAACTCTGATATCTCCATGGTGTAACACACAAAGTTGTATTTAGCTCAGGCTATGTATCCAGCTCAGGCTGAGGCATTCTCTATCTCATAATGACCCACCATCTCAACAAGAGGCTTTAGGGATAAGGAGACGGAAAAAGCCTCAGGGGAAGAGGAGGGGCTTGAAACTCGCCTTTCTTTTGTGTGTGTGTGTGTGTGTGTGTGTGTGTGTGTGTGTGTGACGGAGTCTCGCTGTGTCGCCCAGGCTGCATGGAGTACAGTGGTGCGATCTGGGCTCACTACAAGCTCCACCTCCTGGGTTCACGCCATTCTCCTGCCTCAGCCTCCCAGTAGCTGGGATTACAGGCACCCGCCACCACACCTGGTTAATTTATTTTTATTTTTATTTTTTTTTGAGACAGAGCCTCACTGTGTCACCCAGGCTGGAGTGCAGTGGCGCAGTCTCAGCTCACTGCAAGCTCCGCCTCCCGGGCTCACGCCATTCTCCTGCCTCAGCCTCCTGAGTAGCTGGGACTACAGGCACCCGCCACCACGCCTGGCTTGTTTTTTGTATTTTTACTAGAGGCGGGGTTTCACCGTGTTAGCCAGGATGGTCTCAATCTCCTGACCTCATGATCCACCCATCTCAGCCTCCCAAAGTGCTGGGATTACAGGTGTGAGCCACCGTACCCGGCCTAATTTTTTTGTATTTTTAGTAGAGACGGGGTTTCACCGTGTGTTAGCCAGGATGGTCTCGATCTCCTGATCTCGTGATCCACCTGCCTTGGCCTCCCAAAGTGCTGGGATTACAGGCGTGAGCCACCGTGCCTGGCCATAAATTTGCCTTTCTTTTAACTGCCTTTCACTAGAAGCAACCCTTGTCACTTCTGCTAGTAGCCCATTGGCCAGATGTAGTCATTTAGCCCCCTACAAAGGAGGTGGGATGCCTTCCTGTGTACTCAGGGAGTACCTTATCCCTTTGCTACCTTTATCCCTAGTAATCTATTGCACAAAACAGGTAGCAGCTAAAAACAATAAGGTAGGGGCTGGACATGGTGGCTCACCCTGTAATCACAACACTTTGGGAGGCCGAGGCAGGTAGATCTCCTGAGGTCAGGAGTTCAAGACCAGCCTGGCCAAGATGGTGAAATTCTGTCTCTACTAAAAGTATAAAAATTAGCTGGGTGTGGTGGTGCACACCTATAATCCCAGCCACTCAGGAGGCTGAGGCAGGAGAATTGCTTGAACCCAGGAGGCGGAGGTTGCAGTAAGCCAAGATCATGCCACTGCACTCCAGCTTGGCGAGAGAGTGAGACTCTATCTCAAAACAAACAACAACAAATACAATGAGGTAGATCTTTAGGTGCTGACATGGAAAGATATCCAGAATAAAATATTGGGTGAAAAGATAAGTTGCAGAACACTGCACACGATGATAACATTTCTGTTAAGCAAAAAATTCAGTCACAAAACAAATGCTATGTACGTTATGAATATATAGATACATAATATTTAGTGAATAGACAGGGTCTGGAATGATGTATTGCAAACTGAACAACGGGTTACTTCTGGTGAGTGAAAGGGGATCTGGGTTTCAGCCTTCTCTGTAATGTATTAACTTTATTTATTTTTATTTACTTTTATTTTTTTGAGATGGAGTCTCACTGTGTTGCCCAGACTAGTGTGCAGTGGCACAATTTTGGCTCACTGCAACCTCTGTCTCCTGGGTTCAAGTGATTCTTCTGCATCAGCCCCCTGCATAGCTGGGATTACAGGCGCCCACCACCAGGCCTGGCTAATATTTGTATTTTCACTAGAGACGGGGTTTTGCCATCTTGGCCAGGCTGGTCTCGAACTCCTGACCTCAAGTGATCCACCCGCCTCAGCCTCCCACAGTGCTGGGATTACAGGCATGAGCCACCGCATCCAGCCTCTGTAATGTCTTCACTTCAGACACACAGAATGTATGCATATACTGCACTTGAGTAAGGAAGAGTGGCAGGTGCACCCTCCTCGGGGCCAGAGACCAAGTCTGAATCTAACTCTGCCACTCACTTTCTGAGTGACCCTGGGAAAGTCATGGGCCCCTTTTGGATCTCAGTTTGCCCAATTAGGAAAGTGGACCAGGTGCTCTCGAAGGCCCCTTTCCACTTAGAGCCCCCGTGGTGCTCATTTCCCATCTCCTCTCCCCTCTGTCCTCTGTTAGTCGCCAGCAGAGCCCTCCTGCCCTGGTGGCCACTTGGCATCACACACAGCCCAAGCACCAAGCACCACTGTAAGACTGTCTGGGATGGGCCTTCACCTGGCCCACTCCTGCAGGGCCCTGGGGTCTCCCTCCCTCCCAGTCTCTCTCCTTGGCTGTTCAGGGAGTGAGCCCCAATCAGGGCTGTGCTGCACACTTCTGAAAATGCAGGTGGAGCCAGGCGCGGTGGCTCACGCCTGTAATCCCAGCACTTTGGGAGGCTGAGGCGAGCAGATCACGAGGTCAGGAGATCGAGACCATCCTGGCTAACGCGGTGAAACCCTGTGTCTACTAAAAAATACAAAAAATTAGCCAGGCGTGGTGGCGGGCACCTGTAGTCCCAGCTACTCAGGAGGCTGAGGCAGGAGAATGGCGTGAACCCGGGAGGCGGAGTTTGCAGTGAGCCGAGATCGCGCCACTGCACTCCAGCCTGGGCGACAGAGCAAGACTTCGTCTCAAAAAAAAAAAAAAAAAAAAAGAAAAAAAAAGAAAATGCAGGTGGGAGTGGCTGGGGGCTGGCACAGCCTTGAAGACCCTGAGTACTCTGGCCTAACTTTACATGTCCCAAAGTGCCTCTGATACACCCACAGCATGAGCACTGGGTCACATGCAGCCAGGCTGCAGATTCCCCATTTAGTCCTGCCGCCACGCACTGATGTGCGCCATTCTTCTACCCGTCTTGCCTTTCTCCTTAACCTTCCAGATCCTTCCACCCTGTAAGACTCAGGCCAACTTGACGGCCTGAAGCACAGATTGACTGCCCTGAAGCACAGATTGACTGCCCTGAGAACTTTGGTCTTCAGTTACATCTATACTTATCAGTCTTTTTGTTTTATTTAGATATATATATATCAAAGTATTTATGCTGTCTCGTTCCATGAAAGAATTGAAGCATCATTTTGCTGATATGTCTGTATGAAAGGCCTAATTATAACTAAAAAATTGAAACAAGTGGACTTTTTCCGTAGTAAAAGCAGCAAAAGCACATTATTAATAGTTTGGAAAAGATCAAAGAGAGAAGAAAAGCCACCCATTATCCCAGCGCATCTAATACAAAATCTAACGCTGCCAGCAATTTTTCTTCCCAATCTTTATCCTGCTCATTTGCACTTTAAAGACCACCATTGTTCAATTTCTAGCCTGCTTTTTTCGCTTAAAGTTGTATCAAATTTATTTCCATGTTGTTGCATGAACTAATTCCAGAATCACCATCTAAAAATTGTTGTATGGGGTCGGGCAAGGTGGCTCATGCCTGTAATCCCAGCACTTTGGGAGGCTGAGGCTGGTGGATCACCTGAGATCAGGAGTTCAAGACCAGCCTGGCCAATATGGTGAAACCCTGTCTCTACAAAAATACAAAAATTAGCCGGGCATGATGGCAGGTGCCTATAATCCCAGCTACTTGGGAGGCTGAGGCGGGAGAATTGCTTGAACCTGAGAGGTGGGGGTTGCAGTGAGCCAAGATCATGCCATTGCACACAAGCCTAGGTGATAGAGTGAGACTCCATCTCAAAAATAAATAAATAAATATTATTGTATGGTATTTCTTTCCCCCCCACTTTTTTTTTTTTTTTTTTTTGAGACAGGGTCTCACTCTGTTGCCCAGGCTGGAGTGCAGGTGGCACAGTCACGGCTCACTGCAGCCTCAACCTCCCAGGCTCAAGTAATCCTCCCACCTCAGCCTACTGAGTAGCTGGCACTACAGGCGTGAGCCACCATGCCCAGCTAATTTTTGTAGAGATGAGGTTTCACCATGTTGCTGAAGCTGGTCTCTAACTCCTGGGCTCAAGTGATCTACCTGCCTCGGCCTCCCAAAGTGCTGGGATTACAGGGGTAAGCCACCGCACCCGACCTGTGGTATATTTCATCAAAGAATATGCTGCAACTTGTTGAGCCAGTGTCCCATTATTGGGCTGGTGGCTTCGTTACTGCCGTTGCAAATAAAGCTGAATGAACAGTTTGGTACACAAAGTTTTTCCCATGTTCTGGAAATATGCTTTCTTAATATTGATTTCTAAACTCTGCAGGATTGGCTTATGAAACTGAACAAGACGTGTTTGCAAAGCTGTTTGTTAACTTGCAAGTTCACATGGGTGCTGGGGAGAGTGGATGCAGTTGCATGTTGTGTAACTCGGCAGACCCCAGTGGGCAAGGCAATGTGGCTGGAATGGGAGTTTCTGCACTTCTAGAGCCCTAGCTCTGATGCTAACTTGCTATGTGACCTGGGACAGGTCTGTTGCCCTCCTTGAGCCTCAGACTTGGGTGACGAAATGCAAGGATCTGATTAAGTGACGATTGCATTTTGTATTTTTTTCAGTTACAAATTACAGAAATTCCAACTCAACCCTTTGGATTGACTAAAGAGATGGTATTTATTGGCTCTTGCAAACGTGTAAGGGATGTTGACTTCAGGTCTGGCTGTATCCAGGGGCTGAAACAATGTCATCTTTCTGTCTTGTGCCTCTGTTCTTTTGTGTGGTGCTCATTTTAAGATAGACAAAGGCCAGAGATGACTTGTACCACTGCCCACCCCTGGTAGGAATAGATTTGGGGATAGGGAACTGACTCCACCTGGGCCCCACCTGCCCCTGAAGCTGAGGAGAGAGGCAACCTTTCTGCAACTCATGAACTCAGAGTTGGAGGAGTGGCAGCTCCAAGGGGAAAATCAAGGTGTGAAGCCAAGAGATGGGAAGATGGGTGCTGGGCAGCCAGTGGAACCTCATGTCTGCACATACTTAAGCCCATCTTTTCACTGATTCTTAGCACTGTTGGGATCCTCATCTTATAACACAGGAAGCAGAGGCTGAAAGCTCAAGTAAGTTGCACAAACAGAGCTGGACTCTGACCCAGGATTTCTGAGACCTGATCCAGGACTTAGTCGGATTCACCCACTGCCTCTTCTCTGATGCTCCTTTAATGTCCGAAGCCTGCTCCTGCAGCCCTGCACCACCTTGAACTGACTGCTGGCATAGGCATGCGTGCATGCAGCAAGCCTCCTAATCACATTCTGTGCCCCCCTCCTGTTATCTGGGGACAAGGAGAGGACAGCTCATCCCCACCCCAGGAAACAAAGCTCTGCTTTCAGGAGCCCATTCCTCCACGGGAGGCATCTGCACACAGAGCCAGTTGTCTGCAGAATGGCTTCCCCTCCACTAGAAACTGAATAAGAGGCTGTGGTAGGAAATTGGGGGTGGGGGCAGAGAAAGAGCCCTATAGACACCAGGAGGGCGTAGAGGAAGGGACAGGCTCTCTCACGTAATGAATGAAGTTGACAGAGGGTTCTCACTGGAGAACATGGTTCCAGAGAACTGACCGAACTGACCAGAGCCAATACCCATTCTTGTCTGTGCCTCAGTTTCCCTATCTGTACATGTTGCACAAGGAGCCCAGGAGCTTGGGCTAAGAACTTTCTAGCCCTAAAATTCATTGAGTAATAAACGGTCAATTTCTTCACACTAGAGAGAATGCTTACAAATCAATAAGAAGAAACATCCCAAAAGGCAATTGGGCAATGGTGATGAGTAGGCCATTATCCCCTCCCCCTACCAAAAAACCCCCCAAAACCCTCAAACCGAAAAGGGTTAACAACGAACATAGGCAAAAATGTTCAGATTCAGTGGTAATCAAAGAACTGCAAATAAAGCCAACAAAGCATTATTTTTAGCAGTCTCACCAATTATGTTGATAAAGGTGATCTCACAGCTAGTGGAGAGGATAGGCACTCAGCCACTTCAGGGAGGAATAGAAACAGATGCTATTTTCTTCCTGGGAGTAATTTGTTGGTATTAAGCCTTGGGACGCTGTGGGCTGGCAATTCCGCTTCTCGGACTCTCTCTGAAGGCAAGGATTGTGGGTGTTTGCAAAAGTCATTTAGCAAAACAAAAACAATGTATCCTTTTTTTTTTTTTGAGACCAATTCTTGCTCTGTCCCCCAGGCTGGAGTGCAGTGGTGTGATCTCCGCTCACTGCAACCTCTGCCTCTGGAGTTCAAATGATTTTCGTGCCTCAGCCTCCCGAGTAGCTGGGATTACAGGTGCGTGCCCCCAAGCCCAGCTGATTTTTGTATTTTTAATAGAGACAGGGTTTCACCATGTTGGCCAGGATGGTCTCGAACTCCTGACCTCAAGTGATCCGCCCGCCGTGGCCTCCCAAAGTGTTGGGATTACAGGCGTGAGCCACCACACCTGGCCAGGATGTGCAGGATGTGTTATTAAAATTATGAATCAGGGCCGGGCGCGGTGGCTCACGCCTATAATCCCAGCACTTTGGGAGGCCGAGGTGGGCGAATCATGAGGTCAGGAGATTGAGACCATCCTGGCTAGGACAGTGAAACCCCGTCTCTACTAAAAATGCAAAAAATTAGCCGGGCGTGATGGCGGGCGCCTGTAGTCCCAGCTGATCCGGAGGCTGAGAGAGGAGAATGGCGTGGACCCAGGAGGCGGAGCTTGCAGTGATCTCACTGCCGAGATCATGCCACTGCACTCCAGCCTGGGCGACAGAGCGAGACTCCGTCTCAAAAAAGAAAAAAAATTATGAATCAAATCATGTCAGCTTCCCCCTGCCCCTTAGAATACTCCCAGGGTTTCTCTTCATCAGGCTTAGAACAACTCCGACTCTACCACATAGCCTGGTCCTGCTCCCTTCCTCCCACCTCCACCCCCTTCACCCACTGTCTGTCTCCTTTCTGGTCCTCAAACCAGAAAGGCCAGGCCTGGTCTAGCCTCAGGATCTTTGTGCTTGCTCCTCCCTCTGCCTGGAATGCTCACCTCCCTAGAATGTGACCTCAGTAAGGAGGGTCTCTATGTTTTTTGTTTTGTTTTGTTTTTTTCTGAGATGGAGTTTCACTCTTGTTGCCCAGGCTGGAGTGCAATGGCATGATCTTGGCTCACCGCAACCTCCGCCTCCCGGGTTCAAGGGATTCTCCTGCCTCAGCCTCCCAAGTAGCTGGGATTATAGGCACGTGCCACCATGCCCAGCTAATTTCTGTATTTTTAATAGAGACAGGGTTTCGCCATGTTGGCCAGGCTGGTCTCGAGCTCCTGACCTCAGGTTATCCACCCATCTGAGCCTCCCAAAGTGCTGAGATTACAGGCGTGAGCCACTGCGCCTGGCCGAGGGTCTCTATGTTATTCACTGCTAGACCCCTGGTCTGACCCCCGATATCAGTAGATGTTCACTGAATACATGAAAGGTTAAGAGCATGAGCTTTGGGGTCAGAAGCAGGTGTGGGCTTGAGTCCCAGTTCCAGCACTGGTTAGCTGTGTGGCCTTGTGTAAGTTCCTTCACCTCTCTGAGCCTTGGGCTCCTCTGCTGTGAAGTACAAGCAGACGAACTCCCTCAACGGGGATGTGCAAGCATATCAAGTCTGGTACAGTGTGACCCTGGAGGATCATTTGTGATAATTACAGGCCTCTCTGAATTTTATCTGTAATTGTGCTGCCATGGATTGAGGAACTCCAGGCATCCATAGAGTGCATCCACCAAAAGGATGTAGTAGGAAATGATCTACGGGCCGGGCGCGGTGGCTCAGCACTGTAGGAGGCCGAGGTGGGTGGATCCCTTGAGCCCAGGAGTTTGAGACCAGCCTGGCCAACATGATGAAACCCTGTCTCTAAAAAAATTACAAAAATTAGCCAGGCATGTTGGCGTGCATCTGTAATCCCAGCTACTCAGGAGGCTGAGCTGAGAGGATCGCTTGAGCCCAGGAGGTGGAGGTTGCAGTGAGCCGAGATCGCACGACTGCACTCCAGCCTGGGAGACAGAGTTAAAGTATACAGTGAGTCCTTAACGTTGCCAATAGGTTCCTGGAAACTGAGACTTTAAGTGAAAGGAGGAACTACATGCTATAGGAACTTAACTCTTGTTTATACCAATTAACCTACGGTAAAATTGGTTTTGTTATACATTCTGTTGTTTCCGCTTAACAGTTGAAGTTTCCAAGAACCTATCAACGACGTTAAGTGAAGACTCACCGCACTGTTTACTCGCGTATTTTATCATCGTGGGCATATGATGCATGCTCATAAAAATTCAAGCGATGAATCAAATACAAAGTGAAAGTCTCCTACATCCCACAATTTCTCATCCAAATTTCATGCTATATTAAATGAAAAAGGCAGGTTAAAAAAACCCCAATATGCACAGTACAAACTGACATAAACAATAAAATATGGCTGGGCGCAGTGGCTCACGTCTGTAATCCCAGCACTTTGGGAGGCCGAGGTCAGGAGTTCGAGACCAGCCTGGCCAATATGGTGACACCCTGTCTCTACTAAAAATACAGAAATTAGCTGGGTGTGGTGACATGAGCCTGTAGTCCCAGCTACTCAGGAGGCTGAGGCAGAAGAATCGCTTGAACCCAGGAGGCGGAGGTTGCAGTGAGCCGAGATGGTGCCACTGCATGCCAGCCTGGGTGACAGAGCGAGACTCTCTCTCTCTGTCTCTCTCTCTATATATATATATACATTAGTATATCCTCATAAGGAAAAGCCTGGAGGATTTACATTAAAGTGTCAAGGATGTTTGGTGGGAGAGTAGAGATTGCTCGCATTTTTCATGGTCTTTTTTGCCTTTTCTTTTTTGAGACGGGGGGTCTTGCTGTGTTGCCCAGGCTGGAGTGCAGTGGCGCAATCACAGCTCACCACAAACTCAAACTCCTGGACTCACGTGATTCTCCCACTTTGGCCTCCTGAGTAGCTGGGACTACAGACACATACCATCATGCCCAGCTAATTAAAAATTTTTTTTTTTTGTAGAGATGGCGTTTCGCCGTGTTGCTCAGGCTGGTCTCGAACACCTAAGCTCAAGGGTTCCTCCCGCCTCAGCCTCCCTTAGTGCTGGGATTACAGGCATGAGTCATGCCCGGCCATTTCTGGCTTTTTTGTGGCTTCCTCACTGTCTGTGGTGGCTGACCACGTATTTCTTTATGTAATCTGAAAAAGCCCATGTGGCCGGGCGCGGTGGCTCACGCCTGTAATCCCGGCACTTTGGGAGGCCGAGGCGGGCGGATCACGAGGTCAGGAGATCGAGACCACCCTGACTAACATGGTGAAACCCTGTCTCTACTGAAAATACAAAAAAATGAGCCTGGCCTGATGGCGGCAGGCGCCTGTAGTCCCAGCTACCCAGAGGCTGAGGCAGGAGAATGGCGTAAACCCGGGAGGCGGAGCTTGCAGTGAGCGGAGATCACACCACCACACTCCAGCCTGCGAGACAGAGCGAGACTCCGTCTCAAAACAAACAAACAAAAAAGCCCACGTAACAGTTAACTTGATGTCTCCTGCCTCGCCCCACCCCCTACCTTCCACCCTTTGTCTACTTGATCCCCAGGGGCTCTTGCGAAGAGCAACTGTGGGGTTGTGCCAGAGACCCCAGAGGGAACCCTGGTTCTCAGTATACTTTTGACGGATGAAGAGATGGGCGCCTTGTGGTCCTGGAGTTTGGCAAGCTCCTGAGGAGTCTTAGGTGGCCAATAAAAATGCCTGAAGGGAGGCTTGAATTTGGAACTCAAGCTACCCTAGGACATCGTCAAGGCAAAAATTTAAAAACCAAACCAAACTGGGGCCAGGCATGGTGGCTCACACCTGTAATCCCAGCAATTTGGGAGGCTGAGGCAGGCAGATAACTTGAGGTCAGGAGGTCAAGACCAGTCTGGCCAACATGGTAAACCCCTGTCTCTACTAAAAATACAAAAAAAAAAAAAAAAGAAAGAAAGAAAGAAAATTAGCCGGGTGGGCATGGTGGCGTGTGACTGTAGTCACAGCTACGCGGGAGGCTGAGGCAGGATAATCACTCGAACCTGGGAGGTGGAGGCTGCAGTGAGCCGAGATCGTGCCACTGCACCCCAGCCTGGGCAATAGAGTGAGACTCCATCTCAAACAAACAAACAAAAAACAAACAAACAAACAAACAAAAAAACTAAACCAAACCAGAACCTGACAGCTCACACTGGCTTCAGAAAGTGAGTTGATCAGTACATGAAACTGCAAAGTCGGGCCACGAGCCTTTAGGCACGGCTGGATCCAGGTGCTCAGATGATCCCTTTCCACAGCTCTGTGCCACTTCAAGGCTCTGTTTTCTTCTGTACTGGCTTCACTCCGGGGCAGGCTCTCTCCCTGTGGGGGCAAGATGACCTGTCAAGGGCTCCAGGCTCACATCCCAGGAGCTCAGCAATCCCAGTGGACACAGGTTTCTCTCTCCCAGGGGCTCCAGGAAAAGTCCCAGGGAGGCCCTGATGGGCTAGGCTTGGGTTTCCTCCCTACCCCTGCACCAGGCACTCGGGGGCTGCTGGCTGGTCCTGGGGCACAAGCCCATCCAGCCATCACTGGGTGAGCAGTCAGCTCTGCCAGAGTCCATGCACTGAGAAGGAGGGGGGGTTGTTCTTACAGGACAACGCAGGGGCCACTGGCAGAGGGAGGGGAGGCCAAGCAGAGCTCCTCCTCACTAGCCGCTGGAAACTCGTGCTCCAGGAAGCACAGGACTGCCCTTTATCAGGAAAGCTGAATTAATCACAACCCACTGCCCTTGGTTCTGCAGAAGAACAGATGAGGGGGGGTCCTCCATGGGGGTGGGGAGGTCAGGGCTTGGGGGGTAAGATAGGGGAGGGTGGGAGGAGAGTCCTGCCTGGGGATCAGAAGACACAGTTCAAACAGTAGGTGACTATGGCCTCATCAACCCCCTCTCCAGGCCTCAGTATCCCCATTTGTAAAGAGACATTGATTGGGCTGGAGTCTACAGGTTGTAGGATAGTGCTGCATCACTGGCTCAGAGGAATTCCTTCCCTCCTTCCTTCCTTCCTTCCTTCTTCCTTCCCTCCCTCCGGCCTTCCTTCCTTCTTTATTCCCTCCCTCCCTCCCACCTTCCCTTCCTCCCTTCCTTCTTTCCTTCCTCCCTCCCTTTCTCCTTCTTTCCCTTCTTCCTTCTTTCCATCCCTCTCTCTCTCCCTCCCTTCCTTTCTTCCTCCTTCCTTTCCTCTCTCTCTCCCTCCCTTCCTTTCTTCCTCCTTCCTTTCTTCCACCAAAAATGAAATTCTAAGCCCCCTCCCCCCAGTCATCTGAATGGGCTCCCTCCTTTTGGCCAAAGGCACTCCAAAGTTAACCTGAAAAACTGCTAGAGGCCATGACGGAAAGGGTGGGGGGGTCGGACATGCCTCCTTATACCCTTTTCCCTTTTGGAATTCAGGAAAAGCCAACCAGCATTTAGCATCAACATAGATCTCAAGTCTGATTAAAAAAAAAAAGTTTACAATCCACTGTCTCGGAAAGCCTGCTACCTGGAGGCTTCATCTGCATGATGAAACCTTGGTTTCCACAACCATTTATTGCAACCCAGACATTCCTTTCTATAGATAATAACTCTTTCAACAAATTGCCAAGCAGTAAAATTTAAAATCTATGTATAACTTGGAAGCCCCCACTTTGAGCTGTCTTGCCTTTCTGGACCAAACTGACGTTTATCTTAACTGTATTTGATTGATGTTTCATGTCTCCCCAAAATGCATACAACTAAGCTGTGCCCTGACCACCTTGGGCACATGTTCTCAGGGTCTCCTGAGAGCTGTGTCACAGGCCATTGGTCACTCATATTTGGCTCAGAATAAATCTCTTTCAAATATTTTTAGTTTGACTTTTTTTTTTTTTTAAGACAGTCTTGCTCTGTCACGAAGGCTGGAGTGCAGTGGTGAGATCTGGGCTAGCTGCAACCTCCGCCTCCTAGGTTCAAGCAATTCTCCTTGCCTCAGCCTCCTGAGCAGCTGGGATTACAGGCGCCTACCACCACACCCGGCTAATTTTTGTATTTTTAGTAGATACTGGGTTTTACCACGTTGGCCAGACTGGTCTTGAACTCCTGACCTCAGATGATCCACCTGCCTCGGCCTCCCAAAGTGCTGGGATTACAGGCGTGAGCCACCATGCCCAGCCTTTCTCTCTCTCTGTTTTTTTTAATCTCTCTTTTTTTTTTTTTTTTTTAAGAGTCGAGGTCTTGCTCTGTCACTCAAGCTGGAGTGCAATGGCATGGTCATAGTTCACTGTAGCCTCGAATTCCTGCCTCAACCTCCTGAGTAGCTGGGACTACAGGCATGCACCACCTTGCCCTGTTTCTGAACAGTTTTAAATGGAATCCAGTTGATCCCATTAAGAAATCATGCTGTGACCCGTGTCAAGAGGGGAGTAATATTATTTGTCCAAGAGAGGCCTCTGAGCTTGACTGTCAGTGGAGGGGAGTTGCAAGGCTATTTCTGGCGAAGACTGGAGTGGGTGAAAGACGTTGGGGGTGGGAGGTGTCAGAGGTGCTTGGAGAGGAAACCTGAGCTTGGGGCTTGGACCCAGAGTCTGGGAAGAAGGGCAAGTGTTTCGGTGAGGGAGGAGCTGGGGCAGGGCAGCCCTGTCCCCAGGGCCCAGTGGGGTGAGGCCTCGGCAGCTGGGAGGGAAGCGGGTGGGACAGGAATGTCCCTCTTCCCAGGCACCTGTCCTCAGGCTGGCCGACCTGTGACCCCATCCCACAGGCAGGAAACAGACACCACCCCAGTGCCTACCAGGTACCTGCACTTAGAGTAAGGATATTGGTAATGAACCATCGAGAGCCTTTCACAAGCCAGGAGCTGTTCTACGTGTTCCTAAGCATCAGCTCCACCAAGCCACATGATGGAATAGGCATGCCTGCGTGCCCATTGTACGGATGGGGAATCAGCTTAGTGAGGTGGAGGTACTTGCCCAAGGACGCACCCCCACCCTGAGTGATGGAGCCATGGTCAGTGTCTGGGTGCCTGGAACAAGGGGCAGGCTGGGCTAGAGCTGAGGAGATCCATGTGCTGTGGAGCCAGAGGCAGAAGGAAACAACAACCTTGAGGAAGGCAGGCAGGAAGCTGGGAGGCGGAAGCCACACACTGGGTCTTGAAGGGTCTATGCCATTTGCACAGGATGAGATGTACAGGGAAAAGTTTTCCAGGGGAGGGAACAGTGTAAGGAAAGGCATAGAGGCAGGCAAGTGCAGGGGACATTTGAGACAGGGCGAGAAGCCTGGCAGGGGCCTCTGCCAGCACTTTGTGGGTCATGAGGCCACTTGAGAAGTCAGCTGAGGGTGGAACTGCTGCGTCTTGAAAGTGCTGTGAGGCTTAAAATCCCCGGCATTTACCGAGGTAGCCGAGGGGGGCTGTCCCCTACCTCCCTGTGTGGTTCCTCAAATTGTCAAGGGTAAGGAAGAAAGTCTGGGAGCTGAAGTCCCCAGAGGCAGGGCTGGAGGGTGTGGAGGGGCTCCTCTGGGACCTACACGCAGGACCCCACTGTGGCCTGGGCACTGTGGATGCGCAGGAAGCCGGCATTCCTTCCCGTGAGCTGGAGGAGAATGGCCTCTGTGTGAGCCACAACAAAAAGGCTTTTCTGCCAAGTTGAAGGGGGAGAAAGCAGCCAATTCAGCCCCTGCCCCGGCCTGAAAGAAGGCTCTGTTGGTGGCCCTGGGGTCTTCGATGCATAGAATGTGCGGGGAGGAAGGCTGATGGGCAGGGGCCACCTTGCCCCTGTCCCGATGCTCCGGCAGCACCAGGGTCGGGTAGAGCTGGACTGTGGTGCAAGTTGGTCCAGCTGGGTCCTAATCCTGGCATGGCCATTTCCTAGCTGTGTGACCTTGGCCAAGTCACTTCACCTGAGCCTCTGCTCTCCTGAGTAAAATGTAGATGGGGAGCTTGTCAGCCTTGGGGTCACGATCACACATTGAGCACGTGCCCGGTGCCAGGCCCTTGCCTGCAAGGTTGCCAACACCTTGCAGCCACCCAGCATCCTCTGTCCACCTCCCACAGGCTGCAGCA
This sequence comes from Homo sapiens, assembly GCF_000001405.40. Lineage (NCBI taxonomy): Eukaryota > Metazoa > Chordata > Mammalia > Primates > Hominidae > Homo > Homo sapiens. The sequence goes on along the minus strand of NC_000016.10, from coordinate 58,048,622 downwards.
CCAGGGCTCAGGCACTGGATGTTTTAGACTCTAAAACTCCAAGCCTTGCAAATGCAGGAAAATAAAGTTATAAGGAAACATGTCAAATTGTCAACACAGGCTGAGAGATTATGGCAACTGAGACTTTTCTTCTTTTTGCTTATCTTTAATGTCTTAGTTTTTGCAGCTGGGAATTAGTAAAAATGTAAAGGAAAAAAGGATGCTGAGGGAATGGGGGCTGTGAGGGGCCCAAGGTGAGTTTAGGTTACAGTCACATTAAAAGACAAACAAACAAAAAAACGATTTAAAGGTGCAGGCTCCTGTTTAATCCCGGGGAGAAGGGACGGGGGTTAGGCCTCAGGCAGGCCTGGGATCTGGGCTCTCTGGACGTGGGGGAGTCAGGGCCTAGCTGCCCCACCCACCCCTCCTCATGCAAAGCCCCCCCGCAAGGATAGATAGATAGGGCTCTCGGATGGGCCGTGCCTTCAGCCACTGGGCCTCTGAGATTTTAGCAGCAAGCTTGGGGGAGGAAGCCTCTTTAGGCAGTTTCCTGAGGAGGTGAGGCCTCTGCCAACTCTCTCCCCTGGCCTTGGCTCTGAGGAAGGGCTTGACTCAAGGCCTTTCAAACTCTCCTCTCATCCCTGGGCCCCGACACTGCCCTCCACCTGCCCGGTGACCTCTGGGCTTTTGGGGGGCCCTAGGGACTCAGGTAGGAGGCAGACCTGGGAGGGACCCCGTGGCTTCTGCCACAGGGAAGCTGACAAGATGGCGGCTGCTTGGAATCCCCCCTGCTGCCACCAAGGCCCCTGTGGTGGGGGAGCTCACCGGCTGTTTCCTAGATGAGCCTGAGAGGCCTTCGAGGTTTCCAAGGGCCAGCACTTCCTACTCTCCCCAGCCAGTTTCAACACAAAGAGAGGAAGGGGCGGGACGGGATGGGACTGGTTGTGGGAGTGGGAGCTGGGCCTGGAACAGGCGGAACGACCCTGCCTGAGGACTTGCAGAGGCCTGGCCTGCTCCGTGGTGGGGGTGCGACCCCTACTGCAGCAAATCATCACTTTCCTGAGGGCCCAGGCTAGTACCTAAGAGGCTTGGCCAAGAGCATGGATGTGGGGGCTAAGGAGGACCTCCCGGGTCCACAGCCATGCTCAGACTCAAGGGACGGTGACACCTCAGTCTCCTGCCCTCCTGGGGTATCACTTGCACCCTGCACAGGCCTGGGTGGGATTTTCTGCTTCTCAAAGATGAAAGGGCAGGTCTTGGGTGCCTGCCACTCTGAGCAGCATGTGTGGGGAAGGGAACTTTTGGAATCAAAGTGCCACCATTTCCCATCTCTCTCTGTGCCTGGCTCTGGGCTCCCGTCAGTGCTCAGAACCCAGCCTGGGAGGACTGGCCTGGCTCTTCCTCCACTCCTAGACGGGGAGGGCTTGTGGCAAACTCAGTTGTCTTTTCTCAGCAGGAACAAACGGCAAACTAACTCCATGCTCCCTCCCTGCCCCACCCCGGCAGGGTGACCCCAGGTGCCCTGCCTCTCCCTCTTCTGGACTCTTGAGGGCAGCCCTAAGCTCTGCCCCTCCCAGGGCATAGTTTCCAAGGGCCATCGGGAAGGAGCCCCCATGGAATTGGAACAAGGTCTCCTTGGCATTGAGGTCAAGCCCCCTAACCCTAGCATGGGCTGGACCCCCACCACCTGCACGCCCTTCCAGCTGGAGGTTCCAGCCCAAGGCCTTACAAACAAGGACACATTTGCCGGCTGTACAATTTATTCAGTGCACATTATTTACAGAAATAAATGTATGGGGGTGGACACGGAACCCCCGCAGCCCCACCCCTTAGCTGGCTCTCCGGTTCTGCAGGGGGCAGAAGCTGCCGGACCCGCACTTGGTGCCAGTGCACAAGAAACCACTCGCAGAGGCCAGCAGAATCCTTCCCCCTCAAGTGCCTTGGGGATCCTGGGTGGCAGACTCCACTCGCTCAGGGCCATGGGGAAGTAGAGCCAGCTGTACAGTACCATTTCCCACAGCAGCCACGGCCTCTTGCTTGCTTTGGGAAGGAAAAGAGGAAGGAGGCATCTGTCCTCAGGGCTGAGCACAGGAGGGCAGCCTCTTAGGCCACAATGGGCTCCTTCGTGGGGTTCACAGTCTGATGCGCGGCTGGCCTATCCCCACCAGTGTCTCTCCTCCCAGGACCCTGGGGGCACAGGGAGCTGGAGGGGAGGAACCCCTCATGCCCAGTGCCTGACACTGTGGGCACCCATTCACGGCCATCCACTGCCCAGGCCTAGGCACCCACCAGCCCCCTCTCCCTGGGGCTCAGGACACTGGCAGCTGAAGCCCAAAGGAGCTGGAGCTCAGACCCCTGAGGCTAGTGGTGTGAGTCGGAGAGGGAGGGAGGAGGCACAGGGAAGGAACAGAGGGTTCTAGCTCAGGGAGGCATCTCTGCCAGGGGCGAGGCTGCTGCTTCCCTGGGGAGAGGGGCCCTGGCAGACTCCCTTTGGTCCGTGGTGAGGCAGGCCCAGGGCCCTTTCTCCAGAGAGGGAAGGAGGTGTGGGCCCAAGGGGAGGTGGGAGCTGGGGGCTGCTGCCGGGGGTGGGCTGGGTTCTCTGGCACAAGGAGCCAGGGTCACTGAGGCTGTCAGAAGTGGACTGCGAAGTCCACTGGATTGGGAAGGAACCAAGCCTCAATGGGGACTCAAGGGCCACGGCCCACCTCCCTTCCAGGTCCCCTTTGGCCTGGGGCTGCCCCTGGGTGGAAGGCTCTTCCTAAGGCCCAGAGAGACTCACTTGGGAAGGAGGGGACCAGGGGGGCCAGACAGTCTCCAACTGGGCAAAGAGAGCCTGGCAGTTACAGCCCTGGGGTTCAGGCTGAGGAGGTGCTGCTCTTCCAATGTGGGCCTCTGCCCCTCTGCTCCCCTGGCTGTGGCCAAGCCAGAGGATGATGGGGGCCTAATTCCCTGTCTGGAGCAGAACTACATTTAGAAAATTCTAAACACCCTGCCCCAGTCGGGGAAACAGAAACAAATGGTCAAGTAAGGTGCCAAAAACAAAACAAAACAAACACCTGGACATAAATAATGAGGGCGGGGCAGACAGGGTGTGTGAGGGCTGAGAGGGGCCCCTACCTGGGGGCGGAGGGAGCCCCTGGGAGCCATCTCAGAACCACAGGCGCCCCCTGAGCACCGTTAGCAGGAGCGCTGGGTGGTCAGACCCACTCCTGCAGCGAGCGCTTGCAGTAAAGCAGGACACGTGGCGCACCCTTGCGCTGCATCTGCACCAGCGCGTAGGTGAGGCCCAGGACGCAGAGCAGCAGCAGCAGTGGCACCAGCACCATCACCACGTTCACCGTCCGTGCCACCTCCTCCATCTGCACCACCACGCGGCTGCCCCCGTCCTTGTTGACCCCGGCCCCAAAGTCCCCATCCCCATCCCCCACGTCGCCCTCTGCGCTGTCCGCCCCGGGCTCTGCACCCCCGTGGGGGTTGAAGGGCGGCCGGGCCACGTCGGGCCATCGGGGGCCTGGCTCCACGTGCTCCTGGCAGCCCATGAAGTCCCGCAGGATGGACTTGGGGTAGCCGGGCTCCATCCGCAGGCGCTCATTGTCGAATTTCCAGTATTTGGTGCCCTTGTAGAAGTAGGTGTAGGCTGCAGGGGCAAGGAGGCCAGAGTGGCTTCAGGTTGAGCCGAACCACCAGTGAGAACCATCAAAGGCCAGGACATGCTGAGGGCTTCAAAACACCCTTCTTCTCATTTGCTTCCCTGAGTATTTTCAAATCTGCCCCTTCTCAACTTGCAGGAGCCAGACTGAGGCTCAGAGGGCTTTGGGCTAAGGGTACGACTAGAACCCTGGGCTTCCTGACCAGACTGACATTAGCTGGGGAAGGGCCTGGAAGGGTCCTATAGCCTGCTGGGTTGGGGGCTGCAGTCAGGGATCCTGCTGCCCCTTCCCAGAACTGGCTTCACCTCACACCACAGAGGTTTGGGGTCTTGCTCAAGGCCACACAGCACCCCGCAGTTGTTCTAGAGCGGAAGGAACCTGGTGCTGCCTTGGGCTGGCTCTCTGACCTTGGGCACCTTGCCAGCATCCCATCAATACCAGGCAGGGCCAGGTTTCAATCAAGGGGTGAGCACAAGAGATCAGAGCGGCTGCAGAGTGCCAAGCTCACATACAGAAGCTGTGTAACTGGCCTGAGCACTGGCAAAGCAGGCAAGGTCCCCCCTGAGTCACCCAGGCTGGAGTATAGTGGCGCGATCACAGCTCACTGCAGCCTTGACCTCCCAGACTCAAGTAATCCTCCGACCGCAGCCTCCTAAATAACTGGGACTATAGGTGCAAGTCACCACACCTGGCTGATTTAAAATTGTTTTTGTAGAGATAGAGTCTCACTATGTTATTCAGGCTGGTCTCGAACTCCTGGACTCAAGCGATCCTCTCGCATCGGCCTCTCCAAGAGCTGGGATTACAGGCGTGAGCCACTACACCTGGCTGGTTTTTCTTAAATGCACTAGAGACCTTGCTAGAGAAACAGAAGAGGCACAGCTCCCTGTCTCTTGGTTATAATGACAGAGACAGGGCTTTCCTTGTAGGTAGATGAGTGATGCCCTGGGAGGATTTTCACCCCTAACACTCTGAGCCAAGCCTGCCCCACTCAGGCTCAAGGCTCCCCTGGGATTGCCTGGGGGTGGCTGGACTCTGTGGGCATCAGGGCAGTTCCAAGCTCCAGCTCCGGACGCAGGCAGGACTGGCCTGGAATCCTGACGCCGCACCTTCCTGGCTGTGGAATTTGGGGCACTCTGCTCAAGCTCTCTGGTTTATTAGTTTGCCTGTCTGTAAAAAGGGAATTTTAACTATGCAGGAAGGACCAGGGTGTCAAGCTAGGTAAGCTCCCAGCCCAGAGCGTGACACAGCTTGTCACCCATACACACCATCACAGTGCCGGGTGACCTTGGGCAAGCCCTGCCCTGTGGTGTGTGTAGCAGGGGATATTAGGTGCTGGGCAAACTGGGAGGGGCTGGCCAGGTACCTGCGTCATTGCTCAGGAAGGCCCCTTTAGGGGAGGCAGGGATCCCCTGCCAGACACTGATGGGCTTGGGGTACCCAGGGTCTCCACGCTGTGTCTCCTCGTTGAAGCGCCAGTACCTGTGAACAAAAGCACCAGGCTGTGGACCTAGAGATCCTGCTTGGGCCAGGACCCGTTCCCCACAGGCAGTGGATTCTTTCTGGGTAGGCCTGAGGTTGAGGGGGGCCTAGATGGGGCCTTCTCCCCTTAGGGGAGGGACGCACTGCTCACCTGTCCTCTTGGAAGAAGAAGGTGTGGCCTGTGGGCTCCCACCAGATGGCCGTGTCAATGCGGTCATAGGGGATGCCCAGGCCATAGCTGGTCAGCGGCTGTGGGTAGCCGGGCTCCAGGTTCGCTTCTCGAAAGAGCCAGTAGCGGTCACCTACAGGAGGGGTGGCAGGCACAGTGAGGTCAGGCCTGGGGCTGAGGGGTGTGTGCGGGAAAAGAATGCTCTTCTGGGCCCACAAAATCACACTCACACCCCTCTACATATTCAAGACAACATACAATGAGGTCACCCGCACATCACATGCTGCACTCATGGATACCTGAGGCACACTTGTTCCCGTGAGCAAGAGTCACCCGCTCACACCCATACACGCCACATGCCACCCACAGCCCTCGCTTCCATGTGCACATCCACCCCCGCACATATAGTTCTTGTATGGGGAGGGGACTGCCTGGCCTCTGGGTCTGGGGGCTGTGTCCCTGGAGCACACCTGCAGCCCTCACAGTGTGTGGCCCAGGGCTCCCTGCTTTTAGTTTGGTGCCAGCCCTGTCCTCAGGGAGCTCCTGCCTCACTGAAGCTCAGGACAGTGGGGTTAGAGCCCTGGTGGATCCATCACGGGGCGCTGCCCTGCAAGACCTCGTCTCTGCAGACAGACCACAGAAATCTGGCCCCGGAGTGGGCTGGGGGCACCTGTTCTTATGAGGATGGGGCTGCAGGAGGCAAAGAGGCAAGGACAGAGGGAAGCAGGGCTGAGCCCTGTGCTGCACAAGGTGGCCAGGCACTTCCGGGTTGCAGGTCCAACCCTGCCTCCAGCCTCTATCTTCCTCCCGTCCTGCCTTGCTGCTGTGTCCTCATCCTCCCAGAGTGAGCCCACAGTGGGGGCACAGGACCAGACATGCAATGCAACCCTTCACCTCCTCTTCTCTCAGATCCAGCAGGGTCAGAGGTCATGGCAGGAGGCGTGCCCAACCCTCTAACCCTACCTCTGCTCACCTTTGAAAAAGACAAAACGACCGTCTTGGCGCTCGTAGGCAGCACTGATGTCACCGGGCAGACCACGCCAGAAGTGCCCGATGGGCATGGGATAGTTGTCCAGGACGCGGTTGTGCCGGACTCGCCAGAACCAGCGGCCCTGGGGAGGGCATAGTGTGAGCGGGCAGCGCAGGCAAGCTGCCTTGGCCGGGAGAGGTGCCATCCTCAAACCACCCCTTCCCAGGTGAGGGTGGGCCCAAGGGGAGGACACTGAGATACTGAGGCAGGCAGTGGCTTGGAAAGCCAGGGCTGCACAGAAACAGAGCCCTGAGCTGGGGAGCTGGCACCAGGGCTTGCTGTGTGACCCTGGGCAAGTCCCTCAACCTCTTGGGCTGGATTCCTCCCCATCTAGAGCTGAGGGCTTAATGGCTCCCCGGGGCCTGCTGAGTGAGGGTGGGACAGGGGGCCCAGAGCAGCCAGGGAAAAGGCTCAGGGCCAGGCATGGGAGGCGGGGCCAGACCTTGAACACGAACATCTCCCCGCGAAGCATGGCCACTGTGTCAAAGTCCCCGTCGCAGATGTTGGGGCCATACTGGTCGGGCCGCTCTGTGGCTCGGGGCTGGACTGGGGGGCCCGGCTTTGGGGGCCGCTCTGGCTTCCCACCTGGGGGTGGTGGCTGGGGAGGCCGGGGCGGCCGGTGGTCAGGCCGGCCTGGCCGCCGTGGCGTCACAGTGGGGAGAGGCTGGGTAGGCTGTGGCTGACCGTCTGGGGTACCTGCAGAGAGGCAGGGGTTCAGAAGTGAGGTCTGTGTTCCTACTCAGAACCCTGGGCCCCGGGGCCCCCAGCACAGGCCCACCCACGCGGAAAGTAAAATCCTGTCCATCTACAGCAGACCCCTCCCCAACACCTGCCTCCATCCTCGGTGGGACCTGGGTCCTCCTCCTTCTAGCCCCTCCTCGATCTCCCCACACTGACCTTGGGTCACTGTGCTCCTGAGGGTGTCTGCCTGCATGTCCCCTTGGGGACATTCCCCTTGGGATGCCAGCCTGCTCCAGCAGAGGCTCCAGGCCCTGGCTTCAGGCGTTTTGGACTCTGCATTTCCAAGTTGCTGGGGATGCAGCAAGGGGTGCCCGTCAAGTGCCCAGCACGGCAGGAGCTGCCAGCCCCGAGGAGGGCTCGGTGTGGGCACAGAGTGCAGGACTTGGCCCACCGAACTGGCCCAGGGGACCTCACTGCTGGAGACTTTCTCGGGTGGGCCCTGGGTGGGGGGGTGGCACTTCCTCAAAGCCACTGGGAAGTGACAAACCAGCAGCACTGTGGACAGAGCTGTGACAGGCTCAGGCTGGGAGTGACGGTGGAAGGGGGCGGGTCCTGGGATCCCCCAGGCACTTGTGGTCTAGTAAGAATACTGCCAAGGGTGAGGAGGAGAGGAGGGTCATGAAGAACCTGTGTCCCTTCAAGGCCTCTAGCCTGCAGCCACAGCCTCGAGTGAGGCCCAGGCCCTGGAGGCAGCCTGCCCTGGGTTTCATTTCCAGTACCACCATTTATTCCCCAAATGATGTGGGCAAGTCACTAATCCTCACTGAGCCTTGGGTTCCTCATCTACAAAATGGGGATGGCAGCAATGCCTACTCCTCATTGGCCAGGGACTTGAGAGCGGCATGCAGAGCCCGCTGGTCACAGCCCACGCACCGTAGAGCTGCTGGATGCCACGGAGATCGTCCTCGGGCAGCTTGAAGTTGTCAACGTCCTTCCACTGGTAGAACGGCGCCATGATGGCATTGGGGTTGCTGGAGTGCTCCAGCCCCAGCGCGTGGCCCAGCTCATGCACTGCCACCAGGAAGAGGTTGTTTCCTTTTGGGGAGAGAAGGAGGGCAGCACAGTCAGCTGTGGCCAGTCCCAGGACCCAATCACCCTGGACCCTCCAGGCTGAGGCTGCCAGAGAGCCTGCCCTTGCTTCCCTCTTGGAAGAGGCTGAGCTCTTTCGGCCTACAACAACCCCATCTGAGAAATGGGTACAATCATCCTTTCTCGCCTCCCCTTGGAGATGGTGGGACAACAGACTGAAATTGAGTGTAGTGATCTGGAGACAAACACAGGGGAACTCTCTCCTCCCAGCCCCGCGGCTGCTGAACCCACTCAGCAGGGTGTTGTTGCCCAGCTCCGGGGCCACCTGCCCTGCCCCTCACCCTGGCCAGCTGTCCTCACCATGCAGGTCAGTGCTGGAGAAGGTCCAGGGCTCATCTGCGTCAAAATGGGTGTCCCCGCCTAGGCCGGGGCCAGGGAAATAGGCGTGGGCCAGAAAGCCACCGGTGCCATCAAACGGCGAGCTGTCGCCGTGGAAGCCAGAGGCAAAGAGTACCATGATGTCGGCCTCCTTCTGTCGCCGCAGCCGGATGTCCTCATAGGGCACCTCCTGGAAGACCAGGGGCGTGGCCTGCTCCCACACGCGGAAGGCCCTGCGCACCGCCTCCATCGAGTGGTACCAGCCCAACTTCTCCGTGTAGTTCTGGATGCTGGGGGTGGGTGGGAGATGAGTGAGCGGATGCAGGGCCAAGGGCCTACTATCCTCTGCTGGCATGTTCCCAAGAGTGCACGCAAGGTCACCAACAAGCCCGTCATTATCAACTGGCAGTTTGCTTTGATGTAAATCATAATTTGAATTTGTCAAATCCAGGAGATCATGAAGATATCATTAAATTAAGATTGCATTGTGGCAAATAAACTGATTTTAAGTAAGAGAGACATTAAGTAAACTAAAATACAGGTGCTATGTGGCTGGGGGAAAGACCTAGAAAATGGGATGCAAATGAGTGAGGTTTGGGAAACAGGCTGAGCAGTTCTCAATGTTGAGCTCCAGGGTCAGGCAGACCTGAGTTCAAGGCCTGGCTCTAACAGTATCTGTGTGACCTTGGGTAAGTGACTCTCTGATTTCCAGTTTCTTTCCTTCTTTCTTTTTGAGATGGAGTCTTGCTCTGTCACCCGGGCTGGAGCGCAGTGGCGCAATCTCGGCTCACTGCAACCTCCACCTCCCGGGTTCAAGTGAGTCTCCTGCCTCGGCCTCCCAAGTAGCTGGGATTACAGGCATGCACCACCACACCTGGCTAATTTTGTATTTTTAGTAGAGACGGGGTTTTTCCATGTTGGTCAGGCTGGTTTCGAACTCCCGACCTCAGCTGATCCACCCACTTTGGCCTCCCAAAGTGCTGGGATTACAGGTGTGAGCCACTGTGCCTGGCCGATTTCCAGTTTATCTGTTAAGTTAGAAAAGAGTGTGTGTGTGGTACTTTCTTCACAGGGTTCCAGTGAGGATTAGAGGAAGTAAGTTGTAGCCAGAGACTGCATTTGATGACGTATGGTGAGGCCTGCTCTTACCTATATAAATCAGATTCAGCTCTGTGTGCTAGACATTAAACCTGAAGGGAATATTTTAGCTGGTTGGACCTTGAATTCACTCTGGGGGCTTGAGGTCTAAGTGACCATGGGAACCACTCTTCCTTGGGAGATGGAGCTTGGAGTCAGGACAGAGCCAGACTGGAACAAGAAGGGGAGCCCTTGGGGACAACCACATGGCTCAAGGCACACTTGGCTGGAGGGTTTTCTTGCTCAAGAACTCAGCAAAAAGGATGAGGGCCCCTGATCCAAGGATTCTGCAGGTGACTTGCTGCCTGTTCACTTGATGGATGCCTGGATTCCTGCACCCCAGCCATCCCCCATCCCTTGCTGCAGTCTGTGCTGGGGCAGTAGCCCAGCTGTGCCCAGTGAGGCCAGCCCCTGCCTGCAGGGAGGTGGGGGGTGGGGAAGGACAGGGTGGAAGTAGCTTGAAGTGTCCTGACCTTCCCTCGAGGGAGACTGCCTGGCGTGTGTGGCTGGTCTCATCAGCGTGAAAGCGGGCTGGACTGTTAAGGCTGGGCGCCGAGGTGGGCTCTGGGAAAGGAGGTCTGAGGCTCGGCCTGCCGAGGGGCAGATGCTTCCCTGGGCAGCTGAGCCCCCTACCTAAAGGTCAGATGGTGGTTGTTCCACTTCCTCCCGGTGAGGGCGTAGCGCTTCCGACGCCGCCGCAGGTTGGCTTTCACTCGTACCCCGAACTGGTCTGGCACCCCACAGCGGGGCCGCTTCATCCACCTGGGACATGGACACAGAGGGGTGAGCACGGAGCCTCCCCTCCACACACCTGCCTGTTCTGGCACTGCCACTTCCGCCACTTCCGGGCTTCCCAGCCGCCCCTCCTATGACACAGTGGGGATGGGGGACTCTCAGCTTCAACTTCCAGTAAAATGGGCAAAATGCCTGTATTGGAAGACTGAGTGCCCAGGAGTGGTTCAGTCAAGGTGAGCCCTTCTCTCCTTATCACCCAGTAATGGAGGGTTCGCTCAAGGCCTTCTGTCCTGGATACGTTATGCTCTGTGCATTGTTTTCAGGGACATGGCTTTAGGTCATGTCACTTGTTAGATTCATAGCCATGCCTAGCTACGATTTCCCTTCCACAGCTCCTGTACTGTACCTCCACACTCCCCTGGCCATGTCAGACATCACTAATCAATCACTGTGCTTCTTACTGCTAAGGCCTGGATTCTGCCCCTGGAGCTTTCTCAATACAAGGCTTTGGGCAGCCACTCCAACCAATCAGAAGTGACATGGAGGACCAAACCATTTGGCATCTCTTATCTAGGCCACTCTTTTCTGGAAACTCCACATGCTGAGCCCTCTTGAGAGCAGGCCAGATGGAAGGCAGGTGCCTGTGGGGTGTGGATGGTGGGGGGAACTCACTCCTTGGTCTCTTCGTCGAGCACACCGGTGACTGGGATCCCGTAGAAGCGCTGCATCTCTGCAAGGGCCGAGGCCAAGATCTGGGCGGAACGCATGGTGGACATATGGCGGCTGGGCTGAGGCAGGTAGCCATAAAGCCGCAGCCAGTTCTGCAAAGAAGCCGCAACTCTGTCAGCAGGTCCTGGCACTGCTACCTCCAAACATGCACAGCCTGTGCCGACCACTTCCCACCACCTCCACCACCGCTGCTCTATCTGAGCCGTCATCACCTCCTGCCCAGGTGACCGTGTGAGCCTCAGCACCCTCCTCCCTGTCATCTCTCCTCACATAAGAGCCAGAACAAAGGCCAGGTCAGGTCTGGTCAATCCTCTGCTTAGAACCCTCTGAAGATTTCCCATTGCAAAGGAAAAGCCATTTGTACAAGAGCCACAAGGCCCTCACTGTCACCCCACCTTAGCTGGACCTCACCACCATCCACCCCAGCCGGGCATGCTCCTGCCGCAGGGCCTTTGCACTTCCTGCCTCTGCTGCCTGATGCACTCTCCCGCCAGACAACTGAGAGGCTTTCATCCTCATTTTCTTCAGGTCGCTGTTTCAATACCACCTTATCTAAGAGGTCTTCTCTGACACGTTAAAAAGGCCCCATCAGCTATACCCTGCACCCCCTCCTTCCTCCCATGCTTATCACCCATCTGATGCACTGTACATTTCAATTAGGTGTTTGCTATTTGTCTTCCCCCATTAGGACAGAAGCTGTGTCCACAGTAGCTGACAACTGCACTAGCCCCTCTGGGGTGGGCCCCTACCAGGCCAAGGACCCAAAAGGATTCAGGACCTCTTGAGGCCTTACTCTTTGGCACTGCTCCCCAAAGACCTTAAATCTCCTGGAAGGAGTAGACAGATGCAGGTACCCATCCAGGCTCAAGGGCAGGACAGAAGCCTGAAGCCCAGTCCCTGCTCTGCTACAAACTCTTTATTCTCCCTGGGCCCCAGCTTCCTCACCTATAGAATGGGGAACCATGGGCTGCTGAGGGGTGAGGTTTGAGGAAAACAGCCTTGGAAAAAGCTGGTACACAATGGGTGTGCCCTTCCCTTTCTAGGGCTTGCTTGGCAAGTCTTCTCATCCATCCACCACCCACCCTGCCAGATGTTTCTCAACACCCTCTGTGCCAGCTGGGGGCCATGGGAGGACTAGGCTGAGGCATCCTGGCCTTCAGGAACTTACAGTCTCCCTGGGAGACCCAACACACCTACAAAACAAGGAACCCACACCCCACAGGTTGCACGGCCAAGCCAGAGGGCAGAGACAGGCCGAGCTGTGGTAGAGAGGGGATTCTGCCCTGCCTGCTTCATGTCCTCAAGCCCTCAAGAGCACGGTGACCGCCATGGGAGGCAGTGAGCAGAGGCCAGGGGCTGCCCTGGACCTTGGACACTGCAAGTGTCTGTGTCTGACTTGTCTGGGTCTCTGGGGGTCTCCAGAGTGAGAAGCCCTTAAGGCTGGCACTCTGAGTGCTCTGGGAGGTGAGGGCTGCACCCCGAGGGCCCAGGCAGCAGGGCAGTAGCTGGACACGGTGGTTGCTTTAGGCTGACAGCCATATTGGCCGGCCAGATCACACTCACATATCTGCCTGCCACCAGTGTTACATCTAATACCTCAGGCACCTGCTTTCTGGTACCATCCACCAGCCCAGCCCTGGCACCCGGCCAGGTCCCTGGTGTGGCTGGGCAGGCCAGCTCAGTGGTACCCAGGCTGCCAATAGACGGAGCAGCTGCTGACCCAAGGAGGGGCAGCATGGAGAAGCTGCCAGGGTCGCAGACTGGATGCGCAGCCACAGCTTTGAGGCCTCTCAGGACCCGGGAAACAGCCCCAGAGCAATGAGGTGGAAATGCAGAGCTGAGAAACCACCACCAGCTCTGGGGACAGGTGGAGCTAGGCAGACCCTGGCTTGGCTATTTCCGAGGTGTCACTCCACCTCCTTATCTCTGTCGGTCATCAGTAAAAGGGGGATTGCACCAGGACCTGCCTCATCTCCTGGGTTCCTGTGAGGAGGAATCGTAAAGTGCATGCTAGTGCCTGACACCACCCTGTGCAGCAGATGGTGCTCGACAAACGTGCAAATGACAGAGACCAGAGGCCTGTGTGGTTGTCCCTGGGGCAGGCAGCCTTCGGCCTCCTTGACCCATCATTGACCAAGAAGGCTGATGGGTCTGGACTTCCCAAGACTGGTGATGGGCCAGGCTCCACCAGGACCCCAGAGTGGAGGGAGGCAGGAGGCCCCTAGGGCCCCTCCACTAGCACTCCTCACCTCTGGCCCAGGGCGCATTCCCACAGCTCAATAAGATACTGGCAATGTCGTGGGTACCCTCCCTGTTCTTCCCAAGCACGGGAAACCTCTCCCAAGGCTCCTGTGCTGGAAGGTGTGGAGCAGCAGATCCACCATCCTTAAAGGACAGTTTCCCTGAAGGTGCTTAGGGAGATCTAGAAGGCGAGGCCATGATGCTCAGCCAGCTCTAACGGCAAAGGGAATGCAGCTGGAGGCCGGGGGAGTGGCGGGGGACTGGCTGCCGGCAGATGAGGGCACCTCTACATCACCTATTTGCATAAGGTAAAAATATCTCTGGGAGCGCAATCATGGGCCATGGAGGGGCTGATTAGCGGTATCTGCGGAGCGACAGGAGGGGAGGGTGGGGGAGGATCAGGCTGGGGCCCTGGGGAGGAAAGCAAGGGAGCTGGCCTGTCTGCAGTGAAGAGCTCCAGAGACCGGCAGAGGGGCCCCTTCAACCCCGGGGCCAGCTCAGGGGCTGCCAGGAGGGTCCCAAGGGCACTATGGACCCTCCACACAGAGAAACAGTATTGAGTTCCAGGGAAGTCAAGAGCTTCCATCTCGCTATCAGCCAAGCTTGAACCCTCAGCCACCTGGGGTGAAGAGCCAGAGGCTGAGGATGGGGGCACCCCTTGGGCAGTGATTGGGGAAGCTGGGGGGTGGTAGGCAGAAACACGGCCTTGGCGCAGACCACTCAAACCTCTGGATAACAAGGCGAAGCTGGCAGAGCGTGCCTGACCGGTGAAAGTGTGCTCAGGGTGACTGAACGCCAAGTGCCCAAAAATCTGCCCGGGTGGCAGCAATACCACCCATAGGACTGTGAGCTTCCTCCTTTCCCCAGGGTCCAGGAAGAAGTTTCCTGGCACCTTCCTGCCACACTAAGTGGGACAAGCTCAGGGGAACACAGGAGGGAAGAGACAGCAGGGGGCGGGGACGCGGGGGTGGGGCCAGAGGTGCTGCTGCCTGCAGGTGGGCAGCGTGGGGAGCTTGCTGAACTGCTCTGCTGCCACTGGGCAAAAGGCGCAGATGAGTCCCTAGGTCATGACTCGCAATCCCAGTGTTCAAGCCCTTGCTGCTCCTCCTGGTGACTGTAAAAACTGTCCCTAATACAAGGAATCTCTTCCTGTCACCTAGAGTCACAGGTGGGGTGAGCCAAGCGGGTGAAGCTTTGCTTCTCAAGTGAGGAAACTGAGGCTCAGAAAGTCTTGTAAGTGGCAGAGTACGGCAGAATTTGAAGCAGGACTTGGTTTCTTCTGCCACCAAGGCCACTGTCCAATGGGAGGGAAGGAGAGCTCTGGGGCCATGAGGGCCCCTCCCTTCTGCAGCTTCGGGTGTGGGCTGCTGTGGGGGGCACCTGCCACTGTGGTTCTCTCAGCCATTTCTTTTCTTTTTTTGAGACGGAGTCTCGCTCTGTCACCCAGGATGGAGTGCAGTGGCATGATCTCGGTTCACTGCAACTTCTGCCTCCTGAGTTCAAGCGATTCTTCTGCCTCAGCCTCCTGAGTAGCTGGGACTGCAGGCATGTGCCACCATGCCCAGCTAATTTTTCTATTTTTGGTAGAGACACAGTTTCACTATGGTGGCCAGGCTGGTCTCGAACTACTGACCTCAGGTGATCCGCCTGCCTTGGCCTCCCAAATTGCTGGGATTACAGGCGGAGCCACCACGCCTGGCCAATTTCTTTCTTGACTTCCAGACCCCATCCCATTCGTATTTATTGACACTTCAGGTAAGTGGCAAGGAGATATGGGCCACCAGGAGTCAGAAGGGTGGTTCCTGGCCCCTGGCACACAGGAGAGGTCATAACCGCAGCACCTGAGTCTGGCATGGGCCAGCCACCCATTCCAGCCCCCACTGAATGCTCACAGCCACTCCTGAAGGGTAGATTTGTGACCATTCCCATAATACAGACGGCAAGGTTCAGAGATAGTGAGTGCCTCACCCAGGGTCCCAGAGCTGATCTGGGCTGGAGCTGGGGCTATCGGACCAGGCTGCTTCTGAAGTATCACCAGCTCCTCTTGGCCTCAGGCTGGGGACACTGGACCTTTCTCAGGAGCAGTGCCCAGCACAGCACGGGGAAGGGTGCCTAATCCTCCCCACACCCGACATCTCCGGCCGGGTCTGGGCGCTGGGCCATCTCAGTCCACCCTCCCCCACTGGCTGCTGAGAGGGTTGGTGTAAGAAGCCACTAGATCAATACTGTGCAGTGAGCAGCCGCCACGGTGGGGGAGTGGGAGTGGGGTGGGGGAGGGGGCAAGCGTCTGCTGCAGCCGCCCCAGCCGGCCCTTCCAGCTCCTCCAGCACTCAGATCTGTGGAGCTGGCCGGCAGCCCCCTCCCCGGGGCCCTTATCAGACCCCAGGCGATAAGGACACTTTCCACTGGGCTCTGCTTTGTCTCTGTCACCCAGGTTCTGTCTGCAATCTGAGCAGACCCAGGCAGAGTTGCCCAGCCAGGCACAAAAGAAGCCTTGTCAAGGCTGCCAGCGATGGATCCAGCCCCCGGACCTTTTGTGGCCTTGTGAGGTCCTTACCATGCCCATCTCCCCTACCCTATAGTCTTGGTATGGAGGGCTCTAGGGAGCAGGCCAAGGCTGTGCCCAGCTCTGTACTCCCAGCCACTAGGCACAGAGCCTGTGCTGAATGGGATGAGTCCTGGAGGAGCCAGGGAGCTTGCAGAAGGCAGAGTGCACACTCCAGGCCCACAGGGCCCACCTGGATCAGCGGACCTGAGCCAAGAGTCCATTCACCAGCTGGGTGGCCCCAATACCACCAAGCCCAGCCACCCGCCAGGCCTCTACGGACTACAGCTGGCCAAAAACTCATCAGCCTGTATCCTGCAGACAGGGGGCGCTCACTGCCACTCAAGGCCCCCCATTCTCTCTCTGGACAGCAAGGACTGTTAGCTCTTCCTCAGGCTGAGCGGAAGTCAGCCCCCGGAAGGCTGCCCCTTGGTCCTGACTGCTAGTCCACACAACAGGCCTCCCAGCAACGGAAGACGGCTAGGATAACTTTTCTGAGCCTTAGTTCCCTCCTCTGCAAAATAGGGCCAAGATCATCACTCCGACCCACCAAGCAGCGTTGAGAGCGCCGATGGCGCAACTACCCCCAAGGCCAGTAAAGAAAGGTGGCATGGGCAGGGCATGGCAGCTCACGCCTATAATTCCAGCACTTTGGGAGGCCGAGGCGGGCAGATCACGAGGTCAGGAGACTGAGACAATCTGGCTAACACAGTGAAACCCTGTCTCTACTAAAAATACAAAAAATTAGCCAGGTGTGGTGGCAGCGCCTGTAGTCCCAGCTACTTGGGAGGCTGAAGCAGGAGAATTGCCTGAACCTGGGAGGCGGAGGTTGCAGTGAGCCGAGATCACGCCACTGCACTCCAGCCTGGGCCACAAGAGCGAGACTCTGTCTCAAAAAAAAAAAAAAAAAAAAAAAAAAAAAAAGGCGGCATCGAGCCAGGTCCTCCTTGGAGGATTGCTCACTACCTTTAGAGGCAGCATGTTCCACATTTCAGCAGTTCTAGGACACACATGCTTAGTCTGGGATTAAATCTGCTCCCTCCCATGGGTCTTTAAGCGAGTTGCAGGTGGGGGCTGGGACTCTGGGTGGTGGGGAAGTCCAGCAGGAGAAGCAGGAAGGAGGAAGACGTCTTGAGGTCTGACCACTTCTTTACCCAGCAGCCTTCCAGCCTGCCCCACACTCCTTAACTTGGAGGAAAAAACAACCGGGTTCCCTGGCCAGCGCGCGGGGTGAAGAGGCCTCTGTTAGCCAGGAGTTTCGGGCCTGGCTGGGGGCCCGGCCTTGGGTCCTCACCTGGAAACCTCCCTGCAGGTGCTGACTCCTAGACGGGGCTGTCCACAGGGCAGAGCTTGGGTGGCTGGACAGATGGGGGCAAGGCTGGGTGGGCCGGGGGAGGGCTTTTGGCTCACACAGCTCAGGCAGCCCTGGCTCCACCTCAGAAACCTCTTTCCCACCTGGATCGGGCCCAGCAGAATTCTGCCTGGTGGAATTTCCACAGGATGGCACCCTAGGCTCTGACCTGTAGCCTTCAACCCCGCATGGGGGTTGGGAACTTGGGCTCCAGGCCAGACTGAGCTGGGTTCAAATCCAAGCTCTGCCACTCCCTGGCTATGGAATGCGGGGGTCATTTCTCTCAACTCACAGTATTAGTTTCCTCTTTTGTAGATTGAGTAATGACAGCATCTACACTTGAAGAGTTAATACAAGGATTAAATGTGAAAACGCTTACAAAACATCCCTAGTCTGTGTCCACAACAGACACAAGTATGTTGAAGGTGCTCAAAAATAACACCTGCGCCTCCTTAGGCCCCCTGTGCCAGGCATTGTGCATAGCGTTTAGTGTTTTGCACATAAATGCAATGAATCTCCCCGTAACTCCATCAAGCAGATAGACCATTGCTATTCCCTTTTTATAGAGATCTTGAAGTTCATACAGATTCAGTGACTTGCCCAACAGTAAATGCCATTCGCTTCTGTCACTGTTTTGCACTATTTTGCCAGGGAGGCTCTGGACACAGGGTGTAGGCCACCGTGTTGTGCACTATGTATCAAGTGCCATGCTCAGAAACGCTGAACGTGGAGCTGGACTCTCACCCCTACAGGGTGACAGTCACTCCTAGGGGAAGGACAAGGCAGTGCCAGTGCCAGTGCCCTGGAGAGGTGATCTAGACCTTGGCCTGCATCACCATCGGCCGATGGCAGCAGGATGGGGGGCATCTCCAGGGGCTGGCTAATGGCTGGTACCAGGGGCTTATCCACCTGTCCTGATACTGGAGGCTGAGTTGGGTCTCTTCCCACTTTTTCTTCCATTCCCACGAGGGCCATGGGATTAGGGAAGAGGCATCCCTCTTTGCCTCTGGGATCCAGGCCCAGCTCCATGGCCTCTGGTCTCAGGAATCCCTGGAACCTGTGTCTGACTGTGGAGCAGCCCTATCTGAGCCGTCACTCAGAGCTGTCCAGCCAGATGGTGCCTACTGTGTCTCAGGTCTGGAGCATTCAGCCGCCTTCAGGGTCCCGGTCCTCACACTCAATGGTGGGCTTCTCCCAGGACCCGCTTTGTAAAGGAGAAAGATAAGGGCAGAGTCCACAACCCCTCTCTGTCTTTGCTGACTCAGAAAACACATCTCCAGGACCAAAGCATTGCTCCTGCTGGAGTGTCCAAGACAGGGAGCCACCTAAGCCTTGGGATGATATGGAGGATACCCATTCTGATTTGATCTGGAAAGTAGTGGTTCTCATAGTGACCACCACAGCTAGCCTGAGGCAGAGGTCAAACTCCCAGCAGGGCAGAGGTGATGATGGAAGGGATCATCTGGACCAAACAACAAAAGGGCCACAGAGGGACAGCAGAACAAACCGCTCGGCAGGGAGGGGCTTTTCCACGCCTGCAGTGTAGCCATCCTGAATGGGCATAAGAGATAGCAGTGGGCACTGGGCTTTTGGGGAAAGTCTTCTTTTGGGGGTGGGGATAGCGTGTATTTCCATGTTGCTCCTCTCCACATTCATGGATATCTTTTAAGTATCAACATCCCTTGGGGTGGGGCAAAGGAGGTATTTATGTTCAGAGGTCACAATGGGAAGGTCAGGCCAATACACTGCTCAGACAAGGAGCTTACACTGGGCTGTTCTCTGCAAGGAGACAGATGACTGGCTGGACCCAAGGGCAGCCCCAACTCGGAAACATGGCAAGGGCTGGGTGTGAAGGGCATGGCCCAATGAGATCTAGGTCCCTGGCTGTGCCAATCAGACCAGTTCTCTCTGGGTCTTGACAGAGCATGGAGAGGAGTGATTTACTACTAGCAAGAAAACAGAGTAAAAAGCAGAGACAAGAGGGGAGGGGGAGAAGATTCAGCTTCTGCAGATTCCCAATGACAAGGCCCCGCTATTAACTCCCTTTTCTTAGCTGGTGGGCACAGATGGCATCTGTAGTTTTGCTCTGTTTAAAAGAAAGAGGGGACCAGTGGGGCCCCCCCGGAGCCAGCATGGAAGTGCTAGTAGAGACTGAAGCTAAGGAAGCCCAAGACTGTGGCTCACCTGAAGGTCAAAATGGTAATTCACGCTGACCCCCTCCCAACGCCCCCACCCCCGCTGCCTCATCTACTCAGTGGCTGGGTAGGGGCTAGGAAGATACTCGTGGGCCTGTTGAGGAAAGGCGGGTGGATCGGTTTTGGTGGTGGTGGCACCACCCCTGTGAACTCTGGCAGCCTGAGTCACCTCCACAGAGCAGGCTGAGGACCTGAATTGTGCCTGGGAGGAGGGGGTAGGGGGAGGCAGGTGAGATAAGAGCTCCCCCGGTGAGCCTGGAGACTCTCAGCCCTGCAGGGCAGGAACAACAGTGAGCACCTCAGCCAGGTGGGGATCTGGCCCGGAATGGCTACAGACTGGGATTGGACATCCAAGGGAGAATGTGGGATAGGACGTGGCAGCTCAGTGGTGGGCTAGGGCCTGGCAGGTTGCAGGTGTTTGTCAGTTCCTAGCACATGCCAGGCTCCTTGATGTCTCAGCCTCGTGAAAGTCCTGTGGCTTCCACCCTGGGAGGGGAGAGAGGAAGTGGAGAGAGGCTGGCCTTGGCTCAGCTGCCAAGCTGCTCCGAGAAGGTCCCAGCTGTGACCCTACTGGAGGCCTGAGGCTGTGTGGATGCTGGGGTGAGGATGAGAGAGCCAGCCTTCTCCAAGGAAGGGAGGCTCAACACAGGGTGTAGGCCAGGCCCAGGAGTCTGAGGCCACAGCCCCCGGCAGATGGGCTGGCTGCTGAGGCCATTTGACTCTTTGGGCCCACATGTGGCCAGACCTGATGGGACCCTAGAAGCAGCCTGTACCCAAAGCCAACTGTAGGAGCTGGGACACTCCACCTGTCTCTAGCCCTCTATCTGCATGGCTGCCAACATTCAAGGCTCCTTAAACCTTCCGGGGTCTCTTCCAGTCACTGCCCAGGTCCAACCCAAGTGTTTCCCCAGGAGTAGGGCTCCAGGACAGTCACAACCTCCAGATCAGGAGCACGGTTTGTGATAACGCAACCATGGCTTCTTCCCTGGCGGCATCGAGCTGTGGGCACTCCCTGAGCTGGGGAGTTGGGGTAGGGGTGAGATGGAACTGGAAAAGCAGAAGAGAGAGAGAGTGAAGCCCCTCCAACTACAGGTCCCTGCACCCCTGAGCTCCTGGCCAGCTAGGATGCCATTAGCAATGCACGGCCATTGAATTCCATCACTGCTTCCTATGTATTGACGCCATCCCTAAGTAGATTAGAAACTCAATGGTGGGACTGTGACTTGAAATTCTTTGGCACTCCAGCCCAGAGTGGCAGGTGGGCCCAAATGGCACTCTCCGCCCAGTACTTGGGTCACAGGCTGAGGGGTAATCCTCACCAACAGGAGCCCCCTAAAGCTCCTCCTGCCTGTGTGAATGGGGTGGGGGAGGGTGGCCAGACTGGGTCGGGGCGGGGCTCCTATCCTGCCTCCCACCAGGGCCTGGCTCCTCCTTCAGCTCTCCCTGGCCAGGCCAGGGAGGGAGGGCAGAGCAGGTGGGGAAATGGCTGGGAGGTGTAACTCGAGCCCAGGAGGAATTCCCTGCCCTTCCTCTATGCTTTTATTAAAGTAGGGCGGGGAAGGGCAAGCTTCCATCGGAAAAATCTCCCAGGCAGCCCGGAGAGGTGGGAAAGCCGCCGTGGGCCAGGGAGGGAGCACCAGCTGAGCTGCAAATAGAAACGGCGCTCAGGCCCGCAGCCCGGGCAGCCCAAGGGCACCAAGGCCTGAGCACCGTTCAGAAGCGGCTCCGGGGTGGTTCTTTCTCCCTACTCCCCGCCCAAGTCCTCTCCCCGCCTATCTGGGGCAGGGCGCAGGTCTTAGAAGTCGGGGAAGAGTGGACCCTGCTCTTGCTCTGGGGCAAGAAAGCTGGCGCCTTCGGTGTCCTCGCTCGGGAGACACCATGGAGCTGGGGCGCTGGCTGGACTCGGCTCTACGCCGGGATGTCGCGCCTGGTCACCCGCGGGACCCATCCAGAGCGGGGCCCCGGGAGGGACGCCAAGCGGGCTCCTAGCGAAGAGAGGCGCGGGGTCCACCCTCTCGAATCCAGGGCTTCGACGTAGGGGCGCTGTTGGGAGGAAGCGCTGTGGGAGGCAGGGTCCGTCCTTAGGACCCCGCCCGGGCGTGCCTAGGCTTCCTCGCAAAAGCGCAGAAAGTCGCCAAAGCGCCCCCGCAACCCGAGTCCGCTGCCTCAGCCGTTTGCACCCATCCCCCCGCCTCCATCCTGGCCCGCCGTGCGCGGCTCGGTATCACCCAGACGGGAGGCCACCTGGGCAGGAGCGCAGTTGCCCAGCCGCCCAGCTCTTGCTCCGCCTGTGGCTGTCCCCGAGAGCAGCCCCCTCCCCACTCGCAAAGAGCGCCACTGCGCGCCAGCCGGGCTCTCGAGGAATCGGCTGCCCTGGAGGGAAGGAAGGAGGGGAGGCAAGGGCTGGGGGCGGCGGAAGCGGCTCCCGGGACACAGGCTGAATGTAAGGGGGTCGGGGTGGGGGCTCAGTGCCCAGAACAGGGCTGTAGGAGTAGCGGGGAGGAGAGCGAGGCCCTGCGCCCTCAAGGGTTTGCGAAGAGGTGCGCTGCAGAGGGCGAGCTGGGGAGGGGCAGACTGCCAAGTCCGCTTGCTTCCCCGCCACGGCCCAGAACAGGGGGCGCGTCTCCGCTCCCTCCACCTCCAAGTCCCAGCCTGCGGACGTGGCGCCTCTCCCTCCAAGCCCCCAGCCCGCAGCCAAAGGGCAGGGCGGGGGTCTTACCTCGGCATGGACCTCCGCGTCTTCGGCCGCTACGCCAAGGCCCAGGCAGCCCAGAAGCACCAGGAGCAGCGGCAGCAGTCGCGGCCGCGCCGCCTCCTCCCGGTCGCCGAGGAGGCTGCCCGTCCAGCCCGGCCGTCCGGGCGCGCTCGGGTCGCTGCCCATGCTCTCGGCGCCCAGCCCAGCTCGGAACACTGCACGCCGGATCCTCGCACGCGCCTTGGAAACTTGCGACGCTCCCTGGCTCCTGGCCCGGCAGGCGCGCCGCGGACCTCGGGCTCCCGGTCCCCGCCGGAGCCGCCTAGGTCGCCTCGGCAAATTCCCAAGCCCGAGGAGAAGCGGGCAGGGCAGGTCCGGGAGCTCGGAACCAGCCGGCGGGAAAGGGGGCCGACCGGAGCTGCCCCCGGCGAGGTTCCGCAGCCTCGGCGCCCAGCGCCTGGGGCCCGGCTCCCGAGAGCAAGCGCAACTCCGGAGCCTTTGTCTGGCTCAGCGCTCCGGCCGCCCGGTCCCGCGGCGCTCCCTGCGCGCCCAGCTCCCTCTGTCCATGCCCGGGGCCGGGCGCTGCCCGGAGCGCGCGCCTCCTGCACGGGGATTCTGCTCGCCGCCGCGCCCGACCGGGCCCGGGTCCCCAAGCAGTCCCGGGAGGAGGCGCAGGGAGCCGACCCGAGAGAGCGAGCGAGAGAGCAAGCGAGCCAGCCAAGGAGCGGGCGCCCGACGTCCCCGGCGAGTTCAGCGCGGCTCCGGGCGCTCCCAGCCCTCCTCCCCGCGCGCCGCGGCCGCCGCGCTCTTAAAGGGCCAGTGTGCTCCCAATGCGCGGACCCGGGCGGGGACCGGGGGCGGTGCCCCAGCCGCAGGCTTCTCACAAGCAGGTGCGGGCGGCCGAGGCCCGACAGGTGGGCGGTCCGTTTACGCTTCCCAGACGGCAGGAAACCTCTCCAGCCCACCCCGCGTCACTCCCAACCCAGCGCCTAGGGGGCGGGGGTGACCTCCAACGCGACCCCCCGCGGAGGGAGGAGGCAGGGAAGGCGTGGTCTCCCCGCCTGGGAAGAATGAAGACTCCTCCTTCTCATACCTGGTGGGGGATACCGAGGCCTAGGCGGACGGGAAGGAGGTCTTAGGGGAGGGATCAAAGAGTCGTTTTAGGCTTAAATATAAATATATATGTATATATGGATATTTGTCAGCCTGAAACCTCTTTTCAAAAGCCGCAGGGTGTCTCTGGCCATTGAATAACTTTCCTCAGTAGCAAAGTGAGGGTTTTGTGCGCGTCGAGGGCGCGTTGCGGCGGACAAGGGGCAGGTTTAGGAGGGACACGGTTCAAGTTCCGCGTCCGCCCCTTAGCTGCCGCTTGCACGTGGGCAAATTAATCTCTCCGAGCCTCCATGTTCTTATCGGGAACGTGGGGCAAAGAGTTGGGGTGAGGGCGAGGTAAGACTTCCGGCTCCTGGCCTGGCGCAATAGGTGCCCAAGCACTTTGGCCACTGGCTGGTGCGAGTGAAGTGCGACAGTGCGGCCGGAGTCGGCGCGGGGCGGGTGGACACACCTCCCCGCGAAGCTTAACGAGCTGGATTTCATTCTATTCCGGAAGCAGCTTGAGGTCGGGGCGGGGTGGATGCAGGAGGCCAGAGCTGGGAGGCCCGGGTCGAAGGTCCACCGAGACCCGGGGACCAGGCCAAGGGCAGCCCTGGCGCGGCGGACTGGCCGGCGTGGTCAGTGGGTGAGGGTTGCAGGCAGGAGGGCGGAGACCGAAGATAAGCTGTTCCTTATCTTCAGACCCGGAAATGGAAGCCGTCCTCACCTGAGGGCGGTTTTCTCTAGAGCAGGCCCTCGGGGCACCCTAGCCGGCCTCACCTCCCGGAAACTGGAAATCAGGAGACCTGGCAGAGTGCCTTAGAGAGGGCGCGTTTGAACCCTCCTGGGATGTCCTTGGGGAAAGGAAGTCGGAGTTTAGAGAAAGGAACCGGGCGATTCTATCATTTCCACGGACTCACTTCTCTGTGGGATCCTTCATCTGGGAAGTTGGTTTCTAAATTCTCCACTTCGAAATTTGCTTTTGGGAAATGTGCAGTGGTCTTCAGACACGGACAACGGGGTTGTCCTTGTTTAACCGACCACGTCGCACTCTTTCATGATATTTAGTCCCGATTAGCCAATTTTAAAAAGTTTGGGGCTAGGTAAAGTGGCTCAAGCCTGTAATCCCAGCACTTTGGGAGACCGAAGTGGGAGGATTGCTTTAGCCCAGGAGTTCAAGACCAGCCTGGGCAACATGACAAGACCCCATCTGTACAAAGAATACAAAAATTAGCCAGGTGTGGTGGTGTACGTCTGTAGGCCCAGCTACTTGGGAGGCTGAGTTGGGAGGATCACTTGAACCCAGGAGGTTGAGGATGCAGTGAGCTATGATCATGCCGCTGCCCTTCAACCCGGCTGTCAGAGCGAGACACTGTCTCAGAAAAAAAGAAAAAAAAAGTTGGGGTTTAAGGGGCTAGCTGTTAGTGAGAGGAGCCCAGGAATGAGTGGAGCAACGTTCTTTGAGGCCTGGGTCGGTCAAGTCTGGTGATTTTCTCTCTGTTGGAGGTTCCTCTCTTGGGGTCCAATCCTGCCTTAAGGAAATGACATCCCCTGTGACCAGATCTTGAAGCTCCCAATTATTGGTTCTGGCTCCTATAGGTACTTTGGGAGTCCAAGGTGGATTTGCATCTACATCCAACCCAAGATAGCTGGGTTTCTACTGGGTCTGGACAGCACCCAAAGCCCGAAAGGACTAGTCAGTGGGACTGAGATGTGTGAACTGCAGCCCTTCCATCAAGTAGCTTTAAACCTTATCCATATTTTGCCAATACCGTTTCATCTATGCCCTGACACCCCCGCCCACCACCACACACCTTTTTTTTCTTGGTCTTTTGAATGAAAGCCCAGACATGGTGTTTCAGAGCAGTTTCATTTAGAGGTCCCGATGTGGTGTGAGGGATTGTAAAAAGCTCTGGATCAGAAGCCAGGTCCCTGGGTTTTTGCCTCAGCTGTAATTTACTGGGCAATCCGAGCAAGTTATTCCCCTCTTTGGGTTTGTTTCCTCATTTGCAAAAGGAGAGTTCTGAGGTCGTAGGGGAGGTCTCCTGTTCAGTGAAGGAAAGTAGCTGTGGGATGGAACTAGGCCCAGGACACCCCCTCCCCCAGCTCTCCCCTCCAGGGGCCCCTCGGGCGATGCACCCACCCGACCCACCATCAAAGGTGAAGCAGGCCTTGGGACTCTTCGTGCCAAGACAAGGAATAAACAAACAAGCCAAGGTAATTTCCCTCTCCCTTGGAAACAAAGCTGGGGTGGTCTGGAGAGGCGCTGGAGAGTGCCAGGTGGAAATCAGCCAAACAGGCGTGAGATGATTTCCCTGCCCTGCGGGGAACATCTGAGGACACCGAGGCCAGATGTGTTGATTTTGTACTCTCCCTGGTGCGATAAAATCCTCATCAAGAGCATTTCTTTGGGCCAGCCTCCCTGGGGGGGACCGCAGCCTTCTCTGGTCTTCCCTCTGTCTCCAGAATTGTCTCCCATGTTTCTCCTCTTATGGAGAATCTCCTGTTATGGAAGAGCCCCGGCTGCTTCTGCACTGTCAGCGGGAGCGCTCGCTCAACGGGCTTACTCTGCTCCAGAGGCACACTCAGTGTCTGGGTGCCCGCCAAGCTCCTGCCGCCAGCCTCCTCCTCAGGCCCAGCCTGCCCACCCCTCCCCCTCAGCGAGACTCCTGCTTCCTTCCTCCATTGCCACCTTCCATTCTCCATTGAGGAGCCAGTTATTGATCTTGGCCCATTTCTCAAAGTTGCTGCACTCAAATTCCATCCTCAGCACAGACAGACTCCCCAGCCACATCCTCCCCCAGGGGAATGGCCCAGTCCCTCTTCCTGGGCTTGTTGATGGAGGCCCTACCTCACACCTGCCCCCCTCCCAATAGGAGCCAGTACCCAAGTCTGGGGAAGTACCATGTTGAGGATGGGGATTCTTCTCTGTGCTCCCTGCCTGCTCAGCCCTGCTGTGAGCACCCAGAGGGTAGACCTAGTCTGGTTCACCAAGTGCCCAGTTCAGGGCCTGGCACAGGGCAGGTGTCAGTTAAGTGCAGGCTGCACAGCCGGAGTTGCCATGTTGCTTGCAAGCCAGAAAGTATGCCCGGCATCCTCCTCCTCTCCAGAAGAACCAGACTAATGATGAGTCGGAGTCAGCAGATCAATGCGGTGGGGAGCAGGAACAAGGCACAGAATGTGCCTGTGTCTTTCAGTGCAGTGGCTGGGAGGCTGCCCCTTTCAGGAAAGGTGGGGTTGCAGGGGCCACCATGGGAGCCTGGGCAACAGGCCCCTCTCCCCACACCTTTCCCTGAAGCCCTATGTCCCCACCCAGATGCCAGGCCTGACCACGAGGTGGTGTGCAGGGCTGGATCAGGGCCACCCCAGCACAGGACCTGAGGTTAGGGCTGAGTACGGCCCTATTTCTCATGCAAGCAAGTCACTTAACCTGTTCTTGTAACAGAGGACTAGACATTCCCACCCTGTTTACCTTTCAGGGGATACTGGGAGGAAGACACGAGAAGGTTCTGGGAAGTGCTCAGTGTCACAGCAGTATAAGGCTTCAATGTCTGCCTATGTGGGTGAGGGATGAGGGTGGTGACCCCTGCCACCTAGCTCCAGGCTAGATGTCCTATGTGAGAACTCTGTGTGTACACCTGGCAGGCTGGGTGACCCCTCCCTACCCTTATTTTACTGAAGCATCATTAATGCCTCTCGAGGCCATCTTGGAAGTCACAGCAGAGACTTCCAAGAATCCTCCCAAACTGTGAGACACAGCTGGACAGGGTAGGGGAAGGTGACAGTCATCTTTTCACTGGGTTAAATACAAGTAGTCCAAAAAAGATCCAAAATAAAAAATGCAATTTTTATTTGTTGAACATAATTTGAAACTGTAAAAAGATTTCTCTGTCCATCACCAGAAATCCAGAAGACACCTGAAGAGGACTGACTGTTTCTTTGCCACGGGGAAGGTGTGATGAAACAATTAAAATCCCATGCATCCCTGGCCCTTCCTCCACGTTGCCCCTCAGAATGCCTGCAGCTGCAGCAGGCAGGAGGCAGCAGGAGAACCCGGGCTGTGGAAGGCCCCTCTGCCTCTCTGGGAAAGCTGCTGGGGAAGCCAGAGGTCACAGTGCATTGGAGGCCTGGCTTTCAGCCACTGGCCAGGCCAAAATGAAACATCTGCTCAAGTCTCCCCAGGCACCTTGCTGGGGGTGAGTGGGAGAAAGAAGTGGAGAAAACTGATGCTGGACCACAAGTTATCACCCTGTACCTTGGCTTTGAAGTGGCCCCTGCTGGTACAGGAGCAGGGTGAGAGTAAAAGTAAATAAATAAAAGCAACATGCTTCAAGGAGAGAGGGTGACAGACCCACTGAAGCACCCCGTGTCCTGGCTCGACCAGGGATAAGCCAGGGCGTGATGATTTAAAACACTCTGATCTGAGGCCAATGGCATCAAAATACAAATTGCTGAAGTGGGAGAGGAAGTGAAGGGCTGTTTGTTAGGGGGACTACAGTGGAGATTCTGGTGAGTGTGGGTGGGCTCGCCAGTGACCCCAATATTTTCTTTGTGTAACAACCAGAGTAAGCATTAGGATGCCCAGGCTGCCCTCTACTGGCAGTTTCTGGGAAGGACCACAACAGCAGCACCCAACCTGCAACCCACAACAGCCGAGACAGGAGAGAGAGAAGAAAGCAAGAGAGAGAGAGGAGAGGAAGAGAGAGAGGAGAGGAAGAGATAGAGGAGGGGAAGAGATAGAGGACAGGAAGAGAGAGAGGAGGGGAAGAGAGACAGGAAGGGAAGAGAGAGGAGAGGAAGAGAGAGAGGAGAGGAAGAGAGAGGAGGGGAGGAGAGACAGGAGGGGTAGAGAGAGGAGAGGAAGAGAGAGGAGAGGAAGAGAGGAGGGGAGGAGAGACAGGAGGGGAAGAGAGAGAAGAGGAAGAGAGAGAGGAGAGGAAGAGAGAAGAGAGGAAGAGAGGAGAGGAAGAGAGACAGAGGAGAGAAAGAGAGGAGAAGAGAGAGAAAGAAGAGGAAGAGAAAGAGAGAGAGAGAATATCAGCACTCAGGGAGGATGAGGAGTGGCTACACCTCCTGCCAGGTTGAAGGCATGGCTGGGGCCTCCTACTGGGAGGCTAGAAGCATCTCCATCGATTTTAGCAGGTTCCTCCATCTCAGCCTGGTCTGCAGAGGGCCCTGGAGGAGGAAGGCCTCTGGTGCTCACTTCAAAGGCATCGAGAAGAACTTGTTCCCAGACTTGCAGCGGACTTGCTCAGTGTGCACGCGCAGCAGCACCTCAGCATCTTCAAACCCATCCACGATTGCCTTAAAACAGCAGCCAGGGGAGGACAGTCACATTAAGGGGCATCTGGGACCCACAGGGCACTGCAAACAAAACCAGCTCACCCAACTTCAGAGGCTGGGCGAGGCTGAGGCTGCAGGCTCCAGGCTCTGCATTGGTGATCTTGTCTGATCACTTCTGTAATCTCTGAGGTTGGTCCTATCATCTCAACTTTACAGATGAGGACACAGATGCTCAGAGCCCTGGATCACAGAAACCAATAAAACCAGGCCTGGGACCCAGGTCTGCCGGAGCCCAAACTAGAGCTCTTTGCCACCTCCAGCAACATCAGGCCAAGCGCAAGGTGGCTCCTTAACGAGGGACCACAGCTGCATCCAGCCTGCACGTTTGGTTTGGTTGCAAAATGTTTTTTAAACATCCAAATTAGTTGCTGACATTTGAAAACTGACAGATTACATGTAAAAATCTAGGTTTCTGGCTTCTCTTATGAAACAGAAGTGCTGGCAACTCTAGGCCAATCTTCCCGCATGGCCACACTCCCTACTGTCTCCCCAACCAGGGCTGGAGTATCAGCCGCCGCTTACCACTTCATGTAACTTGCTGGTTCTCCTCCAAGGGCGCAGATGGGAAAGTGGAATCTTTCAGCTACTTATCAAAATCTGATAGACTCTGGGGGCTGGATGTTCCTTACCCCTGGTACATTTCACCCATTTTCAGTGCCAGGCCCAAGCCTCTGACCTCTGGGCAAGTGGCTAGGACTTCAGGGAAAGCCTGCAGCCTCCTCGCAGATCAGTGTTCTAGGGCAGTGCTCCCTAGAACTGTAATGTGCACACAAATCCCCAGAGATCTTGTTAAAATGTAATTCTGATTTCTTAGGTCTTGGTGGGGGTGGGGGCAAAGATCTGTGTTGTTAATAAGCTTCAGGTGACACTGAAGCTGCTGGTCCAGGGGCCACACCTTGAGTCACAAGGGAAGGTGTTGGGGTCTCCTGCCATGTCATTTGTTTCCCAGGGATTCAGGTTTGGGTGCCTCATCCTCCCCCTCTCCAGCATCTGTCCTGTCATTTCTGGAGTTCAGCGCCCTCTGTGCTCCCGCCCTGGAAATTCACCTGTAGTTCCTGCAGGCACTGCCCCTCCAGCTGGAGACGTGCATCACCCACACACCAGGCCAGGCTGAGGTGGAAAGAAGGATCCTGGGGAGGGAAACGAGAGGCAGGCAGTCACCCGGACGCCTTGGCAGGCCCTGCCCTCACAGCAGGTCTGTGACAGAGCTGTCGTGACATCCCTGCTGGATCCCTGGCCTGCCCAGTGGGAGACAAGATACTCAGTGTTGATCCCAAGCACCCTCCACAGACAGACAAAACAGCACAGGACTGGTCCTTGCTATGGACTGAATCGTGTCACCTCCCCCAAATTCATGTAGCCCTAACCCCCAATGTGATAGTATGTAAAGATGGGGCCTTTGAGGGGTAATTAGGGTTAGATGAGGTCATGAGGGCAGGACCCTCATGATTAGTGCCCTTTAATCACAGAGAGCTTGGGCACTGCTCTCTCTCTCTGTAGCCCCCAACCCCTGCCCCGCCATGTGAAGGCGGCCATCTATATGCCAGGAAGAACCCTCACCAGAAACCGACCACGCTTGGCCGGGTGCAGTGGCTCACACCTGTAATCCTAGCACTTTGAGAGGCCAAGGCAGGCAGATCACCTGAGGTCAGGAGTTTGAGACCAGCCTGGCCAACATGGTGAAACCCCGTCTCTACTAAAAATACAAAAATTAGCTGGGCGTGGTGTTGTACACATGTAGTCCCAGCCACTTGGGAGACTGAGGCAGAATTGCTTGAACCTGGGAGGCGGAGGTTGCAGGGAGCTGAGATTGCGCCACTGCACTCCAGCATGGGCGACAGAGTAAGACTCTGTCTCCAAAAAAAAAAAAAAAAAAAGACATCAACCATGCTGTCACCTTGATCTTGGACTTCTAGCCTCCAGAACTGTGCAAAAATAAATTTCTGTTATTTAGGCCACCCAGTCTATGGTATTTTGTTATGACAGCCTGAGCTAAGACAGTCGTATTCACAGAGGCTTTCCCTGAAGTATCAGAGGGTCATTACATCTGTGACATGAAAGAAAATCCACCCTCTATTCTGATCTAGGACATTCCAGTATACACCATACTTTTCAGATGACATGAACAAAATCCCCAAAGTCTCAAGTTTTGAAGCAACAATAATTGTCTCCATTCAAATTCATACTTATCTCCCTCAGCACGGTTTAAAAACATATATCAAATAAAATGAATGGCCCTTCAAAGCCCTGAGAGTCGACTTAGAGTCCAAGTGCCCTTGGAGGGCCTGGGCAAGGTGCAGGAAGGTGTGTGAAGCTACAACTCCTCTCTGAGGGTCAATCTGACCAAAAATTATTAGGGACATCTACTTAAAAAATGTGAAAACAACACGGGAACATTATGGAGCAGAAGGTACAAATCTCGGGCGTATTTAGGATATAAAGCAAAATTTCTAAGAAATGTTGGACTTTGGGTGGGCTGCATCTGACTACACCTCAAAGCCCTCACCCCCCGAGGTGTGCATCCTCAGAAGGCTGGCATTCAGAGCACCGACACGGGAGGTTCTGAAGGGTCTTCGGTTTGCCTCTTACGAGGGCTTCTTTAAAGACAGTTTTATTCTCATTAGAAATGGGTCAATGGAGAAGCAGCAGCCCCATTCATTACCTGGTAGAAAGTGGTGAGGTTGAATTCCTCCATGACTCTGTCCACCTCTGAAACCAGGTCCAGGAACTGGGCATGCCCTGAAGTGACCTCAAGCCCAATAAAGGTCCTGGGGAGAGGAAGACAACGCAGGCATGAGATGTAGCCTCTGAGAACACAGCCATCTGCGCAGCCGAGCAGGAGCCAGGCAGAAGGCCAAGAGGCCTGGGCCGTGGGTCTCACCGTCTCCCTGGTACACTCGCTTTCCTGCTCCATGAGCCAACTCTCTCAGTCCTCAGATTCTCTGTCTGTAAATCTTCCTTTCCCAGTTCTCACCCACACAGCTCTCCTCCCTTCTCTGGATCTAATAACCCTTCCAGGAACGCCTTCACCCACCACTGCCAAGTCACAAACCCAGAAGCTTCTGCACCCCCATTCTCCATCATCATTCCAATCGCAAATGACTCCTGTCCTCAAGGAGGCCTCTTCTCGAGGACTTTGCTCCCAGGCATCTGCCACGCCTCCCACAAGCACTCAGGCATGCTCTCTCATCTTTAAAAACTCTCCCCTGAACCCACGGTTTCAGCACGTCCCCATCCCATTCTCAGTGAAACTTCTCAAAAAGACCATTTGTCCACCATCACTATCTCTTTCTCACCTCCCATCTTCAACCCACTTTGCTGGGAGTCCTCTTGTCAAAGTTGCCAACAACCTCCACGTTACCAAATCCAAGGGACACTTCGCTGTCCGCCTCGTACGCACCCAGCAGTATCTCACACAGTGGACTCTTCCCTCCTTGAAACCCTTTTCTCTCTTGGCTCCCAAGACATCACCTGCCACGCAGTCTTGGTTTAATCCTGCCTCCTGTCTCCCGGTTCAGTGTCCTCTGCCACCCTCTCTCCTCTCCAGCCTCCCCGTGGTGAAGATCACTGGATCTTCTCCATCTGCACTCTCCAGGAGGCTGATCTCACCCAGCCCCGCTTCCCACACAGGCCAACACTGCCCACATTTCTATCTCCAGCTGGTCCCTCTCCTGAACACCCAGTTGTATATGTGACATTTCCACCTAGGGGTCCAATAGATAGCAAAACCTAGCAGGTACAAACAAACAGGTACAAAGCAGCACTTTTGCTTTTCATCCCACCAGTGTCTCTTATCACAGAAAACGGGGCCAGTTGTTCTAGCCTCAAACCCAGGAATCAATGTTCGTCTTCCCCTTGCTTCACATAAATCCAACCCATTGGTAATTTGGTTGCTTCTGCCTCTAGTGTATCTCCAATGTGTCCACCTCTTGGTCTTCCATGGCCATCACCCTAATCTAGGCCACCAATGGTCCCTCACCTGGACAATGACACCTGGCTCCTCTCTGGTTTCCCTGCATCCACTCTTGCTCCCTTCTATCTTGCCCCCAGACTCCATGGCCACAGACACACCACTAGCCAGACTGACATCCCCAGATATAGATCAGGTCATGCCTCTCCTCTGTTCAAATCCCTCCAATGGCTTCCATTATACTGAAAATTCAAACTCCTTACTTGAGCTTGCAGCCCCTGGATGGGCTAACCCTACCCATCTCATCTCCTATCATTCTCCCTCGTGCTTTCTGGGGTCTGCCTCACTGGCCTCCTCAAACATGCTGAAATCTTCCCTGCCTCGGAGTCACTTAGTTTGCTATGTCCTCTGCTTGAAGCTCTTGCAACAGCTCTTCCCAAGGCTGGCTTCTCATTCTCAGGTCACCATCAAATGCCATCTCCCTGGCCACTTCCCTGGTACCCTCCTGGACTACCCACTCCTGACCATATCACACCACAGTTATTAACAAACACTCTCATTACTTGTTTATTATCTGTCTCCCCTCTGAATATGAGATTGAAAAGAGCAGGGGCTGTGTCTACCTCTTCACTGATGAATCCTTAGTGTACAGCAAATGCCTGGCACAAGTGGGTGCTTAACAAACTTGTGCAGCATGGAATAAATGAATGAATAAATGAGGCCCCTTTCAGAAGTGCTCAGAGAAGGTGGCCCAGTGAGTGCATCAGACAGGGAGGCTCGCTTTGAAGGCAGGATAATCATTTCTTCTTATGTTCATCTAACACTTTAATACTTTTAACTTTTCAAAGGCCTTGGGGCTCATTTGAGCCTTACAACTGCCCAACAGTGGATGTTGGGAGGCGTGTGCCAGTGTGAAAATGAAAGGTCACAGAGATGAAGACACGGACTAAACACCACAACTGGGATGGAGCTGGGCAGAAACAGGTTTCCTGACTTTCACAGGTTTTCACTAAACCAAGATGCTTCTCTCAATCTCTGGGCACCACCCCACTACATGCTCCTCCAGTCATTATTTATTTATTTATTTATTTATTTATTTATTTATTTATTTTTGAGACAGAGTTTCACTCTTGTCACCCAGGATAGAGTGCAGTGGTGTGATCTTGGCTCACTGCAACCTCCTCCTCTAGGGTTCAAGCGATTCTCCTGCCTCAGCCTCTCGAGTAGCTGGGATTACAGGCGCCTGCCACCA
Organism: Homo sapiens; assembly: GCF_000001405.40. Lineage (NCBI taxonomy): Eukaryota > Metazoa > Chordata > Mammalia > Primates > Hominidae > Homo > Homo sapiens. Next base: position 58,014,939 of record NC_000016.10, on the reverse strand, counting down.
CACCCAGCTAATTTTTTGTATTTTTAGTGGAGATGGGGTTTCGCCATGTCAGGCAGGCTGGTCTCGAACTCCTGACCTCAGGTGATCTGCCCACCTTGGCCTCTCAAAGTGCTGGGATTACAAGCGTGAGCCACCGCACCTGGCCTTTTATTTTTTTGAGACAGGGTCTCACTCTGTTGCCCAGGCTGGAGTGCAGTGGTGCAATCTTGGCTCACTGCAGCCTCGACCTCCAGGGCTCAAGCGATCCTCCCATCTCAGCCTCCCAAGTAGCTGGAACTACAGGCACACACTACCATGCTCAGCTAATTTTTGTATTTTTCATAGAGACACGGTTTGGCCATGTTGCCCAGGCTGGTCTGGAACTCCTGAGCTCAAGCTATCCACCTGCTTCAGCCTCCCAAAGTGCTGGAATTACAGGCATGCGCTACTGTGCCTGGGATCTCCCAGTTATTTTTCTTAAAGAAAGGTTCAGATTTGGGGATAGCTGCCTTTATAGTCATAGAGTTGGTTAAAAGCAAACAAAAAATGGGACAAACAAGTCCAGAAACAAAGCACTCAATTTTTGCACCAAAGAATCTTCCTCTGATGGTGATTGGGGGTTGGGAGGACCCACCTGGTTTTCTCTTGATTGGTGTAAATCTTTACCTGGTTGGCAGTAAAGAAGAATCTGAAATTTAGAAGACCATATTTCAGGAAAAATCGTAAGAAAAAAAGCAGAAAAAATAGCTTATGTTAAAAAAAAACAGCACTTTGAAAATATAGTTAACTCATTTTGCACTTCATATTATCACCCCATTATGCAGGTGGTATACTGAACCTTAAACATTAGAGCTGGACAAGACCTTAAAATCACCCAGCCCGAGTAACACACAACATCATCCAGGTGCTAGTAAAAATTTTACTTTGTTAATAGCAGTTCATTTCGATAAACAATTTGAGACTATCTCAACTTCACTGATGGGAACTGAGAAAGCCTTATTGATCAAGTAGGTGATAATGGACCACTTAACAGCTGATTCATTTCTTGCAGTTTTTTAAAATAGATGACTCCGATTTCATCTAAGCAATCACGACAACATTTCTTCGTGTGTCAGGGCTGAGCTCAAGCCTTTGCACACTCTGTTTCTCGAATCCTCACACAACTCTGTGAGCAGGCCTACAATTATGCCCATTTTACAGACAAAGAAACAGAGGCATGGTGAAGCTGAATTTGGTGAGCCAGGATTGGAACAGTCAGTCTGCCTGTTTCCAGAGTCCTTGTTGTCACCTATGACGCTTTCGTGAGGGGAATAGGTCTGTTGGTGTGAAATCGAGACAGATGCCCCCACCCACCCACCCCTCAGATCAATAACACGGGAAGAGTCAGGCTCAGCTAGGTAAGTGCTTTGACTTGGACTGGTTCTGTCCTTTATTCTCTGAGACACTAGCAATCTCACCATGGAAAGTCTCCTCACAGAAACAGATCATTTTACAGCCCCCAGGCCAAGGGTCTCACCCCCATCTGAGGGAACATAATATACCAGCATGCTGGGTAGAGCCTCACAATCTGCCCAAGGGCAAAAGTCAGTCAGCCAACTCTCTGCCTCTGGAGAAAATGTAAGGGATCACAGAACCACCAGGAGCTTGGTTAAGTGCAGCTTTTAGGAAGAGTTCTCAAGGTGTCTCCCAAACATCCTGGAGTGGACACTGGATGTCTGTGCCCAACCAAAACTCCTTCTCCTGGTAACCTCGTGTTGCAGGATGGCTCTCCACCCCTACTCCAGAGGCAGGCTGCCCAGGCCTGGCCAAACAGAGCTTAGCATTTCCTCAGTCACAGCAACAGAATCAGGGGTGCACCGCCCACTCTTGGTCACCTTAGGCTCAACCAGATGATCAAAGTTGAACAGACCACACCTGCCCGGGCTTCACTCATGACACAGATCCTTTCCTCAGAGGGAACCAGCCCAGGGGTCCAGGTGCTGTTTTCTAGTCTCTCAGTGAGCAAGGGAACCAGCCACATATACATCCCACAGGGATCAGTATTTCTTGCAATGGACTTTAGGCAGAGTTTTCCTAAGTCCCAGCAAGGGACTCGTGCCCAGTTAAGGAACCACTGTATGCAGGGGAGCCCAGGCCGTGGCTTCCCTGGAGGGGTGCAGTTCATGCTGTCTTCCTAGCGCAAGTGCAGTGTGCCAGTCATCAGCACTAACATAGCCGCTCTCCTCCTTCATCCAGGGGCAGAGCTTCCGCAGGATAAGGGAAGCACTCTCTGTGGAAGGGGGAAGGGCCTGTTAACTCTTTACTCCCAAAGAAAGCACACAGGAGACGGGTCAGACCAGGCAGTCATTCCTGTGACTTGTGCTGAAGCCAATCAGAGAGGGAGGCTGTCTTTCCAGGCTGGTACACCATTAGCCGGGAGATGCGGTGGCTTCGTCATTGTGACAAAGGAAGGGGACAGAGCTGAGATGGTGAACAGTCTGCCTGTGGTGGTGACAGTCAGGTGCCATCTGATATCTTGTCACCCCGGTCCACTCATGCATGAGCCAGTGCTACCTCTGAATCTTTTAGTTATACCAGCCTATAAATTTCTCTTTGGTTTAAGCCACTTTGGGTTGGGCTTCTGGCATGGGCTTCTGGCACCTGTGGTTAAGAGAGTCCTGATAATATACAATCAATCAACTTGATAATGACAATCCAAAGAGGGGGAGGGCTGGACTAGGTTGAGAGATGAGTTTCAGCCCTTATTCCCTGGCCGAGTGTCTGGATTGGGACAAATCCTGTCCTCCTCTGGCCCTCAGAAGGGGTTCAGCTAACTGAGCAGTTTCCTAGTTGGGCAGTGACATCCTATGGAATTCCTGGGCCTATGGCCCCCTGAACTGTGGGAATGGGGCTTTGGCTAGAAGACTGTTTATTTCTGTTTTACACAGCCACACATCAGGCTTTTGTGCAACACCTCATTTGAAAAAAGGCTCTGCTGATAAAGGCAGGGTCAGAAAACCATCAGCCGGGTGGCTTCTTAGGCTCCTTCTAGTATCAACAGTAGAGGATCCAGAAAGATATTCTCTAGGCTCCCTCATTCCCGCACCATGACTCAACAAGCATCTATTTGATGTCTACTGTGAGCAGAGCACTTGGAAAAAAGCTGTGGGGCAATTCAGAGAGAAGCCACAGTCCTGGCCTGGAGGAATGTGGGCTCCAGGAAGGAAGATGGACACAGGAACGACTGCATATGAGGGTGAGTGAAATGACCACCAGGGGTAAAGAACCACAGGACCAACTGATCTCTGGATGGAGGGGTCACCTGTGAAACAACCACAGGGCCAACTGATCTCTGGACGGAGGTGTCACCTGTGAAACAACCACAGGACCGACTGATCTCTGGACAGAGGAGTCACCTGTGAAACAACCACAGGACCGACTGATCTCTGGACGGAGGGATTCTGCAGGATATGCCAACCGGGAGAGCCTCAGTGAAAGAGCAGGGTTTTGATCTGGACCAGTCTAGCAGGAGATGCATTTCTGGTAGGAAAAGAGTTATGAAATAATCTAATAGGTAAGGGGAAAAAAAAAGCCCCAGGCTGGCAGACAAAACCAGAAGTGGGGTCTGGTACTAACCCTTCACCCAAGTGGTGTGCTGAGGGCACCCATGATCTCCTTTCACCCCCATAGGCCCCCAGTGAGGTAGCTCCCACCATTACCATGACCTGTTTGACCTATCACTGTGAAATGATAACATATGTGTTGGTCTCAGCCTCCAGTTCCTGACACAGAGATCCTAAAACCTGTGTCATTTCCTAAGCAGCAGGGGTGCTAGGAGCATCTTTTGTTCTATTATCTGGTCTGTGATCCTGGCTCCTGACGCAGAGCTCCTAAATCCTTTGGAATTTCCTGGGTGACAGGGGCATCTTTGGTTCCAATGAGGCAATGAGGTCCTGGATGGGGGCTGATCACAGAAAGAGCAAGGCATGATTAGAAGCTGGGAACTTTCAGCCCCACCCCCTACCCTCCCGGTATGGGAGGGAAGCTAGAGACTGAGTTAATAATCCATCATGCCTATGTGATGAAGCCTCCGTAAAAATTTGGAACTACAGGGTTTGAGGAGCTTCCCTTGGTGATTAAGAACGCACCCATGTGCTGGGAGGGTGGCTCACTCCCAACTCCACAGGGTCAGAAGCTCCCATGCTCGGGACCCTTCCAGACCTCACCCTACCTATCTCTTCATCTGGCTGTTCATGTGTATCCTGTAACATATCCTTTGTAATAAACTGGCGCCCTAGTAAGTGGACTGTTTGCCTGAATTCTGTGAGCCATTCTAGCAAATGATCAAACCTGAGGAGAGGGTCCACAGAACCTCTGATTTGTAGTGAAATCAGACAGATGTTGTGGGTAACCTGAGAGCTCAACACTGCAGATGGTGTCTGACAAGGAGCGCAGTCTTGTGGGACTGAGTCCTTAACCTATGAAGTCTGCACTAACCCTGGGTTATTAGTGTCAGAATTGAGTTCGATTATAGGACACCCAGTGGGTGTCTGGAGAGTTGGATAATTTGTTGGTGTGGAAAAAAACTCAACACATCTGGTCACAGAAGTGCTGGAAGTACTGAGCAAGAGCTTACAGAAAAACAGCTGGCTTTTCCTACAGAGCAGATACGGCATCAGGGGTGTCAAGAGCTTCCACGGCATGCCCAAGGTCACGGAGGATGAGAAGTAGAGCAGGCAGCCCCAGGAGAGGGGCCGTGTTCTATCTTTAGGTCTGCCTGCCTGCTGGGGTAATGCCCGCAGTAGCTCAGGAGAGGAGGAGAAGCCATGGAGGGGAGGGAGTGGAGAGGCAGAGGGAAGAAGCACTCACCTGTGGAAGGAGGTCATACGGGCTTTCAGAGCCTGCACGAAGGGGAGGATCCAGTGGTGGCGCAGAACCACACTCTGGGACAGGCTGAGGTGGAACACCTTCATCCTTACCAGCCGGGGGACATATGTCTGGGCATGGGGCAGCAACACATCAAGCAGATCCAGGAACTCCTCCTTGGCTTCATCTGGAGGGGAGGAGTAAAGAGGGCGGGCCGTTCTCTCAGCCAAGGTGCCATGGCTGAATGAAGAAGCCCAGAAGGCAGAGGGAAGTCCTTATTACTCTGGGTTTGGGGAGAAAATTACTTGGACAGCAGCCTATGTCTATGTCTTCTAATATAATTTTATTTTCATTTATTTATTTATTTATTTATTATTATTTTTTTTTTTTTGAGAAGGAGTCTTGCTCTGCCGCCCAGGCTGGAGTGCAGTGGTGCAATCTCGGCTCACTGCAAGCTCCGTTTCCCGGGTTCATGCCATTCTCCTGCCTCAGCCTCCCGAGTAGCTGGGACTACGGGCGCCCGCCACCACGCCTGGATAATATTTTTTTTTTGTATTTTTAGTAGAGACGGGGTTTCACCGTGTTAGCCAGGATGGTCTCGATCTCCTGACCTCGTGATCCGCCCGCCTCGGCCTCCCAAAGTGCTGGGATTACAGGCGTGAGCCACTGCGCCCAGCCTCCAGTTTTTCTTAACAAGGTCTACCCTCAGGAGAAACTTACTGAATTACAGCCTAACCTGAAAGTGTTTTATCAGACTCTTAACTGACCTAGGGGAAGTGAAATACCAAACTGCAGCACCTTCTGGTCATCCTGTCCCACCTAGGAAGGGGAAAATTCTGAGAAGCGTGTGGGAAGTTCCCAGTCCAGAGGAACCGGCTCACCAAAAGATTGACACCCAATCACAGGACTACAGAAGGATTCTTGTCCCCCACCACCTCACCACCACATTCATACAGGCCTGTTTACCACAGTTCCTTTTACATAGTACTTCATGTCCAGCTATCGAGGAAAAATTACAAGACATACTAAAGGGCAAAAATACAATCTGAAGAAAAATAGTAAGCATCAGAACCCCTTAAATATAAAAGACTAGAAACCATACAATGTCTGATCTCAGGCCACAATGAAATTAGACTAAAAGTCTGTAACAGAAATGTAGCTGGAAAATCCCCAAATACTTGGAGATTAAAAAACACACTTCTAAATAACACACGGATCAAAGAAGAAATCTCCAGAAAACTTTATAAATATTTTGAACAAAATAAAAATGAAAACATAACTTATCAAAACTTGTGGAATGCAGCAAAAGGTGCTTAGAAGAATATTTATAGCATCAAATGCATATATTAGAAAAGAAGATCTAGGCCGGGTATGGTGGCTCACGCCTGTAATTCCAGCACTTTGGGAGGCAGAGGCAGGTGGATCACTGGAGGTCAGGAGTTCGAGACCAGCCTGACCAATATGGTGACACCCCGTCTCTACTAAAAATACAAAAATAACTGGGCACGGTGGTGCGTGCCTATAGTCCTAGCTACTTGGGAGGCTGAGACAGGAGAACCACTTGAACCTGGGAGGCGGAAGTTGCAGTGAGCTGAGATTGCGCCACTGTACTCCAGCCTGGGTGACGGATCGAGGCTCCCTCACAAAAAAAAAAAAAAAAAAGAAAAAGAAAAAGATCTAAAGTCAATCATCTGAGTTTCATCTTAGGAAAGTAGAAAAACAACAGCAAATTTAATCCAAAGTAAGCAGAAGTAAAGAAATAATTAAAATTAGAGCAGAAATCAATAAAATTGAAGACAAGAAATCAATAAAGAAAATCAATAAAACCAAAAGCTGGTTGTTTGAAAAGATCAGTAAATCAACAAGTTTCTAGCCAGGCTAACTAAGAAAAATAGAGAGGGCACACAAATTACTAAAATCAGGAATGAAAGATGGGACATCATTACAGATCCCATGGATAATAAAAGGATAATCAAAGAATACCATGAATAACTTTATGTCCACAAATTTGATAACCTAGATGAACTGGAACAATTCCTTGAAAGACCCGATCTGCTAAAACTCACAAAAGAAGAAATAATCTAAATAGGCCTAAATCTATTAAACAAATTGAATTATTATTATTTTTTTTTTGAGACAGAGTCTCACTCTTTTGCCCAGGATGGAGTACGGTGGTGCAATCTTGGTTCACTGCAATCTCCGCCTCCCAGGTTCAAGCGATTCTCCTGCCTCAGTCTCCCGAGTAGCTGGGATTACAGGCACCCGCCACCAAGCATGGCTAATTTTTTTGTATTTTTTTAGTAAAGACAGGGTTTCACCATGTTGCCCAGGCTGGTCTCAAACTCAGGCAATCTGCCCGTGTTGGCCTCCCAAAGTGCTGGATGATAGGCGTAAGCCACTGCACCCAGCCTGAATAAATAAATAATTACCTTCCGGCTGGGCTCTGTGGCTCACACCTGTCATCCCAGCACTTTGGGAGGCCAAGGTGGGTGGTTCACCGGAGGTCAGGAGTTTGAGAACAGCCTGGCCAACATGGCGAAACTGTGTCTTTACTAAAAATACAAAAATTAGCCAGGCGTGGTGGTAGGTGCCTGTAATCCCAGCTACTCATGAGGCTGAGGCAGGAGAATAGCTTGAACCTGGGAGGCAGAGGTTGCAGTGAGCCGAGATCATGCCAGTGTGCTCCATCCTGGGCAACAGAGTGAGACTCTGTCTCCGAAAAACAAACAAACAAACAAACAAACAAAAATTACCTTCCAAAACAGAAGGCACCAGGCCCAGATGGGTTCGGTTCACTAGAGAATCCCACCAAACATTTAAGGAAAAAATTAAACCAATTATCTATAATCTTTCAGAAGACAAAAGCAGAGAGAATACTTCCTGACTTATTCCATGAGGCCAGCATTATCCTCATACCAATACCAGAAAAAGACATTACAAGAAAACTACAGACCCATATCTCTCATGGACAGAGATGCAAGATTTTCAAGAAAATATTAGCAAATTGAATACAACAACATATAAAGAGAATAATGCTCCACAACTAAATGGGATTTATCCCAGGTATTCAAAGCAGGCTCAACATTCAAAAATCAATTAATGTAATCCATCCAATCAATAGGCTAAAGGAGAAAAATCAAATGATCCTATCAATAAATACAGAAAAAGTATTTGACAAAATCCAATACCCATTCAAGATAAAAACTCTCAGAAAACTAGGAATAGAGGGGAACTTTGTTAACTTGATAGAGAATGTCTAAAAATACCTATAGCTAACTGATAGGAAACTCCAAAGCTTTCCCATTAAGATCAGGAACAAGGTAATGATGCCTCCTCTCACTATTGCTTTTCAACTCATACTGGAAGTCCTAGCTAATGCAATAAGGCAAGAAAAGGAAATAAAAGGTATACAGATTAGCAAAGAAGAAATAAGCCTGTTTTTCTTTTTTTTTTCCCCAAGACAGAGTCTTGCTCTGTTGCCCAGGCTGGAGTGCAGTGGTGCACTCTCCGCTCACTGCAACCTCCACCTCCCGGGTTCAAGCAATTCTCCTGCCTCAGCCTTCTAAGTAGCTGGGATTACAGGCATGTGCCACCATGCCCAGCTAATTTTTGTATTTTTAGTAGAGATGGGGGTTTCGCCATGTTGGCCAGGCTGGTCTTGAACTCCTGACCTTGTGATCTGCCCGCCTTGGCCTCCCAAAGTGCTGGGATTACAGGTGTGAGCCACTGTGTCCGTTTTTTTTTTTTGTTTTTTTTTTTTTTTGAAACGAGGTTTTGCTCTTGTTGACCAGGACGGAGTGCAATGGTGCAATCTTGGCTCACTGCAACCATTGCCTCCTGGGTTCAAGTGATTCTCCTACCTCAGCCTCCCAAGTAGCTGGGACTACAGGCATGTCCCACCACGGCTGGCTAATTTTGTATTTTTAGTAGAAATGGGGTTTCTCCATGTTGGTCAGGCTGGTCTTGAACTCCCAACCTCAGGTAATCTGTCCACCTTGACCTCCCAAAGTGCTGGGATTACAGGTGTGAGCCACCACACCCAGCGTGTTTTTCTTCATAGATGACATAATTGTCTACGGAGAAAATCCAAAAGAACTACCAAAAAAAATTTCCTGGAAGTAATAAATGATATAGCAAGGTTGCAGTGTACAAAGTTAACATACAAAAGTCAACTTCTGTATATTTGCTTTCCTATACACCAGCAACGAACAAGTAGGATTTGAAATTAAAGATACAGGGTTTACCTTAGCACCCCCAGCAAAATGAAATACTTAAGTATAAATCTAACAAAATAAGTATAAGATCTATATGAGGAAAACTATAAAACTCTGATGAAAGAAATCAAAGAAGAACTAAGTAAGTGGAGAGATGTTGTGGGTGGCAAGCCATCCAGGTGCCGAGGCAAGAGACCGAGGGCACGAGTTGTTCCAGTATAATAAAATATATAAAACAACAAGAGTTATACTAGATCTAGATCATAGACATGATTATATATGAATATTATTAATCATTAGTTTGTAGCAATTACTCTTTATTCCAATATATAATAATCCTCGCTCTATAATCATAACCTAGGAAAAACCAGGCCATACAGAGATAGGAGCTGAGGGGACATAGTGAGAAGTGACCAGAAGACAAGAGTGCGAGCCCTCTGTCATGCCCGGACAGGGCCACCAGAGGGCTCCTTGGTCTAGCAGTAATGCCAGCGTCTGGGAAGATGCCCATTGCCAAGTGGACCGTGGTCTAACGGTAGCGTCAGTGCCAAGGGAAAACACCCGCTACTTAGCAGACCGGGAAAGGGAGTCTCCCTTTCCCCAGGGGAGTTTAGAGAAGACTCTGCTCCTCCACCTCTTGTGGAGGGCCTAACATCAGTTAGGCCCGCCCGCAGTTATCTGGAGGCCTAACCATCTCCCTGTGATGCTGTGCTTCAGTGGTCATGCTCCTAGTCTGCCTTCACACCTGTACACCTGGCTCTGCCTTTTAGCTAGCAGTAGCAAAATTAGTGAAAGTACTAAAAGTCTCTGATATGCAGAAATAATGGTGTAAGCTGTCCTCTCTCTCTCCCTCTCTCTCTCTGCCTCAGCTGCCAGGCAGGCAAGGGCCCCCGTCCAAGTGGCGTGACTCACGTAACCTTGTCAATCATTGGAGATGGCTCACACTCCTTACCCTGACCCTTTGTCTTGTATCCAATAAATATCAGCGCAGCCTGGCATTCGAGGCCACTACCGGTCTCCGCGTCTTGGTAGTAGTGGTCCCCCGGGCCCAGCTGTCTTTTCTCTTATCTCTTTGTCTTGTGTCTTTATTTCTACAATCTCTCGTCTCCGCACACAGGGAGAAAACCCACCGACCCAGTGGGGCTGGACCCTACAAGATATTCTATGTTTATAGACAGAAAGATTCAATATTGTAAAGATGTCAGTTCTTCCCAATTTGATCTACAGATTCAATACAATCCCAGTCAAAATCTCAGCAAGTTATTTTGTGATACTGACAAACGGATTCTAAGGTGTACATGGAGAGGTAAAAAACCAAAACAGGCCAAGTGCTGTGGCTCATCCCTGTAATCCAAGCACTTTGGGAGGCTGAGGCCAGAGGATTGCTTGAGCCCAGGAATTCAAGACCAGCTTGGGCAATATAGTGAGACCCTATCTCTAAAAAAAACCAAAAAAAGCCCCCAAAAAACCCAGAATAGTCAACACACTACTGAAGGAGAAGAACAAAGTTGGAGGACTGAAACTACCCAACTTCGAGACTTAACTATGTAAAGTTACAGCAATCAAAACAGTTCACCAATGGTATTGGTGAACAAATAGATGAATGGAACAGAATTGAGAACCCAGAAATAGACCCACATCAATACAGTCAACCGATCTTTGGCAAAGGAGCAAAAGCAATACAATGTGAAAAAGAGAGTCTTTTCAACCAATGGTGCTGGAATAACTGGATATCCATATATAAGAAAAGGAATCTAGACACAGACCTTCCACCTTTCACAAAAATTAACTCAAAATGGACACAGAACTAAATGTAAAATGCAAAACTGTAAGATTCCTGAAAGATAACATAGGAGAAAAATGTAGATGATCTTGGGTTTGGTGACAACTTTTTAGATATGACACCAAAGGCAAGATCCATGAAAGAAATAATTGATAAGCTGGACTTCATTAAACTTAAAAACTTCTGCTCTGTGAAGGACAACGTCAAGAGAATGAAAAGACAAGCGACTGGCTGGGAAAAAAATGTATTTGCAAAAGACGTATCTGATAAAGGACTATTATTTCAAATATAAAGAACTCTTAAAACTCAATATTTTAAGATCCAATATTAGACCCACATCATAATATTAAATAAACAAAAATGATTAAAATTTATTAATAAACAAAAATGATTAATATTAATAAACAAAAATGATTAAAAAGTGGGCAAAAGACCTTAACAGACACCTCACTGAGGAAGATACACAGATGGCAAAAAGCATTGAAAAGATGATCTGGATCATATGTCATCAGGGAAATGCAAATTAACAGACAACAGTGACATATTGCTACACACCTATTAGAATGGCTAAACTCCAGAACACTGTCAATACCAAATGCAACTCCTTTGGGCAAAAACCAAGGAATGTAATTGCTGGATTTTATGATAAGAGTATGTTTAGTTTTGTAAGAAGCCACCAAACTGTCTTATTTGAGATGGAGTCTCACTCTGTCACCCAGGCTGGAGTGCAGTGGAGCGATCTTGGCACACCACAGTCTCTACCTCCCAGGGTCAGTCAATCCGCCTACCTCAGCCTCTCAAGTAGTGGGAACCATAGGCGTGTGCCACCACACCTGGCTAATTTTTTTGTATTTTTGGTAGAAACAGGGTTTCTACCTGTTGCCGAGGCTGGTCTCAAACACCTGGGCTCAAGTGATCTGCCTGCCTCCGCTTCCCAAAGTGCTGGGACTATAGGTGTGAGCCACCTGGCCTAGCCAGTGCTACCCCCATTTTAGATTTGAAGAAACTGAAGCTCTGAGAAGTCTAGTATCTTATAAAGGGCACCCAGAGTAGTGGGCAGCGGAGTGAGGTCTGACTCTGAAGCCTGGGCATTTTTTGTCTTCCACCTGCTGATCAGAGCTAGGGTGGGATTTGAACCTTGCACACCCAGCGTACCCAGGGCCCTCTCAGAAATAAAGTGCCTGGCATGACCTTGACACCCTGCTCCAGATTCTCCTTTGGTCACCTCCTCGTGAACAGGGAGAATATTATACCCAGAGGTAATACACATTTTAGGCTACGAATTCAAAACCAAGATGACAGAAAAATCCCCAGTTCTTGAAACCTGCTCTTTCTCTGCTAAGTCAATGACTTTCCCACCACCAGTGTTAGAGGTTTCTGGTTTCTTCCTTCTAGTTGGGGCCAGATTCTGCCCTTCATGAGGCACCTACGGGTCTATGGGTCTTGGCAACTTGCCTTTCACACATCACTCACATGGTACATAGACGTGGGTGGCCCAGTTGCCTCGCTCGTGGGGGAAGGTGCGCACCCGTCCCCCGTGTTTTGTGCTGTCATCTTCAGGCCCCTCCTCGGTGCCCGGGAACATGTTCAGCACACTGTCAGGTACTGGAAATCTCTGCCTGGGAAGGGGGCTCTGGCCACTGCAAAAGAAAAAAAGAAAAATGAGTACATTTATCCTGTTAGCATTCTCTACCTTTGTATATACCACAAAAGTTGTAACCCCTTATATATGGTGGCTCTGAGTGTGTGTTTCCAGCCTGGTGCTGGAAGCAGCTTCTAGATAGCGAAATTGTTTCTCCAGTATTGTCTCATTGGGGTCTCCAACTCTGGGGCACAAGGTCCCCATGGGAAACAACAGGGCATGCAACAATGTGGTTCAGGGGTCACATTTCCAAGCTGGACAGGCTGCAGCTGGAGTAGCACTTTCTAGCTCTATGACCTTGGGCAAGTCATGTCCCCTTTCTGGGCCTCAAATGCCTCATCTGAAAGTATATGTCTACCTGATAGAGCAATTGTGGGATCAACTGAGCTACTGCTTGTAAAGCACTCAGCAAAGATAAGGCCTAGCATTTAAGAATCTAAGCCCCAGGAAGTAAGGCCGACGGTTTTGTTCACCACTGAATTACCAGACCCCAGCCTGGCAGGGAGTGGGTGCTCAGTGAATATTTACTGGATGAATGAAAAGGCTCTCCCTACGCTTTAGCAAGTATTACTATCGCAATTGTATTCAAATCAGGAAACGGACCTAGGATGGTACAGGGATGTGTGCCAGGCGATAGAGTGGGCCAGCGCGAGGCTGGACCCGAACCCAGGTCTGGCCTCCCAACTTGGCCCTAGCCAGGTGGGGCCACTCTGGAGCTTTGTCTGGGGTGGGGGGGAGGGGTATATCTTCTGGATCCTCCTTTCTTCCTGCGTCCCCTTTTCCTTCCCAGAGCCGCCCCGCATCCTCCCTCCCCACTCCACCCCCAGACATTCGGGTCCCGTCTGGCTCTAGGGTGAATGCGCGCGCCCTCCGGAGAGACTTCCTCACTCCTCACCGACGGTGGCTCCCATCCCCCGGCCTGGTCCGCATCCCGTCCTCGGACTCATCCTCGGAGCCGCTGCTGCTGTAGCCCACCAGGGGCGCCGCGCTCATGGGGCCTCATCCAAGACCACCAGAGCAGGTCCACCAGCAACCTCAACCGGCACCCGGAGTTCCGCTGTGCCGGAAGCGCCCTCCCAGGGGCGGGGCCTGGGCTGGCACCGCCTCGGGGCGGAGCCGGGAGGGGCGGAACCCGGCAGGACAGTGGTGAAGATTCAGCCCACCGACTCCAAGCTGTCTGCCGGCTGCGCACGCGGATCTGGTCACCTGCAGCCTCCCGGCACCCCGCTGGGACCTCCCCAGCCTTCGTGTACCCATTTCATATATCGCTCAGGGCCCTCACCTTTCTGCCCGCTGCTGTCTGCAGCCACCCGGGACCAGACATACCAGACACGACAGTCCCGGGTCAGCGCACTAGACCCAGCGGAGACCCCTGCCTGCCCCGAGCCCGGCCAGGATCAGAGGTCCTGGAGCCCCCTCCTCAAACCAGCCCAAAGTCCAAGCCCCTAAAAGCCAAGCTGAGCAGTTAGGGGCGGATCAATTGTGGCAGACCAGAGCCTCTAGGAGGCCCCTCCTCTCCTGCGCAGAGCCGGGCCGAGGGCGGTCACCCGGAGCCCCCTCCCCTAAGCCCGAGCGGGGTGGCCGGAAGCAGAGCGCCCTTCCTCGGTTAGTCGAGGCGCCCAGGCCTGGCGACTCGAAAACCGCCCGGAGCACCCGGCTTGTCCGACCTGGCCCGGCCACGGGGTCCCCGGCAGGGGGCGGCCTCGCTCCGCGCCGCCCGCTCCTCCCGCATTGGCCGCCGCCGCCCGGGATGCCGCTCCTCCCCCGGCCCCGCCTCCCTGGCCCCCGCGCCGCCCGCCCGTCCGCCCGTCTCCGCAAGGCCATCGGTCCGTCCGCCCGCCCTCCCGGCGCTCCTCGCCCCGGCCCCGCTACTCCGGCAGCGCGCGTCGCTTCCTCCGTTCCGGCCGCCGCTAGCCCGTCCCCCGCCCCCGGTCCGGCCGCAGCCGCTACGCGAGGCCGGGGATTGGCAGCGCGCGTAGGCCGCGCCGCCGCGGATGGAGCCGGAATAAAGGGGCGGCCGAGAGAGCAGCTGGTCGCCGCTCGCCCCGCGCCTGCCCTGCAGGCGGCCTGGAGCAGGTGAGCGGCGGGGCGCCCGGGGCCGCATCTGGGGGCCACCCCCGCGCCCGCCGCACCCCTTCCTCTGCCGGCCCGGCCGCCCCCCCGCGCCCCTCCGCCGCGACCTAGCGGCCTCTTGAGCTTCTGGGCGGCCCAGGCCGGGCCTCGAGGCGCAGCCGCTTCCTGGGCCCGGCCTGTAGCCCTGGGGCCTTTCTCCAGCCCGGCCGCCCTCGGGGCTCGCCCTCGGGTCGCAGCGGCCGGGCCATCCCGGACGAGGGCTGACAGGACGCAGCCCAGCTGGGCCTGCAGGCAGGGCCGGCGGGAGGTGATCGGCTTTCATTCGGTTTCTCAGGGAGGAAGAAGAGACGGGGTGGGGCGCAGGTGGGGGGCCTCCCCTGCCTCTCCTTGCCTCCTCTCTCCCCTTTGCGGAGTGATCACAGAGGCTTCCTGGCTGCACCTTGCTGCAGGAGGGCCAGGGTGGGCAGGGGGTGCTGCAGACCAAGCCAGGGGACACTGTCTGACAGCCATTCATGCCAGAAAAAGCAAACAAAACAGTGGGTTGGCACAGCGGACCTACAGGCGCTCAGAGAAGCCCACCTTCCCCCTCTCTGTCCCGAGAAGGCTTAGAGTGGTACCTGCTTGCTCAAGCAACCTGCTGCCTCCACCCAGAGCAGCCGCTCCTCTCCTCCCTCCCTTCCGGAAGATGCTGAGGATGACAGCTTTTAGCCTGACTCTTACATTTCTTTGGCAGAGCAGTTAGAGGCCAGACTGTCCTGTGAAGGCTTCTCCTTCCTTCTTCCTCTGCTCAGGAGAAAACTTACAAACTTTTAAATGTAAGAGGCAGATGAGCTGGGAACCTGGAAGTGGGTTGCATCTGACTCTGAAAGTTCCTCCCTCTCGCTGGCATTACCTCATGCTGCCACAAAGTGGTGAGTTAGAGATTTGCCTGGGCTGGGTGGGCTTTACCTTCCAACAATTACCCAGAACTTTATAGGCTTGGAGTAAGGGAATGGAGTTGTCTCTAGAGAGGTGATGAGAAATGCTCTGTGGTTAGCATGCTGCATCCTGCATTGCCAAGGCAGACCAGGGCAGTTTCTTACATTTTCCTGCAGGCCTTGACACTATGAGATTCAGAGGATTTAGGACTTTGTGTGTGTGTGTGTGTGTGTGTGTGTGTGTGTGAGTTCTGGGAGAGAACCAGAGTGAGGAAGTTCTGCTGTGTGGACATCAAGCCTGGGTGGTTCTGTGGCCCTCTCATCTAGCCCCCATCACCTATGGGCTCTGGTTCCTGTAGGGCCACCCATCCTGTCACGCGGAGAGAGAATGGGCCTGTGGTCAGGGATAGTTGAAGGGGTGTGGTCAGTCCCTCATAGGTGAGAGTTTTTGAAATGGTCCTTGGTTCCACGTAGTTGTCCTAAATATTGACTGTCAGAGGCCATTTGCCACTGGGCTCTCAGACCTGGGAGGTCTGGCCTCCTTAGCTCTAAGTGGTGTGGCCCGTATTAAGACTCAGGGTAGCAACAGGAGAGGAGCTGCGGGCCTTAAGGAGGATTCTGTATTGTAGGCAGATAACCCCGGACTCTCACCTGTGAGTCTCAGCTAAAGGGTTGGCAGGAAGCTGGAGGGGACTTGTGGAGGCTGGGATGTCCTGGCCCAGGGGCGGGGCACTGAGGTGGGTGGGGGTGGAGGCCGCTGCCATTTCCTCTGCCTGGAGGAGCTGAGCTGGCTGCAGACCTCTCTGATTGCCTAAGAAGGGAGGAGTCCTGCAGCCCTGAGCACCTCTGCCTTCCCCGATGTGTGGTTTGTGATGGTGTGGTGAGTGCGGGCAGGACAGGGAGAAGGCCCAGGAAACTGCTGCTTGTTCCTTCCTCGAGCTCATACTTTCTCTCTTCTCTACAGAACGGATCACTGGGGAAGGCAGAGTCTCCCCGGCACTGCTGGGACCCTCCCTTGAAGAGCCCCCATGTCCTGTAGGCAGAGCCTTGTAGTCTGTCCGCTTGGTTACTGACTCGGGCTGTCTGACCAGCCCCTCTTCTGTGCCTTGTCTGAGGTCCTTGTCCATCTCTGTGATTGGGCAGCTTCTCTCTCTGGATTGGGTCACGTGAAGCGGGAAACTGAAGCCATTACTCTCCAAACCCTGTTTCATCTTCCCAAGCATGTCGGAAAGCTGGCAACAGCCGCCACAGACGCAGCCGCAGCAGCCACAGCCACCGCAGCCTCAGCACCATGCAGAGCCACCGCCAGCCCTGGCAGAGCACACGCTGCCTCCGGGCACGGCGGAGAACCCCCTGGGCTGTGCCGTCTATGGCATCCTCCTGCAGCCAGACCCCGGCCTGCAGCCCCCACAACACGCACCCCTGCAGGCAGCAGGAGAGCCAGGCCCCAAATGTGGCGTGTGTGGTCACGACCTGGCGCACCTGTCCAGTCCGCATGAGCACCAGTGTCTGGCGGGCCATGACCGCTCATTCCAGTGCACACAGTGTCTCAAGATCTTCCACCAGGCCACTGACCTGCTGGAGCACCAGTGCGTGCAGGCTGAGCAGAAGCCCTTCGTCTGTGGGGTCTGCAAGATGGGCTTCTCACTACTCACCTCACTGGCACAGCACCACAGCTCCCACAGTGGCCTGGTGAAGTGTTCCATCTGTGAAAAGACCTACAAGCCAGCTGAGGCAGCGGAGCCAGCCACCACAGCCGCCCCGTCGCTTCCCGCAGCACCCGCGCCTTCCACTGTCACCCCTGCTGAACAGGCCGACAAGCCCTACAGCTGCCCCATCTGCCAAAAGCCCTTCAAGCACCTGTCGGAGCTCTCTCGGCATGAGCGGATCCACACCGGTGAGAAGCCCTACAAGTGCACGCTGTGTGACAAAAGCTTCAGCCAGTCGTCGCACCTGGTGCACCACAAGCGCACGCACAGCTCCGAGCGGCCCTACAAGTGCGCAGTCTGCGAGAAGACCTTCAAGCACCGCTCTCACCTGGTGCGCCACATGTACGCGCACTCGGGCGAGCACCACCTGTTCCGCTGCAACGTGTGCGAGTTGCATTTCAAGGAGTCGTCGGAGCTGCTGCAGCACCCGTGCACGCCAAGTGGGGAGCGGCCCTTCCGCTGCGGCGAGTGCCAGAAGGCCTTCAAGCGGCCCTCGGACCTGCGGCAGCATGAGCGCACACACAGCGCCGAGCGGCCCTTCAAGTGCGACCTGTGCCCCATGGGCTTCAAGCAGCAGTACGCACTGATGCGCCACCGGCGCACACACAAGACCGAGGAGCCCTTCAAATGCGGCCTATGTGAGAAGGGCTTTGGGCAGCCCAGCCACCTGCTCTACCACCAGCACGTGCACACCCTCGAGACTCTCTTCAAGTGCCCCGTGTGCCAGAAAGGCTTTGACCAATCTGCCGAGCTGCTGCGGCACAAGTGCCTGCCCGGCGCGGCCGAGCGGCCCTTCAAGTGCCCTGTGTGCAACAAGGCCTACAAGCGCGCGTCGGCCCTGCAGAAGCACCAGCTGGCCCACTGTGCGGCGGCAGAGAAGCCCCTGCGCTGCACGCTTTGCGAACGCCGCTTCTTCTCCTCTTCCGAGTTCGTGCAGCACCGCTGCGATCCGGCCCGCGAGAAGCCACTCAAGTGCCCAGACTGCGAGAAACGCTTCAAGTACGCGTCAGACCTGCAGCGGCACCGGCGGGTACACACAGGCGAGAAGCCCTACAAGTGCCCCAACTGCGACAAGGCCTTCAAGCAGCGGGAGCATCTCAACAAGCACCAGGGCGTGCACGCCCGCGAGCAGCAGTTCAAGTGTGTATGGTGCGGGGAGCGCTTCCTAGACGTGGCCTTGTTGCAGGAGCACAGCGCGCAGCACAGTGCCGCCGCCGCGGCAGCGGAGGGCGCCTACCAGGTAGCCGCCTGCCTGCCCTGACTCTGCGGCTGTGGCCCCTACCAGCCTGACCTGAGTCGGCGCCGTGGGCCCAGCAGGCCTCGCGCAGCCTAGCTCCTCACAGCTGCCTTGCACCAAGGGCCCCACCCAGCTCGGTGTTCTGAGACCTCGGGAGTGAGGACGCAGGGGTATGAGGCAGGGAGAGGGTGTGCCGCTCGTACTCCTGGCACCAGCGGGCAGTGCGGGCGGCCAGATTGCTGTGGCCCATCCTGATTCCACAAACCTCTTTCCCATGACAAGATTCACTTTCTTGAGAGCCATCAGCACCCCCCTTATTTCCGGGGCACTGGAGCCAGGCTGGAAGTCAAGTGGCTTCTCCCTGCCCTAAGGAGGGTGTGATGCCAGCCCAACCTTCCCATATCTTTCAAGCTAGCAGCCACATAGGTTAGGAAAGCGGAGGCTCATGGTGGGGCTGGGGCCCCAGAGGTGGGCTAGGTGTAAGGCATCAGTTGCCGTGTGGGGGAGAAGGCCAGCTTTAAGACGTAGGCCTGGGGACTGGGAGGGCAGAGGGTGAGTCACAGCCCTCTCCGTCTGCTCTAGCCAGGGGCGACGTGTCCCCAGGTTTCTGGCAGGGGAGATGTGCAGGGTGGGTCTTGGGGCTGGGTCTGCCTGGAGACCAGTGGGCCCAGGGGGAAGGGGGAAGCTGAGAAGTTCGTGTGACACCCTCAGCCAAGGGACAGTGCCATCCTTGGGGACAGGAGGAAAAGCAGCCTGTCTCTGCTAAGGGCAAATCCTCCGGTTTTGGAAGCGCCCCTCCCACCTTTGTAGTGCAGTTCCTAGGTGTGGTGGGGAATGTGCCGTGCTCTCAGCAGACAGAACTGCTGGTGTGAAAGGCAGGGATTGTCAGCCCACCTGAGGCTGGGAGGAAGCAGGACCAGGCCTAGGATCTCCCCAGCAGATGCAAACAAGTGTCCTCCCCTGAATTGTGTGAACCAAAGCGTCAGGGGCTTGGGGCACAGCCCCAGTCAGCTCAACCCAGTCCTGCTTCAGAGCCAAGACTAGGCCAGGGTGGGGACCCCCCCAGTACCCTCCCTACATCAATGTGGCTGCTGGCCTGGACCCCAGGGGTCTGGTACAGCCAAGATGTTCTGGACAACATCCAGCTACTTCAAAGGCCAGAGTGTCCTTTGGGTCCTCCTAGAGTCCCCCTAGGTCTCTGGCTGCCCATGAGGCTCATGAAGCAGAGGGTATCCCAGTCATAGGGAGCAGAAAGAGCAAGTGGGTTAAGGAAGCCTGTGGGGGACCTGGTGGATGGAGTTGACCAACATCGCTGGGTGGCTACGGCCCTCCTTAGGAAGCCCAGAAGGACCTTTATTATTAAAATAATCATTTTGAACCCTGCTCTATCCCCTGCCCTCTTCCAGCCCCACCCCTCCCTGGTCTTGAAAGAAGACTAATCAGTGGGCACACCAAGGGCCCTGAGGGGCAGGGAGATGCCACCATGCTTCTCTGTCACCGTAAGAAGGCTGACCAGCCACGCCCACCTCCTCTGTCTGACTGAGTTCCTTCCTGTGGCCACAGGGAGGGGCTGGTCCTTCCCCTCGGTGCTGGCTCTCTGTCACAATGCCTCAAAAGACATGGAACCCAGGCCTACAACCGTCCCAACTGCTAATTCTTTTCCTTTCATTTTGCTTTCTGAAAGCAGTTTGTTATACTATTCATAACATTGTAGAGTTTAATTTCATGTCATTTTGGATCTTATATAAAAATGTGAGGATTTGGATTTTTAAAAAGAATGACTCCATTTTAGGTAGCCACTTTTGATGTTAATATATAGTGAGTCCAATGTATGCTTTAGAAGTAAAGACATTGACCGTCACAGACCACTGCACTGCTTGTTCTGCTCCTTCTTCCACAGGGGAACGATGGACATGGAGAGGCAGAGAGGGGCACAGGCCTGAGTGGCGGCTTGGAGACTGGGGCATAGGGCTGGGTTTGAATCCTGAGCTTTGAACGTTCTGGCTGTGTGGCCTTGGGAACCTCTTTGGGACTCAGTTGCCTCATCTGTAAAATGGGGAGGTTCACCTTGCCTTGCTTGGTTGTTGTGAGAATTAAATAGAGCCCTATAGAAAGTCCCTGGTGGGGATGTTTGAAGATGCTGACAGTACCAACTCCAGGACACCTGGGATTTTCAGGAATGAGCCTGAGACCTCCTCACTTCCATTGGCTTTAACCACAGCCCCCGAAGTGGGAGCTGACCTGTGAGAGAGCAGCAGCTCATGGAAGCCTGGAAGCCAGGCACTGGGCCTGGTGAGCATGAGAGCTTGCGCAGCCCCAGTGGAAAACCAAGGGCCTGCCTGCAGCAGCAGCAGATGCAGCCAGCCCGGCCCTGCCCCAGAGGAGGGGGAGGACTTGCTGTCACCCCACAACCACCCACCCTGTCACACAGTGACCCTTCTGCATGGTCAGCCCAGCTGCCTCCCACCTGAGCCCCTCCAGCACACCTTTCCTCCTGCACCCCGTCCCTGCCCCCGTGGCCCAGCTGCAACTCAGGCTCTGTCTGTTGCTCAAAGGTGGGGATAGAGGTAGGGGAGAGAGAGGGAAAAACAGCCTCCCAGGCCCGGGCACCTGAGAGCCAGTGAAAGTGGTCAGCAGGGGCACCTTGCCCTGAGTTAAAAGGACAAGGAGCTGCCCACACTGCAGGTGGCCCGAAAGCTGGGTACAGAAGGTGCGAAAGGCCAGGGGACCGAGATGTGACCCAGTCCCCATGCTCTTCTTCCTCCCTCTGGGTGGTCACGGGAGGAACCTGCCCTTGAGAAACCATGTGGTTCCTTCCCACAGGCTTCTACCTCCCAGGAAGAGGATGCCCGGGGCCTTGGTTCCGTGCCAGGCTCAAGTCCCAGCTTGCTTTCTCGCCATGTGACCTAGGCAAAACCCACCCATCCTGAGAGGCCCCTGGAAAGTGCTAGCGTGTGTGTGAGGCTTTATAATTACTGCCGCAGGTTGTCCCTTGTAAGTGGGTGACAGCATGCATGGGCCAGGGCAGGAGGGGCCCTGACTGGACATGGCTGAGCTCACATGGAGCCTGCAGTGGCTTCTTCCTTTGTCCCTACCCCTACCTGCCTCACAAAGCAGTGGGGTTCCTACACCTCCCACCAGGCCCTCAGCCTCTAGGCTCCAGCCTGGGCCTAAACCAGGGCAGCCAATGGGTCCCTGGTCTGGGAGCCCAGATGTTCGGGTTCAGGGCCAGGCCCTTTGGTAACACATGGCCTAAGGCCTCTGTCTGCCCCTCTCAGGCCTCAGTTCCCCATCTGAAGCAGGCCTGGTGCTCTGATTCTGGGAAGGCGCCAGGATCAACCCATGGCCCATTTTCCCTTCCCTGCCCCTCCTGGCCTCCAGCCTGCTCCCCTCTGGTATCTCCGACTAGCCTCTCTTGGTTGTAAGTGGCAGAAACAGCACAAACCGGCTTAAGCAGCTGCTCACTGCACCTGGTCATACAGGTACTTCTCCCACCAACCGGCCCAGGAATGCTGACCTACAGGATGGCCAATTTCCTGTGTCCCAAACCTGATGAGTGTCTCCTTCACTTACAGCATAGCATTTTTTTGTTTGCTTGTTTGAGACCGTGTCTCACTCTGTCACCCAGGCTGGAGTGCAGTGGCACGATCTCAGCTCACTTCAACCTCCGCCTCCCAGGGTCAAGTGATTCTCCTGTCTCAGCCTCCTGAGTAGCTGGAACTACAGGTACATGCCACCATGCCTGGCTGATTTTTGTATTTTTAGTAGAGACAGGTTTTCACCATGTTGGCTGGGCTGGTCTTGAACTCCTGACCTCAAGTGATCCACCCGCCTCAGCCTCCCAAAGTGCTGGGATTACAGGCCACTGCACCCAGCCAAGCACAGCATCTTAAAGGGGAGCTTCAGATGTCGTGACTAGGAGTATAAACTAATGTTATATCTTCAGCCTCTGGCTAATCATTCCTTTTGGCTCAACCACTGGGAGGATGGGAAGTGTGGTGCTTTAGGATGAGGGTGACATCTGGATGAGGGCTAGGGCTGGGAAGAAGAAGGAAGGAGGAGGGAGAGACTGACACAGCCTTGCCTTTGGGAGGTAGTCATTCCCCCTGGCTAGTGAAAGAGACACCAGGGGTGGGAAGGGGAGGGGGCCATTCTCCTGGGTCCTAGAAGCTGGTGCCAGGGCAGGCTGGGCCACCAAAGGGGATGTTCCTAGGAAGCCCATCATCCTGACAGCTTTTCCAAACTCCCACCATGCACTGGCTCTGCTCTATGCTTGGCCCTGCAGGGGACGGGGGAGAGGATGCCGCTTTCTGGGGGTGGAACCTGTACTCGTGAACCGTAGTAGACTGAGTGCGGTGTCCTGGTTCAGAGCACCACAGGCAGCCCTGGCTAGAGTCCCACGTCTCCACTCATTGGTTCCATTGAAGCTCTCTGAGCCTCAATGTCCTCATCTGTGGAATGGAGTCAATAATGCTCTCTTCTGAGGTTTAGGGTAAGGGCACAGTGGAATGATCTGTGTGACATGTTTGGCATATAGTAGCCACCCAGAAGGACTGTAGCGCTGGGAGGTCAGAGGCAAGAGCGAGCCAGCCCAGCCCTCCCATCTGAGAGTCAGCCCTCCCACCGGCCTGCCATGCACCGTTCAGAAACCTTTTCCCATCCGCCAGCAGGTCTGAGCCTCACTCCATACCTATAAGGGGGCGAGGCAGATGCTTAAGAGGTCCAGGGTTTGTTCACAGCCACGCAGTGATGAAAGTGGCCTGGAATTGTGGGGGTTAGCCAGGTGAGCCTGGTACCTGCACACGGGTGAAGGAGAGGCAGTGGGGTCTGAGCCATGCAGAGCTCCTGCTCACTCTTTGCTGGCCAGAAAGCCGGGAACAATGGCCTGGACCAGTCCAGGGCTGGGCAGGGCAGTAGGAAAGCTCTTCAGCAGCAGGCAGACGGCGTGGCCAACCCCTCTGGCCCCCTCTCAACTCCTTGAAGAATCAAAGCCCACTGTGCTCCATCTTCCCAGATGGACAGAAGCAGCGCCACAAAGGCCCTAGGTCCCCCAGCCTAAGGAGGGCCAGACTCTCTCACGAGCTCCACATCCAATCCTCAAGCAGATGGCTTCTTGGTTCCTTGAAGGTGGTGCTTCCTAGAAAAGCCTTGGCCACTATTGATTTTCTCATCTACAAAGATTCCAGCCAGAATACACAGTCTTCCTCAGGGCCGTGAAATGGAGCCAAGGGGAGGGCTCCTTCTTTATTGTGTGTCTCTCCATCCCCACCCTGGGTCTGTCTTCCTGCCTTTGTTCATCCACAAGCATTACTGAGCACCTACCGTTTGCCAGGCACTGAGCAGGTGCTACAGGGCACAAGGCACAAACTTCAGGTGAGACGGTTTTGAGGTTTTTGTGAATCAAAAGGTACAGTGAAAAAATGTCAAAACTGCTGATATCTAGTACAAAATATGATGTTCACGAGTTCTCCCTGACCCCTACCCCACCCCTGCCCGCAGCTTGGACCCTCACCCTATCCCTGAACCTCCCCATTGCCAGCCCCAGGCCCTGGGTTAGGACATCATTTTGCAGGTAACTTTGTAATCGACACCGCTATAACTCTGTAGCAGTTAATAATTTAGTCCTGATTGGTGTGTTGGTTCCGGAAGAGACCACAGGCCCCATTCCTGAGCCCCAGGTCCAGTTAGAATAAAAAGAGCCAGTGAATGAGCCCAGGGCGGGCCAGAGGGCATGAGTTAGCCCATGAGAACAGCTATGGTCCCTGTTTTTGTGATTTGAGAGAAGAGTTGGGGGGAGAAGGGAGGACTTGAGAGTAGCCTGCCTGGAACGCAGGGTGGGATTTGGGTAGGAAGAGGTGGGGGAAGGTATTTCTGGTGAGAGGAAGGCTCTGAACAAAGGTTGGAGGCAGACAGAAGCCCAGAGCCTCTGGAACTGCAAGGAGGCTGTAGGGGGGTTCATGTTGGGATAAAGGGCCACCGTAGTGGATTGGGGTCAGGCCCCGGAAGGCCTAGAGGTGAGGCCATGGAGGCTGGACTGTCCCCAAGGCCATGGCTGCTGGGAAGATTTCCGATGTGATCTAGGACTCTAGCATCCCTGCTGTGAGCCCTGGGCAAGTCCAGCTCTTCTCTGAGTTGTCATTTGGAGGGGACAATGGGTGGCACAGAATGTGGCTCTGATACTCTGATGAGCCAAGAGTCCCTGGAGACTGAGAGGGGGTGTCAGCATGTTGGGACACAATGGCCCCATCTGGGAGGGGATGGGCTGCTTTCCATCTCTCAGCCTCTGGCCTTTGGCCTCTGGGTGGGATTCTCAACCTGCAGATTCTGCCACTGCCAGCAACTCCAAGAGAGCTTTCTTGTTTTTGTTTGTTTTTAGATGGAGTCTTGCTCTGATGCCCAGGCTGGAGTGCAGTGGCTCGATCTCGGCTCAGTGCAACCTCTGGCTCCTGGGTTCAAGTGATTCTCCTGCCTCAGCCTCTAGAGTAGCTGGGATTACAGGTGTGCACCACCACATCCAGCTAATTTTTGTATTTTTAGTAGAGATGGGGTTTTGCCATGTTGGCCAGGCTGGCCTCGAACTCCTGGTCTCAGGTGGTCCGCCCGCTTGGCCTCCCAAAGTGCTGGGATTACAGGTGTGAGCCAGCCTGCCCGGCCCCAAGAGAGCTTTCTGATGGGACGTCCTATCCTCCCTCTAAGCCCTGGTCAGATGCCCCCACCCCCAGGAAGCCCCCTTTGGTTTCTTCCCCATTCTTGGTTTGGATCTGTCTGGTAGCAGGCAGGCAGTAGAGCCTGGTGGCCAGAGGCGGGGGATGGGGATGGGGGGCTTAGGCAGGCCAGCTTCAATTCTTAGCTCTGCCAATCACCAGATCTTGGGCCAGCCGCTTAACCTTCCTGAGTCCATTTCATCATCTGTAAAATGGGTGTAAAATTACCCATCTCATGGGGTCTGCAAGATGGTTAATGCATTGCCTTCCACTTAAAAATAGAAATTGTACGTGAAAGCAGACTCATTTATGCTTATGTACTCTGCATTTCCTTTATTCTTAGGCACACATTTTTTATATTTATATTTTATATAAATATATATTATTACATATATACATATACATATTTATATTTATATATTTTATAATCTATTTATATTATTGAAATCAGGATTAAATTTACAATCAGTGGGCAAGAAGCTTTAATTAAATTGCTGGTGTGGGTTGCCATTCATGGGGTTTGGGCTGGGAGAACATGGTCTATGTGTGTACTCATGTGATCACCTCTACTTTCAGGTTCTCATTGGCTGGGCCTGCTGGGCTGGAGGCACTTCAAAGGCAGGGAGGGCATCTTGTCTGTGTCCTCCCAGCACCAGCAAAGGGCCTGGCCCAGGCAAAGCTCTTTAGTGTTCGCTGGGCTGTATTCTGGCAGGGACTTGCCCAGTCATTCAAGGAAGCAGGGCCAGGAAAAACACCCCAGTCACTTGATGCCATCTGGCAGGCTTCAGCATGTCTGCTGGGGTTCTCTGGCTGGCCCACCTCTCCCAGGCCAGGATTCTAGCATCCCTGCTGTGAGCCCTGGGCAAGTCCAGCTCTTCTCTGAGTTGTCATTTGGAGGGGACACTGGGTGGCACAGAATGTGGCTCTGACACTCCAGGCGGCTCTGCCAGTGGCTTCCCAAGTGCAGTCCCAAAGTGGACACATGATTCTGTACATGATTTCAGGAGGTCTGTGGGTCCCTGAAGCCCCAGGTTTCAGGACCAGAAGTCCTATGCAGGTAGATTTTTAGCTTGGTAGCTATTTATCCTGATCTGGGTCCATGCTTGCCAGCTGCCCACAGGTGGGATGGGAGTAGGGTATCTGAAAGGTCCTGGAGCTAAGCACAGATGCTAGCAGCCCTAACTCCCTGATATGGTTTGGCTGTGTCCCCACCCAAATCTCATCTTGAATTGTAGCGCTCTTAATTCCTTCATGTTGTGGGAGGGGGCCAGTGGGAGATAATTGCATCACGGGGGCGGTTTCCCCCATACTGTTCTCGTGGTAGTGAATAAGTCTCACGAGATCTGATGGTCTTATAAGGGAAACGCTTTCGCTTGGCACTCATTCTCTCTTGCTGCCACCATGTAAGAAGTGCCTTTTGCCTTCCACCATGATTATGAGGCCTCCCCAGCCATGTGGAACTGTGAGTCCATTAAACCTCTTTCTCTTCCCAGTCTTGGGTATGTCTTTATCAGCAGCATGAAAACAGACTAATACACCCCCTTACCATGCTGGAGATGCTCTTCCCTAGCCCCCTGGATGGCGTTATTCCAGACCTGGGCCAGGAGTCCCCACACTGTCCCCGGGACATCATACCTTCCTTTCACAGGAGTGGCTTGGAATGGATGGTTGGTGGGTAGACAAGGGCTAGTCCTGAAGCTTCATGGATAGAGCAGAGGACTTTTTGCTTAAATGACATGTTTATTGGTGGTGCTTTGGAGAGCGGGGAACTTTCTTCTCTGAGTGGCTTCATGCATCTCATGCAAGTTTAGACTCTACATTCTGTTGCGTCACAGGAATCAAGGCCATAGGCCTGGCCAGCTCCCCTTGCCCCAGCCTGCTCCCACACCTTCAGGGGGACCCCAGGCACAGGGAAGCCCCCCAGAGCACACCAGTATGACAAGAGCTTCAAAAAGGCACCTAAAAATAGCTTTCTAGCCCTCTCCCTTTCTTCTTAGGGCTCAAATTCAGGATCTGAAATGGAGGGGGCTTGGGTGTGGGGCTGCAGGCAAGGGGCTGGAGCACATCTCTTGCTCTTGGATCTCAATTCTGGCTGGACCTTGCGGCTTACACCCTGACTCTCAAACCAGGTCACCAGACATTTTTCTCCAACCCCCCACCAGTCCTCCAGGAGTTGGCCGGGGACGGGCAAGGGTAAGATACTGTCATCCTGTGGCCCTGACCCTCTCCCAGGCTGTGCAACACACACAGACAGAGACAATTGCGTGTGTCTCTAAGGGAGCATTAGGTTTATTTCTAGTTAGGCTGAACTCCTGGGGAGATGGCTGGTGCCACCATAAGTCCTCTGTCTGGCCAGGGGACCTGAGGTGGCACCGTCCGGCAGCCTGGGAGTCAGCCTCCTTTCCAGAGATTAATGCCAGGGGGTCAGGTAGTTGACACGACTGTGGAGAGAAGTAGGGGTGAGGTGGGGGTTTCCAGGGTGTCCTAGGGGAAAAATCAGGCTTTTCCCCTCTAGGATCTGAAAACACAGCTTCCAGCCAGCCTCTATGTGGCTCAGGAGACTTCAGTGGCTCCCTGTTTTCTGTATTTTCAGCTGTCCTCCTTAGCTTTCAAGCTAACCTCCCTCCTTTGACTGTGCCTCATCCTTCTCTCCCATTGATACCTAACTATGAACAGCTTCACCCATTTTTCAATCATTTAGTGAACCTACTCTGTTAGGCATCATATGGTAGCAAAACCCAGAAACGTTTCCCCGTGTGGGAGACGGGAAGGCTGGTTTCTGTCAATAATGACAGTGCAATAGTCTGAGTATTGCACTCGATACTCAGGGACACAAAGGTAGTGACCAATGGGAGGGAGTGTGAGCCGGTGGGGAGAGGCAGAGGGTGGGGGAAGACTTCAAGGAGGATGGCACATCTGGGCTGGGCTTTGAAGAGCATGAAGGAGGCCGGGCACTGTAGCTCACGCCTGTAATCCCAATACTTTGGGAGGCTGAGGTGGGTGGATCATAAGGTCAGGAGTTCGAGACCAGCCTGACCATCATGGTGAAACCTCATCTCTACTAAAAATACAAAAATTAGCCAAGCTTGGTCATGCGCACCTGTAATCCCAGCTACTCAGAAAGCTGAGGCAGGAGAATTGCTTGAACCCGGGAGGCGGAGGTTGCAGTGAGCTGAGATCAGGCCATTGCACTCTAGCCTGGGCGACAGAGTGAGACTCCGTCTCAATAATAATAATAATAATAATAATAATGGCACGAAGGAGTTTTCCAGGCAGAGGAGGAAGGGCCATCTAGGCGCTGAAACAGCACAGGCAAAGGTGTGAAGAGTGCTTGGTCTGCTGGGTTTCGGGGGAGTCTAGTCTGGCTGGAGTGTACAAAGTGGGGCCGGGAGGGTGAGAGATGGCTTAGTTATGAAAATGTTTGAGTATCCTGCAACCTCTTGCAAGAGGTGCTTATCTTGGAGATAAGAACTCTTGTTCTTATCTTATCTCTTTACTTGTGGGGCGACCCTGCCGGGAAGACCACTTAGCCCCCTCCCTTAGGGCCTCTCCGCACCCTAAAAGGCAGATTCTCGGCTCTCTCCCTTGTGTTTCTTATTTGTCTGTTTTCTCTCCTTCTAGTTAACATCCTCGCCCTATCCTTTTGGCCTCCTCCAGTCAAACCTGGTGGGATGTGGACCCCCTCCCGCGTCCACCCCCACCCCAGTGGGCTGCACATTTGCCAGGGGCGGATCTCTCCAGAGCGAAGCAGCTCGCGCCCTCCCAGGAGGGCCCCTCCTCCTCGCCAGGCCTCGCTGGGGCAGGGGGGTTTCAGAGTCAGGGAGCCCCGAGGCTGTCCCCAGCAGTCGGATGAGAACGTGGTTGGCTGTGGGGCGGGACAGGACCGTTCCCCTACCTGTAGCTGGAGCCGAAGCTTCGGAAAGTGTTCCTGGGAAAGAACGGGGCGGGTGAGCACGAGATGGGAAGGGGCGACCCTCTCTGGGCGCCTCACTCGACCTCGGGAGCCACCCCCTCTCCCCGCCATCCCTCCTGAAGGGTTCCAGGGCGCCTTCACCCAATGCGAACGCCTCCACTCCGCAAGGGTGGAGTTGTCAGGGAGGGCAAGGTGCTCCGTTTAGTAGGAATTACACATGTATTCATTTGAAATTGCAATTTGTTTCTGGTGTATTGGAGCCAATTTTTCCCAGTTCTCACGTTTTCAAGGGGCATTGCCTGTGCGCTAGGAAAGCGGCCCAGACCTCATCCTCCCTCCTCCAGATATGGGGTCCCCGGGCGCGTGGCGTCACTTACAGGGAGTCGAAAGGCAGGGGCTTCTGTCCGTAGCGGTCCAGGCTGGGGTTCTGGCTGAGGCAGTACTGAGGCGGGCAGCAGGGATAGGGGCGCGGTGAGTCGGGGGAGCACGGACGCCCTGCCCACGCCCCACACAGGGCTTCCTGCTAGAGACCGTGGTCCTGAAGACTGGGAGGCCCTGCTCTGGGTCTCCTCCCCCCTCAACCCCCGGCTTAAGCCGCTCCCCACCAGGACCCCCGCTCCCCGCTCAGGGACGGGTCTGCGCGCAGCGCTCCCTACCCGCCAGGTCTGGGTCACGTCGGGCTTCAAGTACCGCACCGCGTAGCCGCTGAGACCCTCCGCTGCGAACAGAAAGCCCCTCTCGAGCGCTCATCCGCCCCCCCCCAGGACAAGCCCCGCCTCCTCATCTAAGCCCCGCCCACAATCCAGCCCCGCCCACAATCCAGCCCCACCCACACGTGTACGGAGAACAGGTCCCGCCTCCGCTGCCCCACCAGGGCAAAGCCCCCGGCCCGAAGGCTCCGCCTGGCTCCGCCCCCTCCCCAAGGGCAGTCCTGCCTCCAGATCCGCGCGCACGTCTCGGCTCCACCCACCGCAAGTGCCACAGCTTCATCTCAGCGGCCCCGCCCTGTTTCTGCCTGGCCCGCCGCCTGCGTTCCCGTCCGCAGTCCACGTTCCCTGCTCCAGCCCCGCGGCCCACCTGCCCGGCAGT
Organism: Homo sapiens; assembly: GCF_000001405.40. NCBI lineage: Eukaryota > Metazoa > Chordata > Mammalia > Primates > Hominidae > Homo > Homo sapiens. The sequence goes on along the minus strand of NC_000016.10, from coordinate 57,984,834 downwards.
TCCTTCAGCGGCCCGTAGACTGACCTCGCTTCCTCAGGCAAGGCAGCTTGAACTCCCCGGCCGAGGACACGAAGTGGGACCAGTCCTCGATGGCGCGCGTGAAGCAGGGCCAGTCCACTCGGTTGATGCCTGGCGCGATGGGCGCCAGCTTTCCCTCGTGGTACCTGTTGCGAAGCTTCTGGCCTGTGGCGGTGATGTCCTGACAGGGCCACGGGGGTCAGGCCCGCGCGGCCGTAGCCGCAGGAGCCTAGGGAAGCCATCCCAGTCCATCCCAAAGGCCTCAGTTGACAAGTGGCCCGGTGCATTGGACCGAGGGGGCGCCCGAAGTCGTGAACCCGGATGGGGTGATGTGGGGAGCGGGAGTCCCAAGCAGGCACCTGAGAAGGTGCGCGGGGTGTAGATCCCAGGACCAGAGGTGCTTGGGGCTGGTGCCCCTTAGCAAACCCAAGGGCAGGGCAAAGGACACTCACCAAACACTGCAGGGGTTTGTTGGGGACCCCAAGGAGTGTAAAATGGGCGTTGTCAAATTCATCTGTTGAAACAAGAGAAAGGGAGAAGAGGTGTCTCCTTCACCAGTGGTCAGAGGTCATAGGAGAACTTTGGCCCACACTGTACTTTAAAAATTTTTTGAGGCCGGGCACGATGGCTCACACCTGTAATCCCAGCACTTCAGGAGGCCGAGGCGGGTGGATCACTTAAGGTCAGGAGTTCCAGACCAGACTGGCCAACATGGTGAAAGACCATCTCTACTAAAAATGCAAAAATTAGCCAGGCATGGTGGCGAGCACCTGTAATCCCGGGTACTCGGGAGGCTAAGGCAGAAGGATCACTTGAGTCCAGGAGGTCGAAGCTTCAGTGATCATGCCACTGCACTTCCACCTGGGTGACAGAGCAAGATCGTGTCTCAAAAAAAGAAAAAAAAGGCTGGGCACGGTAGCTCACACTTGTAATCCCAGCACTTTGGGAGGCCAAAGCGGGTGGATCACTTGAGCTCAGGAGTTCGAGACCAGCCTGGGCAACAAGGTGAAACCCTATCTCTACCAAAAATACGAAAAATTAGTTGAGTGTGGTGGCACGCGACTGTAGTCCCAGCTACTAGGGAGGCTAAGGCACGAGGATCACTGGAATCCAGGAGGTGGAGGTTGCAGTGAGCTGAGATTGCGCCACTGCACTCCAGCATGGGCAACAGAGCGAGACTCTCTTAAAAAATTTTTTTTTAATTTGACAACTTAAAAAAAATCTAAGATAAAATAGTATTCACATCTTACCTTTGCAACAGAATAAAACTCCAAAGATTCCAATGTAAAAAGTGAACATGGGCAAATTCTTTTATAATCTTGGGATGGGAAAGGCCTTAATAATTTTAATTAAAAATCCAGAAGCTTTAAAGAAAAGATTGATAAGTTAAATACATAAAAATAAACTTCTACATGGCAAAAACAAATGTCAAAAAACAAATGGAAAAAATATTTCCACTTATTTTACAGATATTAATATTAATTAATATTCCTTAATATTGAAAGAGTGCCTAGAAATCAAGCAAAACAAAAAATGCCAGGTATGGTGGCTCGAGCCTGTAGTCTCAGCTACTCAGGAAGCTGAGGCAGGAGGATTGCTTGAGCCCAGGAGTTTAAGGCTGCAAGTGAGCTGTGATCATGCCACTGCCCTCCAGCCTGGGTGGCATAGCGAGACCTTGTTTTTAATAAATAAATTAACAAGTTGAGGAATTTCTCTATACAAGAACTCCAAGGTGCAGATGGGTATATACAATATGCTACCATTTGCTTTAAAAAAAATTTTTTTTTGAGACAGAGTCTCGCTCTGTCGCCCAGGCTGGAGTACAGTGGCGCGGTCTCGGCTCACTGCAACCTCCGCCACCCAGGTTCAAGCGATTCTCACGCCTCAGCCTCCCGAGTAGCTGGGATTACAGGTGCGTGCTACCATGCCTGGCTAATTTTTGTATTTTTAGTAGAGATGGGGTTTCACCATGTTGGCCAGGCTGGTCTTGAACTCCTGACCTCAAGTGATCTGTCCACCTCAGCCTCCCAAAGTGCTGGGATTACAGGCGTGAGCCACTGCGCCCGGCCTACTGTTTGCTTTAAAATGGTAGACTAAACATAGACTGTTGGAAACAGAGAATATATATTCAGGTCATCACCTTAACCAAATAATCAAACTTAGCATCACAAATAATGTGATAATGAAATTCTGTGCCTCCTGCTGCAGCATTATGGCAAACACGGCATCTGTCGCCTGTGAAAGATTCTGGCCAGCAGTGTTTAACCTGGTGATTCAGATCTCTACACCTAGCTGCTGGTTTACAGAAAATAGATTAACAAGATAAGAAACACCATGAAGAAACAGTGGCTCAAATTCACCATATGGGACTGTCTACAACACAACTGTTAGAGACTTTAAAAAGTCAGTATGATGGTGGGCAATGGAAACTGGGTGGACTGTTTTAGACTAAGACAAAAGACATAACAAGTAACTGAAATACGTAATCCTAGATTGAATTCTTGTTCCAAAAAATCATTTTAAAGCCAGAAAAGACATCTTTGAGGGCAATTGGGGAGATTTTAATATGGTCTGGATATTAGATGTTGTAGAAGTATTGTTAGCTTTCCTAGGTGTGATAATGGTATTGTGTCATGTAGAAGGATGTTTTTGTCATTGGGAGCTGCTTGCTAAAGGGTGTCCAAGAATGTAAGAGAGAGGGCGAGAGAAGCAAAAATATGGCAAAAATCAACTGAAGCAGGAGGAAGGTGGTGGGTACTCATAGTAGTATTCTTTCAACTTTTCTCCATTTGAAAATGTTTATCATGTAAACTAAAAATAAAATCCTGAGGTCTCCGCAATGTATTGACTGAGCGGACCCCCCTCTTGGCTAAGGGGATCCCCCAAAACCTTGAAAAACTGAGTTCCCAGCCATAATGGGACAGGAGGTCAGACATGCTTCATTCCACCCCTGCCTTTTTGCGGTTTAGACACAATAAATGACCAGCATTAATGTTAAACTAGCAATCACAAGGCCAGGTGCGGTGGCTACGCCTGTAATCCCAGTGGTTTTGGAGGCCAATCACTTGAGGTCAGGATTTTGAGACCAGCCTGGCCAACATGGTGAAACCCCATGTCTACTAAAAATACAAAAATCAGCTGGGCGTAGTGGCACACGCCTGTAGTCCCAGCTAGCTACTCAGGAGGCTGAGGCAGGAGAATCACTTGAACCGGGGAGGCGGAAGTTGCAGTGAGCCGAGATAGCGCCACTGCACTCCAGCCTGGGTGACAGAGTGAGACTCTGTCTCAAAAAAAAAAAAAAAAAAAAAAAAAAAAGAGAAAGAGAGAGAGAGAGATTACAAGACTAAGAGAACAGACTCTTTGTGGCAATAAGATACCAAATTATAATAATAATAATAATAATTATTATTATAATAATAATAATTATTATTATTATTGAGACGGAGTGTCACTCTGTTGCCCAGGCTGGAGTGCAATGGCGCGATCTCGGCTCACTGCAACCTCCGCCTCCTGGGTTCAAGCAATTCTCCTGTCTCAGTCTCCCAGTAGCTGGGATTACAAGCACACACTACCACACCTGGCTAATTTTTGTATTTTTAGTAGAGACAGGGTTTTACCATATTGGTCAGGCTGGTTTTGAACTCCTGACCTCAGGCGATCCACTTGCCTTGGCCCCCCAAAGTGCTAGAATTACAGGCGTGAACCGCCACGCCCGGCCAAGATACCAGATTATTAACAGGACCTAAGGCCATGCCAGGCAAGGGTTAAGTCACGCACCCCTACACTTAAAGAATAAACTACAGGCTGGTCGTGGTAGCTCACGCCTGTAATTCCAACACTTCGGGAGGCTGAAGCTGGAGGATCACTTGAGCCCAGAAGTTGGAGACCAGCCCTGGCAACATAGTGTAACCCTGTCTCCACACAAAACAAACAAACAACAACAACAGCAACAAAAATAGCCTGGCATAGTGGTGTGTGCCTGTAGTCCCAGCTACTCAGGAGGCTGAAGTGGCAGGATCACCTGAACCTGGGAGGTCGAGGCTGTAAAGAGCCATGTTTTTGACATTGCACTCTAGCCTGGGTGATGGAGAGAAACTCTGTCTAAAAAAACAAAACAAAACAAAACGAAAAGCAAAACACAAAAATAAATAAGCTATGTTTTAATTGCCATGAGGTTTTTCTTTTTCTCTAGCCCTGGACTTGAGATAAGCAATATTAAAACAATTACAACTCATACAGCTCACAGATGCTGATGAACTGACCCCCTGATCCACCAGCCACAGCTATGCCTTTGATTGCATAAGAGGCTGATTTCAGTAACTTTCTCCAGGTAAGAAGACCACCAACCATGGACTGGTCCTGCCCAGCATACAGAGGCTGCTCACTTGCTGGGCTTCGCGTCCTGAAAAGAACTTTTGACGTATAGGGACTAATTGTAATACATTTAAAGGTTAAGTCTCCACCTCAAAGCGAACATGGGTTGTATGTTACATGCATGTTTGTTCAATATGCCCATGTCAGTACTATCTTCATGAATATTCATAGCTCCTCCTATAAACTATTGAATATGTATGTTTAGCCAACCCTTTGAACATAAAGCTCTTACCCAACCCCTCCTCCTTTGACATGCCTATCTTTGGGCTTAAGCTGGAGGCACACTTTCCAGCCTGTGGGATGGCCACCTGGCAGCTATAACCCCTTGTAAGAAATAAAGTCTCCTTTTCTAAACTTATACATTTATTTTTATTTTTTGAAGATGGAGTCTCGCTCTGTCACCCAGGCTGGAGTGCAGTGGCTCCATCTCGGCTCATCGCAACCTCCGCCTCCCGGGTTCAGGTGATTCTCCTGCCTCAGCCTGGGAGCTGGGATTACAGGCACCCGCCACCCCGCCCGGCTAATTTTTGTATTTTTAGTGAAGATGGGGTTTCACCATGTTGGCCAGGCTGGTCTCGAACTTCTGACCTCACGTGATCTGCCTGCCTTGGCCTCCCAAAGTGCTGAGATTGTGGGTGTGAGCCACCGTACCCTGCCTAAATTTACAAATTTCTGGGTTTTCAGTTAACAGTAATAAAAAGTTGGGGAGCAAAATAACATGTGTTTATATTCCCATTAGTAAACCAGGGAGAGACATCAGAAACTAAGAATGTGGTGGGGGGGTGGTTACCTGTATGCGGGGGCAGTGGGAGTGAGCCTTGTTGCTGTGCATATTGTTATAGCATTTTGAGCTTTGAAGTTCTGACTATTACTTTTACTTAAAGCATATGCTTACAATAAAATACATATCTACATCAGAGCTTTCCTTAAAAATCTAGATTCCTGGCTTCTCTCAGAAGCGGGAAATTGGAAGAACTGGTGACCTGGCTGGCCCCTCCAACATAGCACAGTCTGTGGGGAACCCCGTGGCTGCCGTTTAAATAGGGCAGGTGTGGGTGCCCCTTTTCCCTGTGGAGTGTTCCTTCCCCACGGCCTCCCCACCCACTTCCCTCACTTGTGTTTCCCATTAGGGCCCATGTGGCAACTCTGGTAATCTCCGTGCGGTCTCTGACACCCTCAGCCCACCTGTCACCCAAGCTGGAGCCTAGGTATGGGCCTGCACTCCCCCTGTTTGGCCTCCTACCCTGCCCCGCCTGCACCTACTCCTGTTGACTTTATCTGCTAAATACCTTCTAAATCCCTCCACACGCAAGCTCCTCAGTCCATGCGGGGTTATTCACTAGGCCCGTGGGGCTCTTTTGCCCTGAAGGCCCACACGTCTTCCTCTCCTGCATGGGGGCTGTGAGGAGAGGTCTTTCTCTCTCTTTTCCACATACAGAGATGCTTGGGCAGAAGTTACTACTGTTATGACTCCTACCACTGCACCTGTCAACCTCTGCCCAGTTCTCTCTCCATTAATTACAACAGGCTAGGCACAGTGGCTCATGCCTGTAATCTCAGCACTTTGGGAGGCCAAGGCAGGAGGATCGTTTGAACCCAGGAGTTGAGACCAGGCTAGGCAACATAGGGAGACCCTGTCTCTACAAATAATTTTTTAAAATCAGCAGGGCAGGGTGGCACGTATCTGTGGTCCCAGCTATTCGGGAGGCTGAGATGGGAGGATCATTTGAGCCTGGGAGGTCGAGGTTGCAGTGAGCTGTGATCATGCTACTGCACTCCAGCCTGGGCGACAGAGTAAGACACTGTCTTCAAAAAACAAAACAACAATAACAACAATGGCATCAGCAATACTTTTTGAGCACATATTATGTGCCAGGCACTACTCTAAGTGCTTTTTTTTTTGAGACGGAGACTCACTCTTGTTGCCCAGGCTGGAGTGCAGTGATGTGATCTCGGCTCACTGCAACCTCCGCCTCCCAGGTTTAAGCAATTCTCATGCCTCAGCCTCCCAAGTAGCTGGGATTACAGGTGCCTGCCACCACGCCTGGTTAAGTTTTGTATTTTTAGTAGAGATGGGGTTTCACCATGTTGACCAGGCTGGTCTCAAACTCCTGACCTCAGGTTATCAGCCTGCCTTGGCCTCCCAAAGTGCTGGGACTGCGCCCAGCCTCTAAGTGTTTTTTGTGCCTTATCTCCTTCTAACCCCACAACAACACTTTGAGGTAGGCCTTGTCAATTATCCTCATTGTACTGAGCAGTAAACAGAGGCTCAGACCTGGCCAAAGTGTCCTGGGCAGGGAGCAGCAGAGCTGGGACTGGCCTCTTTCATCCTTGCATCTGTCTCCCTCTTTCCTGAAACCATCTGCCCCTTCCCCAAAGGGGATCCTACACTGGTGTCCTAACCTTTGCGGCAGTAGGTGGTGGACTGGCAGTGCTCATCAGGAAGGCAGGCCTTGACGGTGTCCCTGTCCATGTGGCGCAGGGTGGGCAGGGCTGGGTGGTAGAGCTGCTGCTTCACGCCCGCCAGCTGGTTGCGCTGCCGCTCCATGGGAAGCAGGATGGCCGGGGAGGCATACACATGTGTGGAGCCATCGTCCCAGGGCACCAGGTCAATGATGCGGGCCATAGCTGGGGGGCAGAGGGTTCTAAGGGGCTCACCCTGGGCTCATGCTGGCCAGACACCCTTCTCTGCATGAAAACAACCTTGGCCAGTGCCGATGTCTACTTGCCAAACATTTATTTAGCACCTACTGTGTGCCAGGCCATTTTTCTGGAGCTCAGCATGAGGTGGCAGGAACATTCAGATAACAGAAGATAACAGAGACAACCCTCCCACTCCCCTTCCAACACACACATACACACACACACACACACACACACACTCACATTGTGCCATGGCTGTGAGGGAGGTCAGTACAGAGTGTGTGTTTCTGGGGAGGCTGGGGTTAGGACATTCAAGGAATGGTCTAAAAGAGGTGGTATTTGAGTCTATTCGTTTTTTTTTCTTTCTTTCTTTTCTTTTTTTTTTTTTTTTTGAGACAGTCTCACTCTTCTGCTCAGACTGAAGTACAGTGGCGCCATCTTGGCTCAATGCAACCTCTGTCTCCTGGGTTCAAGTGATTCTCCTGCCTCAGCCTCCTGAGGAACTGGGATTATAGGCATCCACCACCACATGTGACTAGTTTTTGTATTTTTAGTAGAGACGGGGTTTCACTGTGTTGGCCAGGCTGGTCTCGAACTCCTGACCTCAAGTGATCCACCCGCCTCAGCCTCTCAAAGTGCTGGGATTACAGGTGTGAGCCACCTTGCCTGGCGAGTCTATTCTTAAATAATAAGCAGGAAAGTGCAGCAGCAAGCGGGTTCAGAATGTAGCTTAGTATGCCGTATACCTCTGGGTGAATAATTATGGACTTGCCCTAGCTATTTACCCAAAATTCTACAGATTGACTCAGAAAGATTTTCAGGAAGGGGAGCAACATGATATATTTAAACTAGAAAAGCATTACTGGATACCCAGTGCCTCCCTTTAAAAAGCAGATAGTCCCAGGAGCCTTTCAGTCATTTACACTTTAGTGAGAATTTGTTGAGACAGCTTGCTTTCTTCCTGACCCTGAGTTAGAGGTGAGAGGTGGAGGTGGAAGCTAGGGTGGCAGGAGGAGAGAGGACCTTAGATCATGGAGGAGCAGGGAGGGGGCATGGTGACAAGGCATGGGGAAGCTGCCTTAGGGGATGTGACTGCCTGGGGAGGGACAGGGAGGGGGATCACGGATATGGGGAAGAGAGCAAGGGCTCCCTGCTTCTGACTCACCAATAGCAGCTACCTTATCTGTAGGGCCCAGGCCCAGGTGCACAGGCTTATAAGGACTTTCAGTTCTTTGACTGCTCAATGGGCAGAAGAGGAAGGGAGGTGGACGAGCCCTTATTATGGACAGCAGCAGAATAAAGGAACATTGTGCACAGACAATGCCCATTGCAGCCTGATTCTGAGGCACCCACTCCTTAGCAACCCTGGCAACTACAGGCTCTAACAAGAGCCTGTGCCAGAATTCCTGTGCTCTGGCCACTCCCTTCCAGCCTTCCTGAAGGCTGTGGTCTCCCAGGCCTTAGCACAGGCCAGGCATCTTGGGAAATGTCAGATGGGGAGCTGGGGTTCCCTGGAGGTAGTCAGGCCAAGGCAGGCCAGAAATGGCTACTGAGCCCACTGCAGGCTGTGTAATCCTGGGCTAATTACCGCCTCTCTCTGGGACTCAAGGCTCTCCTCTGTGTTAGGCAAGGACTCTAGGATCTGCCGTTAGGAGGATCTGGATGCTGAGAGGGATCTCCCCTCCCTGGAACCCTCAGGGAAGAGGGCACTGCACTGTCTGCCAGCCCTTGAGTCTCCAGGAGTGGAGATTAGCTGTGGCCAGTATCCAGGGTAAGCGTGAGGGGATCAGGGAGAGTGGTGGACTCAGCAGGCCAGGGATTAGCAGATGATACTCCACCCTCAGCCCCTGCAGGACTGCAGGCTCCCAGAAAAGCCAGGCTGTGAGTGCCCAAGGCCAGCACCCCAAAGCCCTGGGGCCTGCCCACCATCCTGGTCACAACCATTAGAGACAGACCCCCAAGGTGAGGAAACCCCAGGAGATCCTAACTTATTTGCATATATTGGCATGTGCTTTTGCATATACCTGCCCAGGGGCTGAACCTGATGGGTCTTGGAGCCCCTCCTGTGAAATTCTTGTAGGATTTGTTTCCCCAGTTGCTCCTCCTCCAGTGCTCCATACAGCTTCCAGAACAGCATTCCTAACTGCTACCCCTTACAAAAAACCTTCCCAGAGTTGACTCCACTCACCACCCCACCCCCAATTTATTTCTTGACTCTTTTAAAGTTATAAAATAGAAGAAATACAGAAAGTGAATAAATATCTAATGTAACTAATAATTTACAAAATGAGACCCCGTATAACTACCACCCACCCTGGTCAAGACATGGAGTACTACTTTTAAAACAGTTTATCAGTTTCTTAAAAAATGAAACAGAAATGTACCATATGATTGGGTCATCTGGAAGATTCTACCCCAGGAGGCTTCCCAAGAGAAATGAAAGTATATTGTGAGGCACGATGGCTCACACCTGTAATCCCAGCACTTTGGGAGGCTGAGGTGAGCAGATCACTTGAGGTTGGGAGTTTGAGACCAGCCTGGCCAACATGGTGAAAACCTGTCTCTACTGAAAACACAAAAATTAGCTGGGCGTGGTGGTGCAAGCCTGTAATCCCAGCTACTCAGGACGCTGAGGCAGGAGAATCGCTTGAACCTGGGAGGCGGAGGTTGCAGTGAGCCGAGATCGCAGCATCGCACTCCAGTCTGGGCGGCAAGAGCAAGACTTCGTCTCAAAAAAAAAAAAGTATATATCTTCACAAAGACTTGCACACAAATGTTCATAGCAACATGATGTATCGCCAAAAAGTGGAAACAACCTGTGTCCACTGATGAGTGGATAAACTGTGGTGCGTCTATACCATGCAATACTCTTGGGCAATGAAAAGAAATGAAGTTCTGATACAAGCTACGAGGTGGATGAACCTCATAAAACATTACGCTACATCAAAGAAGCCAGATGTGAAAACTCACATATTGTATGACCCATTTATATAAAATGTCCAGGAAAGACAAATCTATAGACGCAGAAAGCAGATGTGTGGTTGCCTGGGACTGGGGTGTACGAATGAAGAGTGGTTATCATCTGGTGTGAGGGGTCTTACTGGGGCAACGGGAATGTTCTAAAACCAGATGTGGCAAGAGTTGCACAGTTCAGTCAATGTGTTAAAAATCATGAGTTAGGCCGGGGCGGTGGCTCACGCCTGTAATTCCAGCCCTTTGGGAACCCCGAGTGGGTGGATTGCTTGAGCCCGGGAGTTCGAGACCAGCCTGGGAAACATGGCGAAACCCTGTCTCTACAAAAAATATGAAAATTAAATGGGCATGGTGGCATGTGCCTGTGGTCACAGCTACTTGGGAGGCTGAGGTGGGATAATCACTTCAGCTCAGAAGGTCGAGGCTGCGGTGAGCTATGATCACGCCACTGCACTCCAGCCTGGGTGATAGAGTGACACCCTGTCTTAAATAAATAAATAAATAATAAGTAATATAAAAGTCATTGAGTTGTATACTTACCATGGGTGAATTTTATGGCATATATATTCCCATAAGCTTGTTTTGAAAAATAGATGCCAGCCAAGTTAGTAAAAGAAAGCAAGACATTGGCCCTGCCAGTCCCTAGAAGCTTCCACATACACCTTCCCAATTACAACCCCCAACCCAGCAAGAAGGAACCACTCTCCCATCTTGTAGTACAACCTGTGCTTTTATTTATGGGCAACTATGGAAAACTTTATTTAACAACTCTAGGCTTTATAGAAAACTAGAGGTGGCAAATGTACTTGTGTTTGTAGCCATAGACAGGACAGACTAATTTTGCCTTTTGGGAATTTTGTATGCATGGATCACTGGGGTCTTCTTTTGAATCTGGCTTCTTTCTCTCCATATATATGCACATGAGTTTCATCCAAACTTTAGCCACTGTGTGTGGCTGTGTTTTGCTCATTTTCCCCACCCTAGAGCCCACTACTGTTCCCTCAGGCTCATCTAATTTTCCCTCCTTCCCACTCTGCAGGGGCTCCAACTGCCTCTAAGTTGCCCAATCTCAGGACGCATTTCAAGTCTCAGCTCAGACAGTGGCCCCTTGGATCATTCCCTCACCCCAACACAGCCACTACTCTTGGCTTTCACCTCACCCCATGCTTCTGCTTCTCCATCCCCATCCCTGGCAGCTCCTTCAGGCTCCTTTACCAGCTCCTGCTCTTTTTGCATCCTCTGAGTGAGCCCGTGTTCCAGGTGCCACCTCTGGTCATCTTTGTTTCCTTGGGTTTCCGAGGTGATATCAGTCAGTCCTGTGGCTTTAAGCATCATCTGCAAGCTGAGGCCTCCAAAATTTCTATCTCCTGTAGACCTCTCCCTAAGTCTCACACACACACACACACACACACACACACACACACACATTTCAACCTGGATGTCTCTCAGACTTTTTTTTTTTTTTGCTTAGGCTGGAGTGCAGTGGTGTGATCTTGGCTCACTGCAACATCCACCCACCGGGTTCAGGCAATTCTCCTGCCTCAGCCTCCAGAGCAGCTGGGATTATAGGCACCTGCCACCACACCCGACTAATTTTTGTATTTTTAGTAGAGACGGAGTTTTGCCATGTTGGCCAGGCTGGTCTTGAACTCCTGACCTCAGGTGATCCACCTGCTTTGGCCTCCCAAAGTGCTAGGATTACAGGCGTGAGCCACTGCACCCAGCCTCTCTCAGACATCTTAACAAAGTAGTGCTCATGATTTTCCCTCCAAAATTCTTCCTCCAAACTTCCAGCCTCAGGCTTCTTCTTTTCAGTACATGTGTAAACCAGCCTGGGGCGGTTTACTGGTTCACCCACTAAACCAGCTACCCAGTTTCCCAGGGTGAGCCCCTCAATGCCCGCCTTTTTCCTCCCCTTTCCCTTCTATCTGTACTCCCACCAGCATAGTCCAAGCCCCATCATCCCTCCCGTCAGGCTGCAGGCAAGGGCGAATGTCACCTGTGTTAGTCTCAGGCCCAAGCAGAGCAGAAGGGCTTGCTGCTGTTCCTTGGGGAGGAGCTCTGACCCCTGCAGCCTGGCATATTTGTAGGGAAGGGTCAGGGAGTACATTGAGCTTTACCGTTGGGGTCTGGCCTTGCTGGCAGAAAGAACTTTCTTGTGAATCACTTGCCATGTAGAGGTTGCATTATCAGAGGTCTTGAAGCCCAACACTGGAGGGGAAGCCAGGGGTCATCCAGTCACCAATCAGCTTGTCCCTCCGCAGCCTCCTGACCAGTTTCCTGTTTCCATGCTTGCCTGCTACACAGAGCCACACAGATCATGCCCAGCCCCTGTTCAAAACCATCATCTAAAACTACACTCCTTCCTGTGGCTTACAGTCTCACAACATCTGCCCCTGCCCTCTGTCAACCTCATCTCCCACCACTCTCCCCTGCACCCGTTAAGCTCCAGGCTCCCCGGTTCCCATTCTGCTCCTCAAGGCTCATTCCAGCCTCAGAACCTTTCTCGTTGCAGTGTCCTTGGCCTGGAGCACCACTCACCCAGCTTTTTTCACAGCTGAGTCTTTCTTACTTTTCATGTCTCAGTTCAAATATACATCCACCTCGTCATAGGGGCCTGCCTACCTGCCCCTACTGCCCTCCACAACATGCTTCTGCCCTGTTTGTTTCTTTTATGGCACTTAGCATAATTTGCAATATTCTTTATTTGTCAGTAATCTCCTCCATTGGAATGTAAGCTCCATGAGGACAGGGCCTATGTCTGTCTTGCTCAGTGTGCCAAGGCTGGCACACTGCCAGGCACAAAGGAAGAGCTCTAGGCCAGGTGCAGGGGCTTACATCTGTAATCCCAATACTATGAGAGGCTGAGGCAGGAGGATTGCTTGCATCCAGGAGTTTGAGAGGTTGAGGCTGCAATGAGCTGTGATTGCACCACTTCACTTAGCCTGAGTGACAGAGAGAGACTGTGGCTTAAAAAAAAAAAAAAAAAAAGGAAAGGAAAGGAAAGGAAGAACTCTAGAAATGGTGCGGATAATTAAGTCAAGTCCTGCCCTTTGCCAAATATCCCTCAGGGCCACCACACTGAGCCCCTCTTCCTTGGGCCCTGTCCCTTGCACCCTCTCCTCCTAGATCTCTGTATCCCTTCAAGTGTCCAGCCTCAGTTCACAGGGCAGGTCAGATGCCTCAGTCATCTGCCGGGTCTTGGATCCATCCTCAAGGCCCAGGCCTGGGACACAGCCTTTCTGGCAGAGCCCAAGGCAGGGCTGCTGAGACCCTGCCCAGAGAAGACTCTAAGCCAGAAAGAACCTGCCTGCGTCCTGGCCTGGGGGCTGGAGAGTTGGGGTACACCTCTTGCCACCGCTGAGTGGGAGCTGACAAGCCCCTGCTACCATGAGGAGTCTCCAGGCATCACATGGGAACTCCAAGCTGTTATTCTCCCATCAGCCACTCCGTGTCTTGGCCAAGGTGTATGGGAAGCCAGGCCCCTGGTAAGCCGGGCAGGTCCCCTGGCAACCCATGGTGCTCCAAACCTGGGCCATGCAGGAGCCCTTCCCTGGGGCCCACATCCTTGCTGGACCCTGGGAGTTGGGAGGTGCTGCTGGTTTCCTGGGCATCAACAGCCTCTTTTCTCCCCCTCCCCCATTCAGCACCTGCTAATCCTTTGCACACGGCCCAGCTACTGCCAATTAATCTTCCTTGTGTCTGAGGGGCCAGCTACGAGTGGCAGCAAGAAGGCAATTCCTGGCTGGCGGTTGGCATCTAAGCAGGTAACTCAGGGTGAGGTGGAGGCTCGGTGGGACCCCGAGGGGATCCCCATGTTCTCCCTCTAGAAAGGCATTTAGGTAGGACCAAACTGGCACGGTGGGAAACCTGTGGCTTCCCTCTATCTGGTGGAGCTTGGACTTTAGCGGGCATCAGAATTTTCAGGACAGCTTGTACAATGCAAATTCCTAGGTCCCCCAGGAGGACTTGGGGGACCTAGGAATCTATATTTTCACTAGCTCTCCAGAAGACTCTGGAAATGCTGGTGGTGCAACACCATGGCTCCCCGAGCTGCCACTCGTGGGTCCCCCTTCCCACCTGAGCCTCCCTCATCAAAGTGCAGTCAGCAGGGACACGGGTGAAAGATGGGAGGGACCTGCAAAAATTCTCATTTAGGAGGAAAAAGAAAAATGGGGGATCGGGGAGGCTTCCTTAGTCATTTCCAGAAGGTTTAGAAATGCAAGCGAGAATTGCTGCCTGCTGGGAAGGGTCTACAGGCCTGGCCCGCGGAAGAGGCCAACACTCGGCAAATGCCACGACTACCTGGGAATACATGTGGGGCAGCTGGAATCGGGCAGACCTGAGTGTAAACTCAAGTTGGCCACTGCCGGCTGTGCTGCTTCAGGCGATTCTGTTGACCTTTCTGTGCTACATAATGAAAATTCTTATTTTACTGAGTGCAGGGGCTGGGCGGGGCGTGGTGGTGAGAGCGAGGATGAGTATGATCATGGGTAGAATGCACTTAGCTCAGCCCTGGCTCTCGGGGCTGCCTGGGGCTGGCTGGGGTCAGTGAAATCTGCTATCCCAACATGTGAGCTCTGGCAGTCCCGACCTGGGAAAACATTGTGTCTGTGCCCCCACCTTCAGGGAAATGGAAGACCAGAGGGGTCATGTCTGGCCCAAGTTCATTTTTTGGGAGGCTGAGCCAGGGATCTGACACTTAGAGCTGTGTTCCCACCACAGCCTCTCGTGGGAGAGGCTGGGCTGCTGATGCCAGAGTGGGAACAGAGGTCAGGGCTGTAAGTAGAGGACAGGCAGCACAGCCGTGGGCTCTGGGGAGCTGGGCTTGGGGGCAAGGATCCTGGGCCTGGGCTGCCCTCTTCAGCTGGGGCCAGGGTCCCTGGCAGAAAGGGGCATACAGACTCTCTGCCAAAGCCCGGGTTGCCCATGGCTGGGAGAGGGGTGGGGCACACTCATGTGGGGCAAGAACACATCTAGGGCTAGGAGTTAGCACACACTGACCTGCACGCTGCGCACTGGCCAGGCCATCCTGCAGGGGTTCAGTCATAAGGGCTGGGGCTCCCCATTCCCCAAGGAGAAATCAACCAGAAACAACCTGTACTTAAGGTAGGACTGAAATAACACAGTATATCATGAAAAAAGTCTTACCTGGCATTTTATCTTTTTCTTTCTTTCTTTTTTTAAAATATAGCACTATAAGCATTTTATTTCAGTTTTGAGACAGGGTCTTACTCTGTCGACCAGGCTGGAGTGCAATGGCTGAGTGCAATCTCCACCTTTTGGGCTCCAGTGATTCTCGTGCCTCAGCCTCCCGAGTAACTGGTACTACAGGCACGTGCCACCACGCTGGGCTAATTTTTTGTATTTTTGGTAGAGACAGGGTTTCATCATGTTGCCCAGGCTGGTCTCGAACTCCTGAGCTCAAGCGATCTGCCTGCCTCAGCCTCCTGAAGTGCTGGGATTGCAGGTGTGAGCCACACCATGCCCAGCCTTTTTGTTTGTCTGTTTGTTTTTGAGAAGGAGTCTTGCTCTGTCACCCAGGCAGGCTGGAGTGCAGTGGCACGATCTCGGCTCACTGCAACCTCTGCCTCCCGGGTTCAAGTGATTCTCCCACCTCAGCCTCCGGAGTAGCTGGGATTACAAGTGCACACCACCACACCCAGCTAATTTTTGTATTTTTAGTGGAGATGGGGTTTCACCATGTTGGCTAGGCTGATCTCGAACTCCTGACCTCTGGTGATCTGCCTGCCTTCACCTCCCAAAGTGCTGGGATTACAGGCGTGAGCTACCACAACAGGCCCATTTTTTTTTCTTTTTTTGAGACAGGATCTTGCTTTGTTACCCAGGCAGAAGTGCAGTGGCATGATCACTGAAGCCTCGACCCCTTGCCTCAGCCTCCTGAGTAGCTGGGACTACAGGTGCACACCACCATAACAGGCTTTTTTTTTTTTTTTTTTTAAATAGAGACAGGGTCTTGATATGTTGCCCACAGTGGTCTCGAACTCCTGAGCTCAAGTGATCCTCCCATCTTGGCCTCCCAAAGTGCTGGGATCACAGGCATGAGCCTCTGCACCCAGCCCATTTTATCTTAAAAATTAAAAAATGATGAACATAGGTTAAGTTTATCTTAAGACAGATTTTCCACTCATGTAATTACTCATAATGAATATTTTTACTTATAATGAGATTATGTAGTACATGCATATTACACAATTAGTGTTTTCATTTGATACCATGTAATAGTCATAGTCAACATTTATTAAGCCCTCGGCATGTGCCAGTCACTGTTCTGAGTATGTTACATTTATTATTATTATTATTATTTTTGAGACAGGATCTCACTCTGTCACCCAGGCTGGAGTGCAGTGGCACGATCTTGGTTCACTGCAACCTCTACCTCCTGGGTTCAAGAGATTCTCATGCCTCAGCCTCCTGAGTAGCTGGGATTACAGGTGCCTGCAACCATGCCCAGCTAATTTTTGTATTTTTAGTAGACAAGGGGCTTCCCCATGTTGCCAGGCTGCTCTGGATCTCCTGACCACAAGTGATCCACCCACCTCAGCCTCCCAAAGTGCTGGGATTATAGGTGTGAGCCACTGCCCTTGGCCTGAGTATGTTACACTTATCAATTCATTTTATCCTCACAATTAGCCCATGAGGTAGGTACTATTAATATCCCCATTTTACAGACAAGCAAACTGAGGCACAGAGACATTAACTGATCTGCTCATGACTTGACTTCAGAGCAGGCACATCTTCTTGCTAGCTCAATTAGACTGCTTCTTTCTTTTTAATGCCCCCATAATATTCTATTATTGGGTATAGTGTAACTTATTTAATACATGCCCCTCTTAGAGATGAACATTTAGTTACATGTAGGTACTTTCCAATAACCAGTCTCCTCTTGATGAATATTTGGGTGTTTTTCATCTTTTGCTATAACATTGTTGCAACCAGCTTCTTTGTACACATATATTTATGGCCTTGAGTAATTCTATAAGGTAAATACCTAGAGATATAATTGCAGAAATATATACACACACACATATCTGTGTGTATATATGTAATATGTATGTGTATATGTATATCAAATATATATATGTATGTGTATATATATTATATATTTTTTGAGACAGGGTCTCACTCTGTTGTGCAGGCTGGAGTACAGTGGTGCATCATGACCCACTGCTGCCTCGACCTCCTAGGCTCAAACGATCCTCCCACCTCAGCCTCCTGAGTAGCTGGGACTACAGGAGTGAGCCACTACACCTGGCTAATTTAAAAAATATTTTGTAGAGACGAGGGTCTCGCTGTCTTGCCCAGGCTGATCTCAAACTCCTGGATTCAAGCAATCGGCCCATCTCAGCCTCCCAAATTGCTGGGATTACAGGTGTGAGCCACCGCACCCAGTCGAAATGTTTTTAAAGTTGATGAAGGAAAAGGAAATGTACAACTCATAAGAGTGGCCCATAAGTGGCGGGAGCTACTGTGAGTGCTCCAGGGAGGGCTAAGGACTCTGTCTCCTACAGGCATCAGGATGTTGGGCTGGGTCCAGAGGGTGCTGCCTCAGCCCCCAGGGACCCCTCGGAAGACCAAGATGCAGGAGGAAGAGGAAGTGGAACCAGAGCCAGAGATGGAGGCGGAGGTGGAACCAGAACCGAATCCTGAGGAGGCCGAGACAGAGTCCGAGTCCATGGTGAGAGGTAGAGCGGGAGGAGGGGCAGGCCGGCCTCGCTGCTCAGGGTCTTCCCAGTTTGGGCCATCTGCTCTCCAGGGACTTTCTACAGCAGAAAAGGTTGGCATCAGAAGGAAAAGTGGGGGTCACAGGGTCCCACACTTGTTCGAGTGAGAAAACTCAGGTTCAGACAGTGGGTAGGGCTTGCCCAAGGCTAACATTTTCTGTAAAAGGATAGATAGTAAATATTTTAGGCTTTGTGAGTGATGCTATCTCTGCTAATTACTCAACTCTGCCATTATAGTGTGAAAACAGTTATAGGTAATGCATGAATGAATGAGCATAGCTGGGTTCCAATAAAATTTTATTTATAAAAACAAGCAATAGCCTAGATTTGGCCCACAGGTCGTATTTTGCCAACCTCTAGAGTTCAGAACAGAGCTACT
Source organism: Homo sapiens (assembly GCF_000001405.40). NCBI lineage: Eukaryota > Metazoa > Chordata > Mammalia > Primates > Hominidae > Homo > Homo sapiens. The sequence goes on along the minus strand of NC_000016.10, from coordinate 57,966,702 downwards.
CACAGGAGCCAGTCCATGAACTGTTTATTACTAGTCCATGATGATTAAACAGTTTGTACCAGAATGTAAATCTACTCTGTAGCTAAGTACACTGATTAGTTTAGTTGCTATTTATTTTGTACCAAGACTTTCTCAATGAAGGAAGCAGTGCATTGATAAACATTCTGGTGCAAACTGCTTAATCATCATGGACCAGTAACAGTTTGCAGACTGGCACAGATCCATGGACCACACTGTGGAGTATTTCTCCAGAACTTTTCCTCTGCAACCCATCCATTCAGGAGCTGGATGACAACTAATTCAGCAGCTCAATTCGACACATTTGATTTAGCTTCTAATTGATGCCAGGCCCTGTGGTCAGTGCTGAAAGCATAAAGATGAATAGGCATTGCCCCGGGGACTCAGCAGACAAGAGCCCAGCCAGTTCATTCTGCCAAGAGACATAGGTGGAGAGGAGGGAACGTGGTGAGTCTCAACATTGGCCTCAACTCTCCCCTTCTTGGGGAGCCAAATAAGTGTGTCAGACCAAACTATGGGAGCTCAGAAGAGGGAGAGTCATCTTAACTTTGGAGATTGGAGGCTGATGGGGGAGAGCTTCTTAGACGCAGAGGGTGGAGCAGAATTTTAACTGAGGGAGATGGAGAGGCTGGGCATTCCTGGCAGAGGAAAGGCTGTTACTAGAGAAGGGCAGGGTGTGTTTAGGAAACAGGTATAGGGTGTGCGTATGCATGTGTATATGTTGCATGTATATACACGTATATGTACATATATGTGTGTAGTGTGCCCTTGGTATGTCTGTGTGTGCACACATGTATTTGCACAATGGGTATACATGACAATGTATGTGAACATGTATATGTACATGAATGCATGTATATGTGTTTGCACATATGTTTATGTGCACATGTATTAGTATGTCTGTGGTTCCATGTGCTTGTGTGACATGCTAGTGTGTATGTGTGTGTATGTGTCTACATATTTCTGAGTATGTGAGTGTACTCATGTATTTCTATGTATCTGCATGTTTGTGCATCTGTGAATGTGTATATACACATATTTGCCTGTCTCCACATGTGTATATATACACATTTTGTGTCTGTGCATGGATGTTCATGTATATTTAGGTGCAGAAATCTGTGTGTATATGCATGTCCATATGGACATGCTTCTGTGTATGTGCAAATATGCACATGTGTGTGACTGAGCATATGTGTGTATACTCATATTTCTGCACCTGTATACATCTGCAATGTACCTATGCATATGTGCATGTTGTGTGTCTGTACACAGGCAGTTATACGCATGTATGTATCTGTATGAATGCATGTGTGTATATGCACGTTTGCATATGACTGTATGCACATATATGTGTTGGGGCATGCATGCATATGTACATACACATGTATATGTACATATGTTTTTGCCTGTACGTGTGTGCACATGCACTTATTTTTGTGTCTGTGCATGTGTGTGTATATATGCATGTTGGTATTTGTGTGTCATTGTATACATGCATATGTATGTGTATATATGCTCACATTGTATGTCTGTTCATGTATGTATGTGCATGAGAGTGAGTATGCACACATTTATGTGTCTGTGTATGTATGTGCATGTATATTTGTTTGTACATACACATAAGTGCACGTAGTAGCAGGAGGTGTGGCTGCAGAGGCAGGTGAAAGGCAGATGGCAGAGACCAAACTCCACCTAGCTACTAGGGAGGAATGGAAAGTTTGGGCCAGAAGGAGAGGGAGAGCACTGGCAGAGGATGAGGGGCGTGGGCTCCTCTCACCTCCCTCTTCCCCTCAGCCAGCCCCAAGGCTTCATAACTATCTCTAAATGGTCCTTTCTCCTCTCAGGCCACTGAAGTGGGGCAGCCTCCTGGGGATGTTGTAGGCCTGGGAGGCTTGGAGGCCACCTTGGACCTTGGGGGCTGTGAGGGCCCCCAGCCCCAGATGAGGGGTCCCTGGGGCTAGGAGGAAGGGAGTATCCCAGGTGGAAGGTAAGGCCAACAGGATTTACAGAGATGATCCTGAGGAAAGAGTCGTTCAGGTCTTTTGTGGGGCAGGGATCCCTTGAGGGAGAATCAGGCTGCCCCTGTCCAAACCAGGCTGGTCTCACCTAGGACTTACATGATCCTGTTCGAACCCTCTAGCCCCCCGAAGAGTCATTCAAGGAGGAGGAAGTGGCTGTGGCAGACCCAAGCCCTCAGGGTGAGTGCGAGTGCTGAAGCCCAGGCTGGCATGGCAGGGGGGCCCGCATTCTCCCCTCGGAGCCGCAGAGCCCACGAGGCTGGCGGACCCATTTCACAGATGAGGAAACTGAGACTCAGAGAAGCTAAGGGTGGGCTCCCAGAGACTTCAGTTGAGCTGAGCTGGAGCCTGGCTTTCTGACCCCTGGGGGTCTCTCTCCTCTCCCCTGACTTGATCTCCCCAAGCAGGGTAGAAATGGGCCTGTCTGAGGCCCTAGATCTGAAGGATGAGAGATTCTTTTCCAGAGACCAAGGAGGCTGCCCTTACTTCCACCATATCCCTCCGGGCCCAGGGCGCTGAGATTTCTGAAATGAATAGGTACTGCACCACCCTCCCCTCTCTTCAGGGCCAGCCCGCCTCCCAACTACCCTCCCAGCTAGGGAGCCCTGGGGATGGGGGTGGGGATGGGCACTGCCCTTAGCTCTGCTGTCATTCTGGGGAAAGCCCTGGGACATCCTGGGAATTGGCTGAAGTGAGCTTCAGGTGGAGGGCGGGCTCTCCCTAAGTAAGCCTGAAGCTCCCAGTTTGTAATTTCTGCTGGAAATCCAGTCATGCATTCATCTCCATTCACCCTATTCATTCATTCCTTCACTCATTCATTCATTAGACTGTTAATTCACTCATTCATTCATTAGACTGTTAGCCCCTTGAGGGCAGGGCAATGTGACCAAAAGAAACAGTGGGTCAGAGCTGCATAGTGAGCGCCCCTGTACAGGGGGCCGGACGTTTCTCAGTGCTTGGGTGAGATGCAGGCCCAATGGGGTCAGAGCTTCTGCTTTTCTCAGAAAAGCCAGAAATCCAGGCTTTTGCATGGAATCTCCCAGTTGGCTCAGACATTTCAGCCCATGGTGCTTGGGGCCTGAGCAGGGCTGGGGCTGGGCTGGCCTCAGGCAGGGAGGCTGTGACCTTCACATTTAGGCTGCTCAGCCTGTGCCACAGCATTACACCTGCAGCAAACCTTGGCCCTTTGGGAGCACGATGTGTGCTCAGAGCAGGACAGCAGGAGGCAGGAGGAGAGGGAAGTCAGCTGCTCTGTCCTAAGCATCCCATGGAGGGTGGGCTCTGAATGGCACCCGGTCTGCCTGGCCTCATGAAGCATCAGCATCCCCTATTTTTCAGAGAAGGACGTGGAGCTTTTTGGGGAGGTGATGGGTCTGAAGTCTCACAGTGGGGAGACAGTGGTTTAGGATTCAAGCCAAGTTCTTTTGGACACTGGACTGGCCTTGGGCCAGTGGTACATGTAGGTACTTTCCAATAACCACACCACACACATACAGATGACAGTGACACTCAGGGACAGAGACTCACCTAGTGTCTTGGGCCTCGAGGGCCTCATTGAGCTAGGGGAAGTTGAGGGCGGGCTGGTGTCTCTGTCCATCGCAGTCCCAGCCGCAGGGTACTGACCTGGCTCATGAAGGGCGTAGAGAAGGTGATCCCGCAGCCTGTTCACAGCATCACGGAGGACCCGGCTCAGGTACTGCTGGGGCTGGAGGCTGAAGGGGCCGGGTTGGAGAGGGGCTGTGGGGAGGCTGCCCTTGGGCTCCCTGCCCATGTCTGTCTGTCTGTCCCTGGCAGATCCTGGGGCATGGCAGCACTGGGGACACAGGTAAGAACAAGGGGCAGGATGGCTTTTCAGCAGCAGGGCTGAGGGGCTGAGGGGCTGCTGGGATGGGCCCTGCCCCTTGGGAGCCTCTGCCCAGGCTGGATCTTCTCACCTGACTGACCCTGCTTTGAACCTGGGGTTGAGCTGAGCTCTCGGTGCCCACTCCAGGCTGCCCAGGGGGCTGGGGCAGGTCTCCCGCTGCTGACTGCCTTTCTGTATTTTCTGACCCTGCAGGGTGCACAGATGAACCCAATGAGGCCCTTGAGGCCCAAGACACTAGGTGAGTCCCTATCCCTGAGTGTCACTGTTGTCTGTATGTGTGGGTGGGAGGAACAGGTCCTTGGTTTCAGGAGCAGGGTCTGTTACCACCTCAGGGTGTGACCTTGGACATGCCTCCCGTCTCTTCTGGGCCTGTTTCCAGCCATAGAATGGGGACAGTGGACCGTGTGCTGCTCATGGTTTGTGGTGGGATGTCCCTGGGTGTTCCCAGGGATGACTGAGAGGTCCCTGGGTGGGGCCACCCTCTGAGAATAGGGAGGGGCAGGGATGAGCTCCTCACAGGTGGGCTTCATGTAGGTAGGCTCCGTGTGGAGCCTGGAAGCAGGGCTTGGATCACTGTGGGGGACATCAGGGTGCCTGGGCTGGCCTCAGTGTCTGAGTTCTCAGAGCTGACTCAGGGAGGGGTGGCTGCCCCATCAGTAAGGGTGGCAGACTGGCAGGGGGACTGTGGCGAAGAGGGGAGCCAGGGAGCTCCGAGAAGGGGCCCTGCTTGGTTTCAACTGCCTCTTCCTTGCTGGCGTTTAGGCCCTGTGTGGCCAGATCCTCCAGGTTTTCCAGAGAAGCTAGAAATCTAGCTTTTTATGTAAAACCCTCAATTTTTAGTCAAGAAGTTTTCAGGACACTGTAGACTTCCAAAGTAAGCTTGAAGCTCCCAGTTTGTAGTTTCTGCTGGAAATCCAGAGACATGCATTCATTTCCATTCACCCCATTCATTCGTTCCTTCACTCATTCATTCATTAGACTGCTGGCTCCTTGAGGGCAGGGGCTTTTGTCCTGGTCACTACTGAACCCTTGGTGCCCAGCACAGCACCTGCCACAGAGTGAGGACTCAGCACACATGGGACAAATGAATGCATGAATGAACACACGTATATATAATCACACACTTCATTCACTCATTCATTCATTCATTCATTCATTCATTCATTCATTCCTTGCTGCAGCTCTCTCTCTGTGTCTTTTGGTCCTCTACTTCCTTCTGAGACATATGCAGCTGATTCCTGGGACCACTAAAGCAATTTAGGATGAGGGCACCTAGAGGACTCACCAGCCTTCTTTTGGGCCATACTTGGGGGAACCGGTTGTCCTGGGAACATGGTGCTTCTCTGAAGAGAGTGGAGCTTCCCAGAGGCCAGATGGATTTGGGATCCAATGCTTGATCTTAGGACCAGCCACATAATTTGTGGGGCCCAGGGCAAAATGCAAATGCAGGCCCCTTAAAAGTTTGTTTAAAATGTTTTCAGACTGTGACAGCAGAGTATGAAACCAAAACCAGGTCCTTCTAAGTCTAAGGCTTTGTGTGATGGCACAGGTCACACTCCTGTACAGCCAGCCAGCCCTGTCTGTTCCAGCACAGGGAGCCCCCAGGGCTGCATTCAGGTCCTCAAGCGGCTCTTGCCTCTCCCCTGCTGCCCCAGGAGGCCATGGCTGTGGTTCCAGAGCCTGGTCCAGCCCTGGCTCAGAAATGGAGGCTGACAGGATTTCCCCACCCGCTTGGGGCCCTTTGAGAGTTTCCAGGACAAGGCCCCCACTGTGCAGAACAGGATTGGAGGGCACGGAATGGCTGGTTGAGGCCTGGCCCCGAGGTGGGCTGTTAGTGCGCTGGCCGGTTCCCTCAGGGCACTCTGCTGATCACTGGCCCCTCTGCAGGCCTGGGCTGCGGCTGCTTCTGTGGCTGGAGCAGAATCTGGAAAGAGTGCTTCCTCAGCCCCCCAAATCCTCTGAGGTGAGCCAAGGAAGGGAGAGGCAGGGAGTTGAGTATATGGGGGGGCTTCTGGGGCCCCAGGAGGGACTGCCTCCTCCAGCAGGCTGTCCCCACCCACCCCAGAACTCATGAGGGGGCGATGCCCCACTTTGGAGAGTCCTCTATGGGGAGGAGTGACTGTGAGAGGGGGCCGGGATTCAGAAGGAGAGACACCCCCCACCCCCATCCCCGGCTCACCCGCCTTGGGCCAGGACACAGCTGGTAGTGGCGGTTGGGGAAGCGCACAGAGCTTGCTATGGCCCATGACCTTGCGCCCTGTTTGTCACCCAGGTCTGGAGAGATGAGCCTGCAGTTGCTACAGGTGCTGCCTCAGACCCAGGTACAGGGAGGGGAGCTCGGGAGGGGGCTGCCTGGGATGGTCACGGGCTGGGCTCAGGGATCAACTGGGCCCTGGAGGATCCCCCAGAGGCCCTTAGCCCCCACCCAGACTAGGACGGGGTTCAGGGCTTGCCTGGAGCAGGCTGTTGGCGGGGACACCAGAATCCCCTCCCCAGTCCAGGCTGGGAAGCCAGTGTCCTGGAACAGACTTGTGGGTCTTGGGTAAGTCTCTTCCCCTCCCTGGGTCTCAGTTCCCTTGTCTGTCTGGTCTGTTTGAGGATTGGGATGGGTGAGGTGGTCCCAAAGGGCTCCCCATTCAGTCCTGTTAGCGACTCGAATCTGGCCCCGTGCCCTTGAGGGGTTGGAGGAAGCCCTCAAGGGATGGCGTCTCTAGCTCCTGCTTTCCCCGCTGCTTAGCGCCTCCAGGACGCCCCCAGGAAATGGGGCCCAAGCTGCAGGCCCGGGAGACCCCCTCCCTGCCCACACCCATCCCCCTGCAGCCCAAGGAGGAACCCAAGGAGGCACCAGCTCCAGAGCCCCAGCCCGGCTCCCAGGCCCAGACCTCCTCCCTGCCACCAACCAGGGACCCTGCCAGGTGAGCCACCCTCAATGCAGCGCCTCCCACCAGGGAGCAGGATGAGCACCTTGTCCCCGCCTAACACCCAACCTCCTGGAAACCTGGAAGAAAATTCAACTGGATGTGTGCAGCCTCCTTCCCAAGGCAGCCACATCAGCTTCGTGCCCTTTCCCACATTTTCTATGCACGTCCAAGCTTTCAAGCTTTGGGTACTTTTCTTTTCTTCAACACACACCTGACAGGAGCAAACTATACATACTCGTCTGCACTTTGCTTTTTTGTTTGTTTGTTTGTTTGTTTTTTTGAGACCGAGTCTCGCTCTGTCTCCTAGGCTGGAATGCAGTGGTGCAATCTCTGCTCACTGCAACCTCTGCCTCCTGGGTTCAAGTGATTCTCCTGCCTCAGCCTCCTGAGTAGCTGGGATTACAGGTGCCCGGCTAACTTTTGTATTTTTAGTAGAGACGGGGTTTCGCCATGTTGGCCACGCTAGTCTCAAACTCCTGACCTCAAGCAATCTGACCGCCTTGGCCTCTCAAAGTGCCAGGATTATAGGCATGAGCCACCCGGCCTGGCCTGCTTCCTCTTTTTTTTTTTTCTTAACCTGAAAAATGTGTCTTAGAAGTGCTTTTATTCACACAGGTCTTACTGCATTCTTTCTTGAACAGCTGCATTAAATGGATGCACCAGTTTTTATTTAACCACTCAGTGGACATTTACATTTGTTTTCACTCTTTTGCCACAGTCAATAACCCGTGCATGCATCATTGGGTTCACGCACAAGTAAATCTGGAGGATAAATAAGTGGAAATGGAGTTCCTGGGCCAAAGGATACATATATTTAAAATGGGATACAGGCTGGGTGCAGTGGCTCATGCTTGTAATCCCGGTACTTTGGGAAGCCATGGCAGCAGGAGTTCGAGACCAGCCTGGGCAATATAGAAAGACTCCATCTCTACAAAAAATTAAAAAAAAAAAAAAAAAAAAGCTGGGCATGATGGCATGTGCCTGTAGTCCCAACTACTCAGGGGGCTGAGACAGGAGTGAGATATGATCACATCAGCCTGGGCCACCAAGTCAAGAAAGAAAGATGGGAGAAAAAAGAAGGGAAGGAGGGAAGGAAATCGGGACAGGTATTGCCACATTCCATGTGTGAGATGCCCAAAGTGCACTCCCTTCCGAGAACGGGTGGGAGGGTGGGGGGAGGCCGAGCTACCTGCTAGGGCCTGAACAATAGCCAGAGCACCGAGGGAGGGTGGAGAGGGGGGAGAATGGTCTTCAGGGCTGGAGACCTGGGCTCTGGCTCCTGGCAGGCTCTGCCTTTTGGCAGGCTTGTTTTCTGCCTTGGGAACGAGCTGACTCCAGCCTCAGTTTACCCATGACCCTTCCCACCTGGACACCGCACACTCTCTCCCACCTGCAGGCTGGTGGCATGGGTCCTGCACAGGCTGGAGATGGCCTTGCCGCAGCCAGTGCTACATGGGAAAATAGGGGAACAGGTCAGTGCTGGGCTCATGGAGTGGTGGCCCTGGTGGTGGTGGGAGGGGTCTTGGGAACTTGGGTAAGGAGGAGGATGGTTGGCCCTGTGGCAGAAGCCCAGCTCCCCCAGCCTTCCTGTCTGCATGGCCCACGTTCATTCCACCCACTCCCTGAGACATGCTGGCCCAGCCCCACCTGCCAGGAGTTCACAGTCAGCGGGGGAGGTGCTTCCGTGGGGGAGCAGAGAGGATATGGGGCACAGAAGTGGAGCCTCCTGGGAGCATCAAGAAGGGCTTCCCAGTGGAGGTGGCCTCCAAGCATGTGCAAAGGTCCAGAAATGAGAGATACCTAGATTCTGGGAAGAAGTAAGGCTCACAGGAGCCGGCAGCCCTATGTGCATTCCTGATAGCCTAGGGCTCCAACATGAGTGGCCAGGGGGAGCGCTCATGAGCTCTGTCACCCCTTCTTTTCCTTCCTCAAGAACCGGGAACCTGGCCCTTTTTTCTTGGGTGCAATTGGACGTCTTTATAGAAGCACCTGGAACTGGGAGGTGGGAGGCCTAATCTCTCTCCTGGCTGTGTGGCCTCAGCTCTGGCCCTCTCAGAACTGCAGTTGTCCCAGCTGACCAATGGTCAGTTGTTTACAGAACTCTTTACCTGCATTCTCATACCCAGGGCTGTGAGAATGGAGGTAAAGAGTTCCGTAAACAAAGCTGTCTAGGCCCCAGAGAGAGGAAGGCCTGGCCAGGTCCTGGGCCTTTGTGTCACTCAAGAGCTCGGCCTGGCTCCTCTGAGCAGGTGCCGCTGCTGTGGCTGTCTGGGGTCACCCCCACCTTGCTTCACTTGAGCCAAGGCTCGAGCTCTCAAAGCCCCCTCCCCCCACCTCAAATCCTTCATTGGCCCTGGGCACAGCAGGGACTCTCTTCTCCATCCCATGGGACAACTAAGGCCCGGAGAGGTGGGTCAAGGTCACGTGCTAGAAGGTGTGGCTGAAACGGGGAGGCTGGTGAAGAGGCCGTGGCAGGATTTTCCCTTTTTTCTCTCTCCATGCAGGAGCCTGACTCCCCTGGGATATGTGATGTGCAGACCAGTAAGTGACACATTACTGAGTCCCCATGTACATATTAGGAAGGGTTGCTTGGTGTCCTTGGGTCTGACTGTATGTGGGCAGGGGGGCTGTCCCTGGCCAGACCTGGACTCACACAGGGGGGCAGTTAGGGTCTCCTGGGCTGGAGCTGAGAGAGCCCCATGCTCTGCAGGCCCTACCTCTGTTCAGGTAGCCAGGTAGCCAGAGCCTGGCCCAGAGCCAGATGGTGGTTGGAGGCCCCCGGAGCCCAGTGTCCAGCTTCTATCCAGGGAAAACAGTCCCAGGGCTAAGTCAGATGAGCTCTCCTTCCTGCTGGTAATGCCCAGAGAGCTTCCCCCATCCCCTGGCAAATGGGTTTGGCCAAGCTGAAGGGAGAGGGGTGGGGTCTCACTGGGAGAACCAGGCTCCACAGCCTCCAGCTCCCTTGAGCTGGAGGGGGTCCCTGTCACCTGCAGCTGGGTTGGGGAGGCATATGATGCCCTTTATCCCAGCCCTGAGCCAGGAATCGGGGACAGAGGACTGAGACCAGGAAGGGGCTGGAGGCAGGATCTGTTCTTTCTTCACTTCATGGCCTCTAGAGAGGCATGCGGTGGACAGGCATTCATTCATTCATTCATTCAATACATAGTTAAGGACAGCCTACTATGTGCCAGGCCTGTGATGGGTTCTAGTTGTGAGCAGAGTTCAGGGGCTGTGGGTGGTGGCATCCCCTGTTCCATCCTGAACACAAGCCCTTCAACCACAGGCCTCAGGCTGTCCCAGGGCTCTGAGCTCTGCCCTGTGTCTGCAAGGCTGTGTCCAGCCCCAGCCCCGCTAGTCTGATGGTGGTCTCCATGAGTGCCCTGAAGCCGGGGGTGGCCGCCATGGCCTGGAGCACACACAGCCCAGTGGACTGTGGAGCTCAGGTCTGATGGAGAGGCGTGGGGGGCGTTAGGGTTGATGGTAATCATGGCGATGACATGAGGAGGAGGAGAGCTGGCCTGTCTCAGAGCAGGGCATAAGCAGTCTCTCATGGAAGCTCGTGGCCAACCTGGGGCAGCAGAGCAGAGACCCTCATGGCTGTTGGGGCAGGCAGTGGGCAGAGCTCAGAGAACCAAAAGCACCTGCCCAGGGTCACAGAGCAAATCGAGTCCACCTGGCCTGGCAGCCACAGCTTAAAGGAACTAAAAACGTTTCCTTGGGGCAGAGAGCCTTCAGAGGGTCTGCATCTGAGGATGGAGCATCAGAACCCTCTGGAAGGAGGCAGGATTCCCCGCCAGCTGTGGCCAGGGCCTCCCTGCAATGCCTGGAGCATATGGGTTATGGGTGGACGCTGGGTGGCCATGGGGGCAGGCTCATGGGGACAGGGAGAGGAGCTGGCTTGGTTTCATTTTCTAGGACTGCCGTAACAGATGTGCGCACACTGGGCGGCTTAGAACAACAGACACTGATTCTCCCACAGTTCAGGAGCCAGAAGTCCAGGGTCAAGGCTTTAGCAGGGTTGGCTCCTCCTGGGGCTCTGAGCGAGACATGCCCATGCTGCTCTCCTTGCTCCTGGTGGCCACTTGCGGTCCTTGGCAAACCTTGGCTTCTGGCTGTCCTCCAGTGCCCGCCTCCGTCTCTACACAGCCTTTACCTCTGTGTCTGTGTGTGTCAAGCCTCCCTCTCCGTTCTTTAAAAAGGACATCAGTCACTGGATTTAGGGCCCACCCTCAATCCGGGATGATCTCACTTTGAGATCCTTAACTTAATCACACCTGCAAAGAAGCTATTTCCAAATAAGGTCACATTCACAAGTAATGGGGTTAGGACTTGCAATTATCTTTTTGGGAGACACCATTCCACTCACGTCCCATGTCATGGGGAGACTCTGAGAGGCTGGGGGATATGTGTCCCTTACCTTCCCCATTCATTCACTCATCCACTCACTCACTCACTCACTCATTCCCTCCGCCTGTCCACCCAGCCACCCACCCTGTCTTCTCCTTTGTTTCAGGGGTGATGGGAGCTGGAGGTCTCTGAAATAAGGGAGAAGGGAATCTGGGAGAGCTCAGATGGACACATGGATGGAAGGAAAGAAGGATGCCCTGAAGAGAAGACCTTCCCGGGGGAGGTGGCCACTGACACCCCACCCTATTTGAACAGCGAACCCCTCCCTCTCCACACACTCCCAGGCAGGACAAGGGGAGCCAGAGTCACCTGCACCAGCCCCAGAGCCTCCCAGACCAGAACAAGGGGAAGGCCAGCCATGGGCAGCCTGCAAGATTTAGGCTAGACAGCAGGACTTACCCCCAGAGGGCTGTGGAAAAGGCCCATAGCCGGGCGTGGTGGCTCACGCCTGTAATCCCAGCACTTTGGGAGGCTGAGGCAGGAGGATTGCTTGAGCCCCGAAGTTCGAGACCACCGTGGGCAACACAGTGAGACCCTGTCTCTAAAAAACCTTTTTTAAATTAATAAATTAAAAAGCCCCATGGATGGAGGACTCAGTATTGAGCATCTCTTTGAGAGGACGCGTGCACAGCCCCCAGTGTGGTACCTGGCACCGTCAGCACCTCGACAGGATACAGTTTTTCCCAGAAGAGGTTCTCCCTAGGCCTGGCCACACTCTCTCCTTCCAAGGCTTGGGGACACCAATGAGCAGCAACAAATGTTTTCATTAACATTAAAAGAGTGTAAATGAGCACATCAAACCTGTGATTGCATTGATATTATTGCTTAGGATAAAGCTAAAAGAAGGGTTTAGGTTTTAAAAGTGGGTGGACTGAATAGCCCTGGGCTTGCGGTGTTGGGTTGCAGGAGGAGAGGAATTAGCCAGGGGTCCTGAGCTGGGGGTCCTGGCTCCCAGCTGGCCCACATGTGTCTTTGTTTGGGCCATGGAGTGATTTTAAAAATTAGAATTGATTGCCAACATTTAAAAATCAGGTAGCTTTACATGGAAAAATCTGGCTTCTCTTGAAAACTGGGTGGACTTGGCTGTCATGGGCCCACACTGTGCTTGTGAGGACAGTCTGGGCAGCTGCTGGCACCTGAAGGCAGGTGGCACCTGCCTCTTCATTTGTTTACATCATCACCCTGGCTGGGCAGGCCTTTGGATTTGAGATCCCTGAGGTCTCAAACTGGTGATGAGGTGGGGCAATCCCAGTAGAGGGAATAAAGTGTGGCATACAGGAGAGTGGTGGGACTTCAGCTAATCTGGAGCCCAGCATCCTTAATGCAGAAGATAAAACTAGAGAAGTTGGGGCCTGACTTTAGGAAACTAAGCTGTAGGCAATGGGGAGCCATTGAAGGTGATTGAGCAGGGGAGTGACTTCAGAAAGATTACTCTGAGGCTGAGCAAGCATTGGAGACAGGGAAAGCAATCAAAGCAGGGACACTTCCAAAGCACCTGGGGCCAACTATGAAAAATGTCCTACCCCAGACTTTCTGATTCAAGAGTACCGGGAGCTGGGAATTTGGTTCTGTGTTGTTTTTTTTTTCTTTCTTTCTTTCTTTTTTCTTTGATGACCAAGCAATGGTTATGGAAGAATCTGCTTTATTGAGAAGCACCTGCTTTCTCAGATGATTCTGATGACGGGGTAGAGGCTGGGACCATACTTTGAGAAACATCCAGTGAGAGGTTAGTGCTTTGGGGCCAGGTAGGAGGAGATGTGAGCCTGAGCCAGGGAGAGGCAGAGGAAGGAGGTATCATGACCCAGGCCTGCCAGAAAGGATGGAGGTTTGGAGTTAGGGCTCAGGCTTTGACAGAGACCCAGGGGTCCAGGTGGGGACCTTAGCCTAGAATTCATGTGCCCTGGCTCCTGCCTGCTGATCCTGGAAGCAGGGGCTCCTTCCTACATGAGGCTGTTGACTTTCTTTTTTTTTTTTTTTTTTTAAGATTGAGCCTTGCTCTGTCACCAGGCTGGAGTGCAGTGGTGTGATCTCGGCTCACTGCAACCTCTACCTCCCGGGTTCAAGCAATTCTCCTGCCTCAGCCTCCCTAGTAGCTAGGACTACAAGTGTGCACCACCACGCCCAGCTAATTTTTGTATTTTTAGTAGAGAATGGGTTTCACCATGTTGGCCAGGATGGTCTCGATCTCTTGACCTCATGATCTGCCGACCTCGGCCTCCCAAAGTGCCGGGATTACAGGTGTGAGCTACTGTGTCCGACCGAGGCTGTTGACTTTCACTGGCCAGGGTCAGAACCTCATTTGATGGCCCTGAGGGCAGAGAGGCCACTGACCAGGAGGTGGTGTGCCAGGGTGGAGTGGCAGTTTCTATGGGAACTAGGGCACTCATAGCTCCTGAGCACCTGGGTAGGGCCACGGAGAAGCTGGGCGAGCTATGAATCAGCTGCCTGTAGAGAGGGGCAGTTGGAGCTCCAGGGGTGGGCCAGGGGCTCCTGCACCACGCCTCCTGGGGGCCTGCCCTGGGGGCTGTGTGGCAGCATACCCAATCCCTCCCCTTCCAGGTTGGTGATCTTGGGCACCGTCCTCCTCTCAGTGCTGCAGAATCTTTAGCTGTAAAATGGGAACAGTATAGGACACATCTTGCAGGCCTGCTGCGGAGATGGAAAGAGGAAATGAGGCCGGGCATGGTGGCTCATGCCTGTCATCCCAGCACTTTGGGAGGTCAAGGTGGGTGGATTGCCTGAGGTCAGGAGTTCGAGACCAGCCTGGCCAATACGGTGAAACCCCATCTCTACTAAAAATACAAACATTAACCCGGTGTGGTGGTGCATGCCTGTAATCCCAGCTACTCGGGAAGCTGAGGCACGAGAATTGCTTGAATGGGAGGCGGAGGTTGCAGTGAGCCAAGATCATACCATTGCACTCAAGCCTGGGTGTCACAGTGAGACTCTGTCTCAAAAAAAAAAAAAAAAAAAAAAAAAAAGGAAATGCTTGTAAAACACCCACGCACTAAATAGGACCTAAAAAGAAAATGTTAATGGAAAGGAAAGGAAAGGAAGTGTGGAAGCAAGGACAGCATCAATTCTTAAGGACGGCACCCCATAAGGAGTGGCCACTGATGCCAGTGAGGCGCTCGTGGGGCACATTTATCACCTGGGATAGTGCACTGGGAAAACGGGAGTCAGGGGACCTGGCTCTGCCTCCACCTTCCTGTGTGGCCTGGGACAAGACACTCAGCCTCTCTGAGCTGGCTCTCTTTAAAAGGGGGAAAGTACTGTTCCTGCCCTTTGGGGCTGCTGTGAAAGCTCACGTGCTGTCAGGCAAGATGTTCTGTTCCCTGGATGTCCCCTGCTATGCCCAGGCAGGAACTGGCATCCCAAGGGGCTGCTTAGAGTGGAGACATGGCACTATTGCTGGACAGCAGCATAGACTGACACAGACAAAGCGTCCCACCACCGGATTCAGGGTCACACTTGGAGGAGCCTCCCTGGCCAAACCCCAGGGGCGTTTGCAGGGCCAGAGGAGCCGGGAGCAACCATGGAAACAGCTAGTTCAGGATGCTCTTGGGGCTTCCCTAGAGGGCAGGCAGCACCTCATCTGTGAAACAGGGATAATATCTGTACCTAGAAGTGGGGAGCTCTGTGCCTGGCAATGGAAGCACCCCATAAAAGAAGGTATTTATCTGTGTCTCAGTTTGCTCATCTGTAAAATGGGGAGAAAAACATAAAAGAGGGAAAATAAAATGGGGATGCAAATTATAACCCCAAAATGTTGATGTGAGGACTAATCGAGTTATTCCACGTAAGCCATTCAGCACAGGGCCTGGAACATAGTAAGTGCTCAAAAATGCAGCTGCTGTTACTATTATTGTTGTTATGCAACATCATGAACAATAACAGCCAAAGTCTCAGGATAAGACTTGAGGCCGGCTTCCATTTAAAGTCATTGTTACTACTACCCAGGTATGGTGGTGCATGCCTGTAGTCCCAGTTACTCAGAAGGCTGAGTGAGGTGGGAGGATTGCTTAAGCCCAGGAGGTCGAGGCTGAGGTGAGCCATAATTGCACTAATGCGCTCCAGCCTGAGCAATAGAGCAAGACCCTGTCTCAACAACAAAAAAGTCACTATTACTAATTCATGTTTGGCTGAGGTCCACCAAGATCCCTGGAGCTTTCGGGGGACACCTAGTATTCAGGCATTGTCCTTTGTCCCTGACACCTGCCTGGGGGTAGGCTTAGGTTCCTGATGAGACTGCTCTGCACTCCCTTTGAGCATCTGCCAGGCTTATAGGCCCAGGGTGTTTTTGTTGTCAAGGACCAGGATACTTGAAGAAGTGTTGAAAATTAGACTCCCATCTGAAATTGGGACCACCCCCATGAGAAAGATGAGTTTCCCTGGAGGGCGGAGCCTCTAGACCCAGGAGGGAGGGAAGGACTCTCAGAAGCAAATGCCGAACGTATGGGCGTGCTGTCACCCGGGGGTGGCATCTACAGAGCAGGAAGCGGGCAAGCTCTCTCTGCATCCCCCAGGACAATCCAGTCCACCTGCACCTGGATGTGGCCAGGTGGACCCTGAACCTGGGCCTTTTGGCATCCCTGTGATGCTGTGATTGGAAGCATTGTTTCTGCCTCTGCACAAACCTTTAAGAAGGAATCCCCCGTGAGAAACAAACAGGATCAACCATAATCAAAGCTCTGTCTCAAGAGGAGAAGGGGGGAAAATAATGGAGACAGAGTGAATGAGCACAGGCTTCAACCTATCACCGGAACACCGATCTGGTCCCGCTGAAAATGGAAAGTGCCATTTCCCCACTGCATGACTAAGCACTGAGGCACTGCTGGCGACAGCCAGGGCTCCCTGCAGGCTCCCTGGGACTCAGAGGCCCAAGCCCACTCTCCCGCACATCCCATAAATGGCTCTTCCTGTGTTCCCTGCAGTCAGCATCCTTCCTGGAGGACAAGTGGAGCCTGACCTTGTCCTAGAGGAGGTTGAACCGCCCTGGGAGGATGCCCACCAGGATGTCAGTACCAGCCCACAGGGTACAGAGGTGGTTCCAGCTTATGAAGAAGAGAACAAAGCTGTGGAGAAGATGCCCAGGTGGGGAGTCTGAGAAGACCCTAAAAGATTAGTTATTGTTTGAGAAAGTGCCAAGCATGCAGTACCTTATCTCAAAGATGAAAAGGCACAGAGCAGGAACCAAGCCTGCTTCCCCCTGCCTTCATACAGCCATCCTTCTCCCATGGGTAGAATGGCTACCAGGTTCTTATGTGCCACTCCAGAGACAGTCTGGGTACATGCAAGCTCGCATCTCCCTCCTTTTTTCTTTTTGTACAGAAGATGGCATAGCACATGTACCTATCTACACCTTCCTGTATTTATTCAACAATATACCTTGAGGTCTTTCCACATTCAGGATATAGAGGGCATCTTCATTTTTCACTGCTGCATAGTATTCCATCATATGGCTGTACCATAATTTATTAAACCTCTTCACTATTGATGGACATTTAGGTTGGTTCCAAAATTTTGTTATTATGAACAATTCTGCATCAGGCACTCTTGTATGCATGTCTTTGCACATGTGTGAATACGTCTGCAGGAGATTTCTAGAGGGGAATTGCTGGGTCATTGGTCATGGGAATGTGGAATTGTGGTCATGATTGCCAAGTCGCCTTCCACAGGGATGTCGCAATCTTTGTTCCTACTAGAGATGCTTGGTGACAGTGGGAGGTCTCGGGTTCTGAAGCCCATAACTTACATAGCTAAGATGGGGAAACTGAGGCCCAGAGAGGATCAGAGGCTGACCTAGGGTCACCACCAGGACAGTGGCTGGGACAGTCCCCTCATGCAGAGGAGAGGGTTTGTTGCCAGAGAGAGTTCAGGGTTGCTCGGGTGGGGCTCCCCAGGTTGAGCCTTGGTTGGAAAGTCCAGGTCTGGGCTCAGGTGTCATGGGACATCCTACAGAAAATAGAGGCAGGAGGTAGACTCAGCGGGGCAGCTTCGGGTGGGCTCACCTCCTGCCTCTAACCCCAACTCAGAGAGCTGTCCCGGATTGAAGAGGAGAAAGAAGATGAGGAGGAGGAAGAGGAAGAGGAGGAGGAGGAGGAAGAGGAGGAGGTGACTGAGTAAGTCATTTGCTCACCTGTCTGGGAACGGCCCTGGGGCTGGGGTTGGCTGAGCTCCTGGGGTCTGGGCACTCTTTGCTGCTCATGGGAGCTCCTTTCTGTTGTTCTGTGCTGTGTAAGGCTGGGCTTTGACCAAAGAGGCTGCGAGAAGCTGGGGTTCCCCTGCTGTGCTCATCATGACCTGGGAATCATATTACCCACCACTCCACATCCCCCCCCACACACACTAGAATGCAGCCTCCAAGAGGGCTGGGGCTTTTATCTGTTGCTTTCACTGCCATGTCCCTAGAGCCTAGAACAGTGCCTGGTACACAGTGGGCACCAAATAAATGTTAGTTGTCTGCATGGACATATGCAGTGGGCTCCCAGTTCTCCCTTTATTCACAAAGCCAAGGCTGCCTCCCCTCCATATCCACCCACCTTGGTTGCCTTTGATGCCTTCTAGGGCTGTCCTGGATTCTGCTCTACTGCCCAGTAATGGTCGATCGTCCACCCACATCCATATATTTCAATGTTAAACACACAGAAGAGTTCAGTTAAAATAAAAATTAAACACTGGAGATCAGGAAACACTATGGAGGGTGAGTGGAAGGATGACTGGACAGGGGGATATGCATGGGGAAGAGCAGGCAGTTGGACACCTGTGCCTGGAGTTAGGAGCAGGAGAGGTGGGGCTGGAGATGTGACATTGGGATTCTGGGCATGTAGGTGGCATTGAAAGCTGTGGGGCTCGAGGAGATGCCCAGGGAGCGAGTGTGGATAGAGGAGAGGCTCATGGACAAGACCAGAGGTTGGGGAGATGAGGAACCAAAAAGGACTGAGGAGGAGGCACCAGTGAGCAGGGCAGAGACAAGAAGAGTATGGGGCCCAGAAGCCAAGTTAGTGTTTCAGGAAGGTCGACCAGGCGTGGTGGCTCACGCCTGTAATCCCAGCACTCTGGGAGGCCGAGGTGGGTGGATCACTTGAACCCAGGAGTTCGAGACCAGCCTAGCCAACATAGCAAAACCCCATCTCTACTTAAAAAAAAAAAAAAAAAGAAGAAGAAGAAGAAAGAAGGACTGCCTCAAAAGCAGGTTGTAAAGCCTTGAACTTGTTTTCCCAAAGGCGATGGGGAGCCATTGAAGGTTCATGAGCAGGAGAGTGGCATGATCTGGCAGCTGTGTTGGAGAAAGATTGAGTCAGGGAGAACAGTGAGGAGACTGTTATGGTGGGCCAGGTGACAGTAAGTTACTCTCTCCTTGCTCCAGTCCCCTGGCATTATGTCCCTGTGTCTCTGACCACCATGGTACCTCATGACCCGCGTCCTTTCTCCCTGACCTGTCCCTCTGGCCATGGCCTGAGACAGGATAGCACTGTGAGTGTTAGGAGCACAGGCTTTGGCATCAGAAACGCCAACTCCACTTTGCTTCTGTTAGTGAAATGACTGGGGCAAGTGGTGTACCCGCTCAGAGCTTCTGCCTCCACATCTGTAAAATGGGGGATAATAAAAGGCTCCTGCAGAGGGGTCATCAGGGCCAGCGGTGATGATGGAAGTTGTAGGGGAGTAAGTGCCCCATCGATGGCCACTGATGTTCTCGTCCCCCAGTGGCCTCTTTTCGTTCCAGTCAGGAAATAGTTAAACAGGATTTCAGAGCTGGAAGCCTGTTCAGTGTCAGCTGCTTTTAGTCCATCCTTACTCAGTTCACATAGACTCTTTCCATCCTTGACAGGAGGCCACACAGCCTCTACTTGCTTACCTCCAATGACGGGGAGCTCACAACCTCTCAAAGGCTGTCCATGTCATCCATATGCCCCGCTGACTTGTGAAATTATTTCTTAGACCAAAACTAAGCCTGCTTCCCTATGGCTTCTGTCCCTTCCTGACTTGTCCTAATTCTGCCTTCTGAGCCACCCTGCAGTCCCAGCAAGATGAGGAACTTAGCTGCTGCCTGGTTTCATTAGAGCAGCTTGTTTGCCCTCTGCTTTCTATGGAGCTGTGCTTCTGTGTGGGGTGTATAGCTACAAGTGGCTGCCTTGCTGAACTTGTACACCTAACACCCAGGCTGGAAAACCCCTGTATTTGCCACTGCTCTGGATCTGAGACACCCTTTGAAGGCCAGTGATCAACTATGCTCACATACATGCATGTGCAGATGTGTACTAACTATACACATGTTCTCAGAATGCAGTACACATGGGCACACACACACATATCTGCACTATACCCATATGCACCAGCACACCAACACAGACATACATGCTGGGTTATGCACACACTTACATGTACAGGCATGCACACACGTATACCCACACACATGCTTCATATATGCACAAGCACAGGCAGCACATTCATACATATTCATACATGTGTGTGCACACAGGCACACATGTACATACTTGCACACATCCACGTGACAGCCTTGCACAAATGCACATGCATCCAGAGTTACCGGCAGATGCTGCAGGCGTGAACATCTTCATACAAATGTTTACCCAGAGTTTTGAACTTGGGGAACTTTTGGGCTCCAGGCCCAGGGAGGGACAAGGGAGTGACAGAGTTGGTGATCACAGGGCCAGGGCCAGAGGGTGTGAGGCCCAGGGCAAGAAAAACTGGGCTGTCAATGGCTGGGGAAGGATGCTCTTGGCCAGCTTTGCAGAGACACAGGTTACTGATGATGTGAGGGCCTGGTAACGGGCAGATGGTCGCCTAGAGACCCGGTATCTACAGGCAACAGCTCAGCTTTCCCTAGCAACCGAGGCCTTTTGGTTCCACCTGGCCTCCCTGGGGATGCTTCTGCCATTCCCTGCACATCTCCTCAATCTGATTAGAAGCAGGAAGGATTGCTGGCTCCTCTGCCACTGGAGCCACCCTGGCTCGGGAGCTGGGCTCCCACTTGCATGCACCGACCCAGGCTTGGGATGAACGCCACAGCCCCCAGCTGAACCCCTGCACCATGGGCATCCTGACTGGTCCCGACCGAGAGATCCAAGTAGGTGGCTGCCTCTCCCTAAGGCTCCCCTCCTTCCTGCTTTTGGGGCTGGGATTTCAGGTGGACAGTCTGCTGAAGGTGACAGTGAGGACCTTAATGTTGGGGCACGGCCTGCGGGATGGCACAAGGCGGGAGGAGTGGACGGGTAAGCTTTTGAGAGCTGGCTGCCACTGCTGCTCCCTGGATCTTAAACTTGGAAAGCCGGAGGGTGTCTCCAGGAAGCCAACCTCAGCCAATCTGTCTGTTCCTTTGCTTGGAAATCCCTGGGACTTGGGAACTTTCTGGAAGTTGATGGCTTGCTGCTTCTGGGCTGCACAAGAGGGGGCCTTGGCAGGCACTGGGCACCCTGTCAAGCAGGGGCCATACGGCTTTGGTAACATGGCCCCTAGACAGCCCCCGGTGATGCTGACAGCGCCACCACTGGGCTGTTTAGGTGTTTTGATAGCTGGGGATTTTTGTGCAAAAGGTTTCTCAATCCACGTGGGTGATTTCATAACCCTGCAGATCACCGCCTCCTCTGGGATTAATAATAATAATGACAAGAACAATAATAATGGCCTCCATTTGACTTACGATTTTTTTCCATGCCACTCACGGCTAAGGCAGCCTGAATGGCAGATTCTATTATTCTCTCATCCCATTTCACAGATGAGAGAACTGAGGTTCAGAGACAGAGCCCTGCCAGTAAGCGTAGAGCTGGGATTCTTGGCATTACAGACAAGGAAAGCTGCTCCCAATGTTTAGTGATGAAGAATCCAGAAGAATCACCAGAACAACATCTGGCAGTCTTTTTTTGACTTTTCTGTGAGATTCTCATTGGCCCTTCTGATCTTACTCAAATAGGTCAGGCTGCACAGGCCAGGCAAATCCTGCCCATTTGACAGATGAGCAGACAGAGGCAGCCCAAGGGCTTCGAGGTGACTTGCCCAAGGCCATACAGGGGCTTCTGGTCTGACACTGGAATAAGCAGGACCCCAGGAAGCCTCTGGCTGGGCCTGTGGGCAGTTCATTTTCTGAGCCTTGTGCTGTAGGCAGAGAGCCGAGACAGAACCTGTATCTATTTCAGGAAAGTCATCCAGTCATCCCCCTTGCAGCCGGAGACCTGTCTTTAACCCATTTGTGCAAGGCTGACTTCTCCTTAGTGTAGAAGGCACAGTCTCCAAAATACTCAGAGGCAGGCAGTGAAACAGAGCATTAAGCACGTGGCCTTGGGGTCAGTGATGCAGTATCTTATCCAGGCCCACCTTGCACAGGCGGTATGACCGTGGATTGGCCATCGAAACTCTCTGAGCCTCTGTTTTCTCAGCTTGCATGTGAGCAGTAACAGTTACGATCTGTCAGGGTTATGTGAGATTTGAGTTTTTTTTTCCCTAGGCTCTTTTAAAAAGTTAATTATTTTTTCTTTTCTTGTTTTTTTTTTTTTTTTTTTTTTAAAGACAGAGTCTCGCTCTGTTGCCCAGGGAGTGGAGTGGCATGATACTGGCTCACTGCAATCTCTGCCTCCTGGGTTCAAGCGATTCTCCTGCCTCAGCCTCCTGAGTAGCTGGGATTACAGGCATGTACCACTGTGCCTGGCTAATTTTTGTATTTTTAGTAGAGGCGGGTTTTGCCAAATTGGCCAGGCTGGTCTCAAACTTCTGACCTCAAGTGATCCGCCCACCTCGACCTCCCGAAGTGCTGGGATTACAGGCATGAGCCACCGTGCCCAGCCTAATTATTTTTTCAATTGACATAAATTGTATATATTTTTGTGTATAATTGTTGTTTTGAATTATGTATACATTGTGGAATGGCTAAATTGAGCTAATTAACATACACATTTCCTCATATGTTCATCATTTTTTGTGGTGAGAACAGTTTAGATCTACTCTTAACAATTTTTACAAATACATTGCTATTAACTAGAGTCACAGGCTGTATAATAGATCTCTCACATTTGTGCTTCCTATCTAGCTGAATCTTTGTACCCTTTAACCAACATCTATCTCCCCACCTCTCACCCCTCCCCAGCCCCTGGTAACTACCATTCTATTCTCTCCTTCTGTGAGTTCAACTTTTTTACACTCCACGTATAAGTGAGATCATATGGTATGTGTCTTTCTGTGTTTAGCTTATTTCACTTAACATAATGTCCTCAAGGTTCACAAATGACAAAATTTCCTTCATCTTAAAGGCTGAATTCTATTGTGTATATATAGGACATTTCCTTGATCCACTCATCTGTTGATAGACACTTGGGAGGCTGAGGCAGGTGGATCACCTGAGGTCAGGAGTTCAAGACCAGCCTGGCCAACATGGTGAAACCCCGACTCTACTAAAAATACAAAAATTAGCCGGGTGTGGTAACATGGGCCTGTACTCCCAGCTACTCGGGAGGCTGAGGCAGGAGACTCACTTGAACTCGGGAGGCTGAGGTTGCAGTGAGCTGAGATCGCGTCATTGCACTCCAGCCTGGGCAACACAGCGAGACTCTGTCTTGAAAAAAAAAAAATTAATGCTGCAATGATGGGAGTGCAGACACCTCTTCAACGTACTGTTTTCATTTCCCTTGGATCTGTACCCAACAGCTGAATCATATGGTAGTTCCATTTTTAACTTTTGGTGGAACTTCCGTATTCTTTTCCATAATGGCTGTGTGAATTTACAATCCCACCAACAGTGTGTAAGTGTTCCCTTTCCACTGCATCCTCACCAACACTTGCTATCTTGTCTTTTTTCGGGTGGGGGCAGGGCGACAGACAGCTGGAGTGCAATGGTGCAATCTCAGTTCACTGCAACCTCCGCCTCCTGGGTTCAAGCAATTCTCCTGCCTCAGCCTGCCAAGTAGCTGGGATTACAGAAGTGTGCTGCCATGCCCGCCTAATTTTTGTATTTTTAGTAGAGACAGGGTTTCACAATGTTGGCCAGGCTGGTCTCGAACTCCTGACCTCATGATCCACCCACCTCGGCTTCCCAAAGTGCTTGGATTACAGGTGTGAGCCACTGCACCCGGCCTATCTTGTTTTTTTGATAATTGCCATTCTAACAGGTGAGAAGTTAATATTTCATTGCGGTTTTGATTTGCATTTCTCTGATGATTAGTGATG
Organism: Homo sapiens; assembly: GCF_000001405.40. Taxonomy (NCBI): domain Eukaryota; kingdom Metazoa; phylum Chordata; class Mammalia; order Primates; family Hominidae; genus Homo; species Homo sapiens. Next base: position 57,943,297 of record NC_000016.10, on the reverse strand, counting down.
TTAAGCATCTTTTCATATACCTGTTGGCCATTTGTATGTCATCTTTTGAGACACCGAGGAATGTCTATTCAGATTCTTTGCCCATTTTTTAAAATCAGTTTTTTTCCTTACAATTGAGTTGAGTTTCTTATATATTTTGGATATTAACCCCTTATTTGACTTACGGTTTGCAAGTATTTTCTCCCGTTCTGTAGGGTGTTTCTTCACTATGTTGATTGTTTCCTTGGCTGTGCAGAAGCTTTTTAGTTTGATGTAATCCCATTTTGTATATTTTTGCTTTCATTGCCTGTGCTCTTGGGTTCATATTTTTAAAAATCATTGCTTAGACCAATATCATAGGGTTTTTCCCCTATATTTTATATATTGGTTTTATAGTTTCAGATTTTACATTTAAGTAGTGTTCAATCAATGTGGGTAGGGTTTTTTTTTTTTTTTGAGACAGGGTCTTGCTCTGTTGCCCAGGCTGGAGTACAGTGGTGCAATCACGGCTCACTGCAGCCTCCACCTCCCAGGCTCAAGCAATCCTCCCACCTCAGCCTTCCAAGTAGCTTGGACCACAGGCACATGCCACCACACCCAGCTAGTTTTTGTATCTTATAGAGTTGGGATTTTGCCGTGTTGTTCAGGCTGGTCTCGAACTCCTGCACTCAAGCAATCCTCCCATCTCAGCCTCTCAAAATGCCGAGATTACAGGCATGAGCCACCACATCCAGCCATCTTCTTGAGTTTCTTTCGTCGATGTTTTATAGTTTTCAGCATATGGTTCTGTCACCTTCTTGATTAAATTTATTCCTAAGCATTTTATTTTATTTTATAGCTATTGTAAATTGGGTTGTTTCATTTCTTTTTCAGATAGTTCATTGTTAATATATTGAAATGCTACTGAATTTTCTATGTTGATTTTATATCCTGCAACTTTACTGAATTGGCTTATCAGTTCTAACAGTTTTTTGGTGGAATCTTTAGGGTTTTTTTTTATATATAAGATCAAATTATCTGCAAAGAGGAACAATTTAATTTCTTCCCTTCCAATTTGGATGCCTTTCATTTCTTCCTCTTGCCTAATTGCTCTAGCCAGGACCTCTTATAGTACATTGAATAGAAGTGGTGAGAGTGGGCCAGGCGTGGTGGGTCACACCTATAATCCTAGCACTTTGGGAGACCAAGGTGGGAGGATCACTTGAGCCCAGGAGTTTGAGACCAGCCTGGGCAATGTAGCAAGACCCTATCTCTACTAAAAATACCAAACCAAACCAAACCAAACCAAACAAAAACAAAAATAGCCAGGAGTGGTGGAGCATGCCTGTAGTCCCAGCTACTCGGGAGGCTGAAGCAGGAGGATGGCTTGAGCCTGGGAGGTTGAGGCTGTAGTGAGCCATGATCATGCCATTGTACTCCAGCCTTGGTGACAGAGTAAGACCCTGTCTCAAAAATAAATGAATAAATAAATAAATAAATAAAAAGGAAAAGAAAAATAAATAACTAGTGAGGGTGGGTATGCTTGTCTTGTTCTTGATCTTAAAGGAAAAGCTTTCAGCTTTTCACCATTAGGTATGATGTCAGCTGCGGGCTTGTCACATATGACCTTTATTGTATTGCGGTCCATTTCTTCTATATGTAATTGGTTGAAAGATTTGATCATGGAATGATGTTGAATGTTGTCAATTACTTTTTCTGCATCTATTGAGATGATCATATGATTTTGTTGCTGTGGTGTACCGCGTTTATAGATTTCTCAAGGTAATTTGGAGGAGGATCTGGGGAGACTTTTCATGCAGACTGCCTGGCACGCAGCCCAGGAGCCGCTGTGGCAATGTGATTACCGACTGATTTCTGCTGCCAAGCGGCTGGCTCCAGACCGACTAGGCAACAATCCCGTCTCCACCTTCCTGCCCCACCGTCCTTGCTCAGGAGGGCTGAGACTTGGCCCTCTGGGTAGAGAATGATGCATTCAAGTTTCCTGGGTGGCAGACACCCCAGAGCATCCTCTGTGAACCCCTGGATGACAGGAGTCTGAGGGGTGGGGAGGGGGTGTTAGGAAGCAGGAACTAATCCTAACTACAAAAATCACATTAGTCCCTGGTCCTGAGTCATCATTTTAACCCAGAGGTCGCACACGGACATCTAATTTAGCCTGGAGATGGGCTCTTTTGGCTACTACATATTAATAAAGATATATTAATTTGAATTATCAGCATCTAAATATCAGACAACTTTACCTTAGAAACATATATTTCAGGCTCTGTTTGAAAATGGAATGATCTGGCCACCTGGGCCCCCTTTTCCAGCGGAGTGGGGTTGCTGCCTTCAAATGGACATGGGTTCGCTAATTTGCCACAGCCCTCCCTGCCCACTGCACCCTCACCCCTGGCCCTATCACTTATGTATGCCTGCTGCTTGGGCCCGGCACCCATGAAAACTTCAGCAGTTGCAGTGGCTCTGATCTCATGGCATGGGAAGAACCAGGGCCTGGGTTTGAGGTTTGTGTGGTTTGGGACAATTTGCTGTGTGATTTTGCCAGGTCACTTCACCTCTCTGGGCCTCACTTTTGTCATGCTCTACCCATCACCAAGATTGCCTGGAGACTGGGAGACCCCAGATGACAGCTCCTCCAACCGTCCTCCATGCATTTCTCGCACATGTTGTTCTCATTTCCTGGACAACCTTTTCCTCCCCACCATTCTTTGTGGTAAAATCATCATCCTGGAGGCTCAGCTTACAGGCCACCTCCTCTAGGAAGCCCTCCTTCCTAGCAGAGTTGTGGCATGTCCTTCACAGTGCCTTGCTGAGTGCATGTCTCAGATGGGGTGATTGTTAGTAGGACACTGCCCTGGAGGCTCCTGAGGTTGAGACTGGTTCTTGGGCATCTCTGTACCCTCCGCTCCTGGCACAGAGCGTGGCCCTCAGCAGGGCTGGGGAAACCTTTAACACCCTAACCCAGTCCTTTTATCCTCCCCACCCCGCCCCGGGTCACAGGGTGCTGCTGGATAGCTGTGTGGTGTCGCAGGTGGGCGTGGGCCAGAGTGAAGAAGACGGGACCCGGCCCCAGAGCACTTCAGATCAGGTATGAGAAGCACCAGGCACTGGCACCTCTGAGGCCTGGCTTGGCATTGGTGGAAGGATGGGGACCTTGTCCACTTTGCTTACAGGGGGAGTTTTGGCTGGTAAGATGCCCGCAGGACAGAGGGAGCAGGGTGGCGGGTCCTGCGAGGCCCCCTCTTGGCAGGGGTCAGATAGCGGCCCAGGCCGTGGGTGGGGAGACGGGTGGACCCAGCTCGAGTCCTCCTGTGGGTGCCTGGCTTGGGGCAAGTCGCCTCCCCACTCTGGGTCCCAGTGGCCACCTGTGCACGAGGGGGCTACAGACGCCTCCCTTGGGCCTGTAGGAGGACCCAAAAGGGCTTGCACACTGTGAAGAGTGGTGCTGTCGATGCTTTGTTCCCCCATGTGCCAGGCTGCGAGTGTCCCTCATCACAGGTGACACGTCCAGCTGTTAGGACCCGTAGGTCCTGGGTGCACTGCCCTCTACAGGTTGTAGGCTACTCCCAGGATGCCCAGAAGGTGGGCTGGCAGGACCTGACTGGCTGGGCAGGGCAAGAAGCAGAACTGGGCCCATGTGGACTTCTGAAGGCAGATCTAACAGGAGCTGCTGAGACTAGGGCTGGGGGCTGATGGTCACAGTTTCTGTTTTCACTTTATTCTCTGCAGAAGCTGTGGGAGGAAGTTGGGGAGGAGGCCAAGAAGGAGGCTGAAGAGAAGGCCAAGGAGGAGGCCGAGGAGGTGGCTGAAGAGGAGGCTGAAAAGGAGCCCCAGGACTGGGCGGAGACCAAGGAGGAGCCTGAGGCTGAGGCCGAGGCTGCCAGTTCAGGAGGTAGGTGTGGTGGTGGTGGTGATGGGTTGCGCAAGAATGTCTGAGGTCCTTTTAGGCTGGAGGCAGCCTTCGTGCAGGGGCAACCCCTCCTCCTCTCCCTCCATCTCCTTCCCCCCATTGCCCCCTCAGCCACCCTGTCTTCAGGAAAATCCCATCCTTGGTGTCTTGGGGCCACATTATCAGAGCCTACTGATACATCTCAAAGGTTCTAAGGAATTTCACTGAGGCCCAGGACTCCCAGTGGCGCCGGGGAAATCCCGATCCCAGCCAACTCCTTCCTTCCAGCCTCTCCCTGCCAGCCCCTCCTGCAGGCCCCTCCTAACCAGCCCCTCCCAGCCAGTCCCTCCTGCCAGCCTCTCCTGCCACTTCCGCTCAATGAGGATGCAGCTCTTGGGCTACCGCCCAGTGAGGGTTTGGCTCAGACATCACATAGCTGAGTGAAAACTGGAACCAGAACTTCCTAACAGAGTGTCCTGGACTCCATGTCTCTTTATGAGCTTTTCCTGATCTCCAGCTGTACCCAGCACATACATTTTGCTGTGATTTACCACCCTGCCCTCAATCCTGAGAACTCAAGCAATGGCGGAGAAAGAGTCCCAAGGAGTCCAGCAACAGCTGGACCCTGGAGCTGGGACAGGTGGGACCCAACCCCTGGCCGGCAGGTGTTGCGTGCCTTACACTCCACATTCCCCACGCAATGGGTCTTCAGCCGCTCTGTGAGGCAGACAGACCATTTTACAGATGAGAAAACTGAGGCTCTGTGTGTGCGGATTTGGCCAAGAGGTCAAGGCACAGACCTGCATTTCACTCCTGGCTCCTTTCTCTCTTCCTTGCTGTGTGACCCAGAGCCAGTTCTGTGACCTGTCTGAACCATGACTTCCAAATCAAGAAAAAAGGGGCAATAATAGTACCTAGCTCACAGGTTGCTGGGCAGAGTAGGGGAGACAATGTGTCCAAGGCACCCCAAACTGTGGCTGGCACTGAGGGAGGAGTCAATATTGGGACGAGGATGTGTCTCGGCCAGCGAGTGGTTGAAATGGGACTGGACCCAAGTGTCCTAACCCTGGGTATCCTGAGCTTGCTCCCTACTTGGTCTTTGAAAAGTGTTCTCTGTTAACTTCAACACATATTTATAGGAATTCCTACTAAGTCCAGGCCTGGGGCTGGGTCCCCACATGGATGAAAAAGACCAGGAGCAAACAGGTGCAGGCTTGGTTCAGTGGGGTGGGTTCTGCCCCTTCCCAGGTGATTTGGAAGCAGGTGGTCTGGGACCCACACTCTGAGAAATGCTGAGGCATAGCCATTTGCACTCAAAAGTATGGACCTAGACCCAGCAGCTTTGGCGTAACCCAGGAGCTGGTTAGAAATGAGTAACTTGGGCCGCGATCCAGACCTGCTAAATCAGACTCCTCGTGGTAACAAGATCTCCTGGTGATTTGTCTGCACATTTGTGTTTGAGGGGCAATAGCCTTGAGCCCTGGTCCTCAAACCTGACAGCCCATTGGAATCACCTGGGGAGATTTAAAAATTCCTGCTGCCAGGCCTCATCCCAGCCATTAAGTCAGAATCTCTGGGAATGGGCCTGGGTAACAGAAATTGTCAAACCTTCCCAGGTGATTCCAATGCACAGCCCAGTTGGGGAACCAGGGCCATAGGAAGAGTTACTGCTTCTGGTTGGAAGTGAAATTAGTTGACCTCCAGGGCTGCTTTGGACTGGAAAATTCTACCAGGCTAAGAATGTTCGAGTCCTGGGTTTCTTGGGTCTAAGAATCTGAGATTCTGTGAGTTCTGGGTTCTTTGATTCTAATATTTTTGGGAAATGCTGCCGGTGGTTGGTAAGTGGAGGGAGCATGGGAAGTTGGGGGCCTCCTGGGCTGTCCCTCGGTGCTCCTGGGTGGGCCAGCCACATGACCTGATGACACATTAGACGTTGAACTCCAGGGACAAGAGCGATGCTTCTGGCTTTGGGTAGCACTGCTGAAAATGCAGGTAGGCACCAGGCTGGTCGTGTTAGGCTGGTGGGAGGACCCCCACCTATTGTCTCCTCCAACTCTGTGCTCCTAATTGCAGTCCCCAGGGTCACTCCTCTGCCTGAGACTCTCTGGCCCCAGCACCATGGCTACACCATGTCAGAACATGGAGCTGAATTGCCTAGTCCAGGACCAGATACCTGGCCAGGTGGCCTCTGCCTCTGCCCTCCAAAACCTGGTAGAGCATCTCCCTAATGTGCCCAGCTACCGCATCCCAATCACCCGCATCCCTGTCCTCACCTCCCGGAGAACCAGCTTGTCCAACTCCAGCTTCGCCAAGGAGACCAGGAGCTCCATCCGCCAACTAGGTAGCACGATCTTGCCCACCCAGCATTCTCATATCTGTGGCGTGTGCTTCTGCATGGCTGGGGCTGTCTTCCTGCCTGGGTGCTGTGGTCATAGTGTGGACCACTAGTTGCTTATGGAAAACCATCTCCTTTTCCTCTGCCGATCAATACCTTCATCCTGCTTTGTGATAGTGACTTGAGGGGTTGTAGCCCCCTTCTCTTCCTGCCTAAAATTCCACCACAATTAGCAATTCATTTATTTTTTTCTCTCTCTTTCTCTTCCTCTTTCTCTCTTTTCTTTTGTTTTTTTTTTGTTTGTTTGTTTTTTGAGACAGAGTCTCTCTCTGTCACCCAGGCTGGAATGCAGTGACATGATCTCAGTTCACTGCAACCTCTGCCTCCCAGCAATTCTTGTGCCTCAGCCTCCCGAGTAGCTGGGATTACAGGCATACGCCATCACGCCTGACTACTTTTTGTATTTTAGTAGAGACGGGGTTTTGCTATGTTGGCCAGGCTGGTCTCAAACTCCTGATATCAAATGATCTGCCCACCTCGGCCTCCCAAAGTGCTGGGATTACAGGCATAAGCCACTGTGCCTGGCCAGCAATTCATTTCTTTGGGTTAAACATATATTCCTTTCTTTAGGCACATTGTTTTTATACAGGTAAAACCTTATAAACCTTAGTTTAAACAAGTCACTTGCTCAGATCTCTAGGCCGAGAGGCTTGGACAGGGAGTCTGGGATCGGAGTGGAGGGGAGTGAAAGGAGGGAAATGGAATAGAAGAGTAATGTGGGTGCTGATTGCAGACAGAACCCACTGACCTTGACAGTTTGCTGCTCAGCAAATTCCATTTCAGGAAAGAAGCTCCAGGTGCAGATAGTCATCCTCAGAGGCTAGGGTGGAGGGAGGGCTGTCTGGATCCATTGATTGTGACAAGGTCCCCGTAGTGGCCTTTGGGCTGCTACTGCTCACTCCCTGATGACAAAGAGCTCAGGAACATACTGGCACCCTGGACTAACCCCTGTCACTTTCTGACTTAACCCAAGCCAGACATGCCTGCTTGCCCTTTTGATTGGCTTGTTTGTTTATTTGTGGTTGACACGGTGCAGAGCTGCCTCTGAGATCAGTCCAACCAGGCAGGACAGAACATTTCACGGGAAGACGTCCACTGTTGTCCTTCTCTCCTCTCCCTGGCTTGAGGTGGGCACAGAGAGGAGATGAGGTGGCATGGAGGTCATCCAACAGTAAGGGGTGCCACCCCGGCCTCCATCTTCTGGTAGGCAAGCCTTGAATCTACTACTCCAAAGCAGCCCACCCCTATCATTGAGGATGCTGAATTGCTTAAAAAAAAAAAGAAAAAGGAAACAAAGCAAAAAGACCCCAAAGCATCCCCCAGCTCCCACCGCCACAGGCCACTCCCTGATAACTGCTAAATCTGTACCAATTCTATTTTTTTTTGGGGGGGGACGGAGTCTTGCTCTGTTGCTCGGGCTGGAGTGTTGTGGCACCATCTCGGCTCACTGCAACATCCGCCTCCCGAGTAGCTGGGACCACAGGTGTGCACCACCTTTCCGGGCTAATTTTTGTATTTTTAGTAGAGACAGGGTTTTGCCATGTTGGTCAGGCTGGTCTTGAACTCCTGACCTCAGGTGATTTGCCCACCTCAGCCTCCCAAAGTGCTGGGAGTACAGGCATGAGCCACTGTGCCCGGCCTCAATTCTAATTTTATTTGCTTACTATTTTTCTTTCAGTGGATTCTCTTTTTTATTTAATTAAGTATATTTAAACAGGAAAACTTTATTACTATTCAAATGGAAAACCAGCATTGCTTGCCATAAACAGAGGCATAAATAAAAATAACCTCAAATACACTGAAAACACAATGGTGTTGCTGTTTTCTAATGAGACGGATGGGCCTGCTGCAGGCTCGAAGCTGGGCCTGCTCTGTTAGCCACAAGTGGGATTAGGCTGTGTGAGAGAGGCTCTAAGGCCACAGTGGCACCGACCCGAGACTTCCTCTCTGGGTATTCACTAAAAGAGGGTGTAACTTTTTTTTTTTTTTTTTGAGATGGAGTCTTGCTCTGTTGCCCAGGCTGGAGTGCAGTGGCGCGATCTTGGCTCACTGCAACCACTGCTGCTTTTTTTTTTTTTTTTGAGACAGAATCTGGCTTTGCCACCCAGGCTGAAGTGCAGTGGCGCAATCTCAGCTCACTGCAAGCTCCGCCTCCCGGGTTCACGCCATTCACCTGTCTCAGCCTCCTGAGTAGCTGGGATTATAGGCACATGCCACCAGGCCTGGGGAATTTTTGTATTTTTAGTAGAGATGGAGTTTCTCCATGTTGGCCAGGCTGGCCTCAAACTCCTAACTTCAGGTCATCCTCCTGCCTCAGCCTCCCAAAGTGCTGGAATTACAGGCGTGAGCTGCTGCGCCCGACCAGGAGTAACATTCTTATTCTAGGTTATACTTTGCCTTGTCTGTACCATCTGAGATCATCTCGTGTCCTCCCCAGTCTCTGGGAGCCCCACACTTGGGAAAATGTTCCCGGGGACACATTGACACAGGGGGCTGATCTAGCTGTGCTAGAGTACATGATGATTCTAGATGCTACAGACAAGGTAATGAGAAGCTGTAGTAAGAACATTACTTCCATTTTATTTTATTTTTTATTATTTTGTGAGACAGGGTCTCGCTCTTTCGCTAAGGCTGGAGTGTAGTAGGCGCGATCTTGACTCATTGCAGGTTCTACCTCCCAGGTTCAACCTATCCTCCAACCTCAGCCTCCCAAGTAGCTGGAACACTGTGACCAGCCGATTTTTGAATTTTTTTGTAGAGGTGGGGTTTTGCTATGTTGCTCAGGCTGCTCTTGAACTTAAGGGATCCTTCCACCTCAGCCTTCCAAAGTGCTGGGATTACAGGCATGAGCAACTGTGCCTGGCCCCCTTTACATTTTTAACAACTTCTCCATTCCTGCTCATCCTCTTCTCCAGAGGATTTAGGGTTCACTCCATTAAACTATAGAGTAAGTGTAAGCAATTTAACAGAGTGCCGGCTTTTCTTATAAAGGCCATTTGAAAAAAACCCCATATCGGCTGGGTGCGGTGGCTCATGCCTGTAATCCCAGCACTTTGGGAGGCCAAGGCCGGCAGATCACCTGAGATCAGGAGTTCAAGACCAGCCTGGACAACATGGTGAAACCCCGTCTCCACTAAAAATACAAAAATTAGCCAGGCGTGGTGGCAGGGGCCTGTAATCCCAGCTACTCAGGAGTCTGAGGCAGGAGAATGGCTTGAACCTGGGAGGCAGAGGTTGCAGTGAGCCGAGATCACACCACTATACTCCAGCCTAGGCGACAGAGCGAGACTCCATCTCAAAAAAAAAAAAAAAAGAAAAGAAAAGAAAGAAAAAGAAACAAAAAGCACATATATAATTATTTCAAAATCTCCCTGCTTCCCGCTTTTGGGGGGTGTATCCCTGCCTGCCTTGCTGGTGCCCACACCTGTGCCCAGCTGCTATTGGGTAGACCCCCCTAGGTGTAGGGGAGAAGGAGGAATACTATCCCAGCCTCTCAGTATCCTCTGAGCTTGGACTTGGGGCAGACCTGTCCCTGCAGTCCCTGAGGTGGGTGATGGAGCCCAAGGTAGGGCCACGTCCAGGCTCCCTGGAGAGGACCTGATTCTCAGAATGTGGGACACAGTACAGGGCCTCTCAGAGGTCCAGAGTCAGGCTAGCTGATGAATTTGGGGGCCCCTGGCATGTACAAGAACAAGGACATAACCAAGCAGTTATCCAAATAGGAAGTAGCACACACTACACAGTCTGTTACCCTTGATTGGAGGGACCCTGCAAATGTCTCCATTTGATGCTCTTCAAGAATGTGAGGCCAGCCGGGCCCAGTGGCTCACGCCTGTAATCCCAGCACTTTGGGAGGCCAAGGTAGGTGGATCACCTGAGCTCAGGAGTTCGAGACCAGCCTGGGCAACATGGTGAGACCTCATCTCTACACAAACACAAAAATTAGCCGAGCATGGTGGTGTGCGTCTGTGGTCCCAGCTACTCGGGAGGCTGCCGGGAAGATCACTTGAGTCTGGGAGGCAGAGGTTGCAGGAGGCAGAGGTTGCAGTGAGCTGCAATCGTGCCACTGCACTCCAGCCTGGGTGACAGAGTGAGACCCGCCCCCCCTTCTCAAAAGCAAACAAATAAAATAATTTTTAAAAAGAATGTGAGGACTTGGCTGGGTGCAGTGGCTCACACCTGTAATCCCAGCAACTTTGGGAGGCCGAGGCAGGTGGATCACGAGGTCAGGAGATCGAGACCATCCTGGCTAACACGGTGAAACCCGGTCTCTACTAAAAATACAAAAAATTAGCCGGGCGTGGTGGCAGGTGCCTGTATTCGCAGCTAATTGGGAGGCTGAGGCAGGAGAATGGCATGAACCCTGGGAGGCGGAGCTTGCAATGAGCCGAGACTGTGCCACTGCACTCCAGCCTGGGTGACAGAGCAAGACTCTGTCTCAAAAAAACAAAACAAAACAAAACAAAAACTAGCCGGGCGTGGTGGCGGGAGCCTGTAGTCCCAGCTACTCGGGAGGCTGAGGCAGGAGAATGGCATGAACCCAGGAGAAGGAGCTTGGGGTGAACTGAGATTGCACCACTGCACTCCAGCCTGGGAGACAGAGCGAGACTCCGACTCAAAAAAAAAAAAAAAAAAAAGAATCTTTAAGAATGTGAGTACTTGTGCCTTCTGGCTCCTCCCCACAGGCCTGGGAAGGCATGGTCACCCTAACTTGGGGTGGGGAAACTGAAGCTCAGAGAGGGGAAGCAGCTGACTCAGGCTGTGCTAGGCCAGGCGCCAGGACTCTGGCTCTCCTGTGTCCTCTCTGGGGGCTGCCACTGCCTCAGCTCTTGGAGCTTGCTCAAGTGCAGGGAAACCAAACTGGGCTTTGAGAGCTAGGAGAGCTGGGCTCCAGGCTGTGTAGGGGAGCTCCCGTGGTTTCTGTGGCTTTGTGGCTTCTTTCGTGGCTCCTGGGCTGGTGGCTGTGACCCTCAGAGGACCCCAGGCACCACGTTCCTGTACCCCCTGCATGGAGCTTTTCTGTGTGCCCCATTGGGAAGTGAAGCTATCAGAGTCCCCTCCAAACATGCTTTCTCTGGTTTTCTTCAAGAACACAGCTGGACTCCTGGGACCCAGCTTTTGTCTCTCTCTGACTTTCTCCTCTCCTTCCTCTCCCCCAGTGCCTGCCACGAAACAGCACCCAGAAGTGCAGGTGGAAGATACTGATGCTGATAGCTGCCCCCTCATGGCAGAAGAGAATCCACCCTCAACCGTGTTGCCGCCACCGTCTCCTGCCAAATCAGACACCCTTATAGTCCCAAGCTCAGCCTCGGGGACACACAGGTTACCTTTTATGCTTCTCTTGGGCTTTTCTCGGCACTGTGCCACCTGTTTATTTGGCAGATGAAGAGACTGAGGCCAGAGGGAGAAGCAGCTGGACTAAAATCACACAGCGAGTTGGTGTCAGAAGTGGGACTATGATGCCCCTTCCTCGTTTTCCTAACTCCTGAATTAGGTCTCTTATAAAAGCTCTCATGGGAGGCCCTGTCCCAAATGCCCTCAGCTATAAGTTAGAAGGAGTAATATAATAAATAATATAGTAATAGCGAGGCACGGTGGCTACTGCCTGTAATGCCAGCGCTTTGCGAGGCTGAGGTGGGTGGATCGTTTGAGGCCAGGAGTTTAAGACCAGCCTGGCCAACATAGCGAAACCCCGTCTTTCCTAAAAATACAAAAAAATTAGCTAGGCATAGTGGCTCACTCCTGTAATCCCAGCTACTCGGGAGGCTGAGGCATGACAATTGCTTGAGCCTGGGATGTGGCAGTGAACTGAGATTGTGCCATTGCACTGCAGCCTGGGCAACAGAGCAAGACTCTGTCTCAAAAAATAAAAAAAAAAAACTTTTTAAATTTAAAATAAATAAATAATATAGTAATACATAATAAATGTTACAGAATTAATTTCTACCTCCACATTTTATTTTATTTCATTTTTGATAGGATGCTATTTATTAAAACTTGCATATTATAACTCACCAAGTCTTTTTTAAAAAAAAAACTCTTAAATTTTAAGTGTACAGTACAGTATTGTTACCTATATGCACATTATTTACAGCACATCTCTAGAATTTTTCGTCTTGCATGACTGAAGCTCTATACTCATTGAACAGCAACTCCCTATTCTTCCCTTCACCCCCACCCCAGCCCCGGCAGCCACCATTCTACTTTTTCATTCTACTTTCTGTTTCTATGAGCTTGACTACTTTAGATATCTCATATATGTGGAATCATGCAATATTTATCTTTTTGGGACTAGCTTATTTCTCTTGGCACAATGTCCTTAAGATTCATCCACATTGTAGCATGTGACAGGATTTTCTTCCTTTTTTAAGGCTGAGTAATGTCCCATTGTATGGATATGCCACATTTTCTTTTCTTTGTTCTTTTATTTTCTTTTCTTTTTTCCTTCCTTTCTTCCCCCTCCCCCTTCCCCTCCTCCTTCCCCTCTCTCTCCCCTCCCCTCTCTTCCCCTCTCCTTCCCTCCCCTCTCCTGCTTTCTTCCTTTCAGACAAGATCTCTCTCTGTCACCCAGGTTGGAGTGCAGTGGTGTGATATTGGTCCACTGCAGCCTCAACCTCCTAGGCTCAAGCATTTCCCCTTCTCAGCTTCTCGAGTAGCTGTGACTACAGGCACATGCCACCACCCAGCTAATTTTTTATTTTTTGTAGAGATGGGGTCTTAGTTTGTTGCCAAAGGCTGGTCTCAAACTCCTGAGCTCGAGCAATCCACCTGCCTTAGCCTCCCAAAGTGCCGGAATTACAGGTGTGAGCTGCCAACACAGCCCACATTTTCTTTATTTATCTGTTGATGGACATTTATATTGTTTCCATCTCTTGGCCATTGTGAATAGTGTTACAATGAACATGGGAGTGCAAATATCTCTTTGAGATCCTGATTTTGATTATTTTGGATAAACAACCAGAACAGGGACTGCTGGATCATATGGCAGTCCTATTTATAATATTTTGAGGAACCACCATTCTGTTTTCCACAGTGACTATACCATTTTTCCTATTTCTCCACATACTTGTCAATGCTTGTTATTTTCTGTCTTATTTATTTATTTATTTTTTGGATCATGGATATCTTAACAGGTGTGAGATGGTATCTCATTGTGGTTTTGATTTGCATTTCTCTGATTATATGGTTTGGCTCTGTGTCCCCACCCAAATCTCCTCTCGAATTTTAATCCCCATGTGTCAAGGGACGGACCTGGTGGGAGGTGAATGGATCATGGGACTGGTTTTCCCCATGCTGTTCTCATGACAGTGAGTTCTCACGAGATCCAATGGTTTAAAACTGTGGCACTTCTGGCATTTAAAACTGTGTGGCCCCTCCGCATTTGCTCTTTCTTTCTCTCCTGCTCTGTCATGGGAAGATGTACCTGTTTCCATCTGCCTTCTGCCATGATTGTTTGTTTCCTGAGGCCTCCCAGTTATATTTCCTGTTAAGCCTGTGGTACTGTGAGTCAATTAAACCTCTTTTCCTTATAAATTAAAAAGAAAAAGTCTCTCTCTCTCTCCCTCTCTCTCTTTTCCTCTCTCCCTCTCTCTCTCTCTCTCTCACTGCTGTGTAAGATGTGCCTTGCTTCCCCTTTGCTTTCCTCCATGATTGTAAGTTTCCTGAGGCTTCCCCAGCCACGCGGAACTGTGAGTCACTTAAACCTCTTTCCTTTGTAAATTATCCAGTCTCAGGTAGTCCTTTATAGCAGTGTGAAAATGGACTAATACACCCAACGATTAGTGATGTCGAGTAGCTTTTCATATTCCTGCCAGCCATTTGTATGTCTTCTTTGGAGAAATGTCTATTCGAGTTCTTTGCCTATTTTTTAGTTAGGTAATGTGTTTGTTTGTTTTCATATTGAGGTGTAGGAGTTTCTTTTATTTATCAAATATATAATTTTCAAAGATTTTCTCCCATTCTGCAGGCTTTCTTTTCACTGTTGTTTCCTTCTATGCAGAAGTTTTTAGATGGAGATAATCCCACTTGTCTATGTTTTGCTTTTGTTACCTGTGCTTTCAGTGTCATCTACCCATTGTATTATTAGACAATATAATGTGGGCTGGGCATAGTGGCTCATGCCTGTAATCCCAGCACTTTGGGAGGCGGAGGCAGATGGATCACCTGAGGTCAGGGGTTTGAGACCAGCCTGGCCAACATGGAAAAACCCTGTCTCTACTAAAAAATACAAAAATTAGCTGGGCATGGTGGCACATGCCTATAGTCCCAGCTACTAAGGAGGCTGAGGCAGGAGAATCGTTTGAACCTGCGAGGCAGCGGTTGCAGTGAGCCAAGATCATGCCATTGCATTCCAGCCTGGGTGACAGAGTGAGACTCTGTCTGAAGAAAAAAAAAAGATAATAGATAATATAATGGAAACACCACAGAACACTAGAAAAATAATCATCTACAATCCCACCACCCAAGATGGTGTTTTTACTACTCTGCATTCTCCTCTATGCCTTGGTTAGGCCCATGGTCTTGAATGGTTTTAATTGGAGGAGGGATCCAGTTTACGGTGCTGTCTCATTCCATGAACCCTTTTCCATATTGCTGGGCTGTCTCCTTAATGCTCACTTATGATGGCTGTTGGGTATTCCTCCAGCTCCATGTGCCGGAATGAACTTAACAAATCCCCTCTTGTTGGGCCCTATCCCTAATGGCACCATGATCACGTGTTTGGTCTTCCGCTCTCTGCCCTTAGGCTCCTTTCTCAAGAGTGACACTCCTAGTCAAGGTGGTGCACATTTTTACACCTCTTCAGATAAATTTGTTGCTGAGTGGTTAGAGCTGCTTTTGGACAACTCAAGCCAGGTGCCTGGGAGAAGGCTGTGTGTACAGCTGGAGGCAAACTGCCAAGGGCAGGACAGTGCTTTATAAGCTAAGGGAGGCTGTCTGTAACTCTTCTGCACTGGTTGGATGTAGAGATGGTTCTTTCTTCTTAGTTAATTTTTGCTCTCATCCATGAGCTCCTGAGTAATTGCTCAGCTGAGGTCAGAAGGCTGTCAGAGTGGAGATGGCTAGGTGTAGCAAACTGAGGGCTGTGAGGTCTTAACACAGAGAAAAGAGACACAGTTTCACTGAGCCTTGGAGTACAGCTCACAACTTCATCAGTTCTTATGTTTAGTTCACTGAAGTATGTACAAAGCCCATTAGGGGATCCAGAAATGGCTCCACTTGTAGACATCTCTCCATTTACCCCTGTTCCCTTTATATGGGCAGGGAAACAATGAAGGCTGGGCTGGGTAGGGGGTGGCATATTTAGGGGAGGGAGGGGACCAAGATCATGTGTGGCTGGAATCTAAGCCTCTGGCTTTCTGCTTGTGAGCTGGGCCTGTGAGGCTCCTCTTGTCCCTGTCATTCATGCATTCGCAAGCATGTACTGAACATCTGTATGTGCTGGGCTCTGCCCTGGGTGCTGGGGATACATGAGGGAGAAGCCTGGCAGGGGCCTGCCCTCATGAGGCTGACATTCTAGAGGGGCCAAGATAGACAATGAACAAGTAACCAAATAAACAAGCAAGTGCCAGGTTGACTGTGACTATGAGAAACAGGGTGGGAAACCTCTGCCTGAGCCCAGCCCTGAGAGGGGAGAGTTCTGAGGCCTGCCTCTCTGTAGAGGCCGAGGGCGGTGGGGCTGACTGTGAGCAGGGACAGAATGAACATTGGGAGCCAAAAAGCCACAGAGGAGCTTGAGCAAGTCCCTCTTTCCAGCTTAAGGCCATGGCTTGGAGTGAATCCCAGAGCATCACTTGTAAGACGTGGGTCTTAAGGCAGGTCATTTAACCTCCCTAGGCCTCCATTTTCCCCGTGTAAGACGAGGAAAGAAACACCACCTGGTTACTAGAATTGTGAGAATTTAACGAGCTACTGCACCCTAAGGTACTGAGCACAGGGCCAGACACAGGCAGTGCTGGGGGACCAGAAGCTGCCAGCTTAGGTCCTCATTCTGGCTTCTCTGGGGCAGCTTGACTTTTGTGGGTTTTGTTTTGTTTTATTTTGTTTTGTTTTGTTTTGAGATAGAGTTGTGCTCTTGTTGCCTGTTGCCCAGGCAGGAATGCAATGGTCTCAGCTCACTGCAACCTCTGCCTCCCTGATTTAAGCGATTCTCCTACCTCAGCCTCCCAAGTAGCTGGGATTATAGGTGCCTGCCACCATACCCGGCTAATTTTTGTATTTTTAGTAGAGACGAGGTTTCACCATGTTGGGCAGGCTGGTCTTGAACTCCTGACCTCAAGTGATCTGCCCGCCTCAGCCTCCCAAAGTGTTGGGATTACGGGTGTAAGCCACAGCATCCAGCGGCAGTGTGCACTTTCTAGGCTCAGGAGAGTGCCCTGTGCTGGGCACAGGAGGATGGACTTTGGGTCCCAGCAATGGGGTTTTTGGCCCCAATCTTCTTGTGTGGGGCTGTTCTTGTTAATTACAGTGTGAAAAAAGTGAATCCATGAATTTTGCCATCCTCGGCGAGTTGGCAGAAGGCAACAGGATCATTTCAGAGCCTTCTGGAATCAAGGTGGATGTCACACATCCCTCCCTCTGGATCCCCCTAGAAATCCTAGTGGTACAATCCTGAGTCAAGATGATGAGGCTGGGGAAGAGCGCTGGCCTAGAACCCTGGCAGACTCAGGTTTGGGTCCCAGTGGAGTGCTGCGTCTGCACTGTGATGGCCTCAGTGACCCCTGCCCCAGTGTCCTCCTGCCCAGCTCTCTGATTGGCCCTCAGGGGCTGGAGTAGGAACCTCTGCTGAGGTGAGCTTCTTGGGAAGATGTGCAGATGTCAGCAGGTTTGGGCTGGGCCCCAGGGTGTGTTCTCAGAGGCTCCTCCTCTGACACTCCAGCTGGGGAAAGGGTGGAATTTGGGGACTGGCTGGAGTTTTCAGCTTCTGCTGGGAATTGCAGATTAATCACTAAAGATCCTTGTCAGGCTTGGTCCCAAGGTGAAGCTCCCTGCCTGTGGATTCCATTTCTGATCAAACCTCACGGAAATGAAGGCCCTGGTAAAAAGTAATCATGGCCGGGGGCGGTGGCTCATGCCGGTAATCCCAGCACTTTGGGAGGCTGAGGTAGGCAGATCACCTGAGGTCAGGAGTTCGAGACCAGCCTGGCCAATATGGTGAAACCCTGTCTCTACTAAAAATACGAAAATTAGCTGGGCATGGTGGCACCTGCCTGTAATCTCAGCTACTCAAGAGGCTGAGGCAGGAGAATTGCTTGAACCCGGGAGGCAGAGGTTGCAGTGAGCTGAGCTTGCGCCACTGCATTCCAGCCAGGGCAACAGAGCGAGACTCCATCTCAAAAAAAAAAAAGTAATCATGAACTTCCCTTGGGAAACCAAGGTCCCAGGACCTATTTTCTGGAAGTCAGCTCCACCATTTTACTTTCACAGAGTCACAGCTAAAGACCGAAGCAAGGCTGCCCTGTGTTCACCAAGGCTGAGGAGAGCCCTGCTGAGTGTAGCAATTGCAGCCTGACCTTCACAGCAGGTGCCCAGCCTCTAACCGTTTTCTAGTCCTACCACTCCCAACTTGCATTTTATTTTCATGTCCCCACAGCCAAGTTTCTCTTGCTGATTCAGCTGTGTGTACTACCATGTTATGCCCATTTTTGGTACACTCAGGTTCAATTCCTGTATTAGTCTATTCTTGCATTGTTGTAAAGAAATACCCGAGACTGGGTAATTTATAAAGAAAAGAGAGAGGCCGGGCGTGGTGGCTCATGCCTGTTATCCCAGCACTTTGGAAGGCTGAGGCAGGTGGATCACCTGAGGTTGGGAGATTGAGACTAGCCTGGCCAACATGGTGAAACTCCATCTCTACTAAAAAAAAAAAAAATTAGCTGGTGTGGTGGTGTACACCTATAATCCCAGCTACTTGGGAGGCTGAGGCATGAGAATTGCTTGAACCTGGGAGACGGAGGTTGCAGTGAGCCGAGATCGTGCCACTGCACTCCAGCCTGGGTGACAGAGCAAGACTCCATCTCAAATGAATAAATAAATAAAATACTAAAAAATAAAGAAAAGAGGTTTAATTGGGTCATTGTTCCACAGACTGTACAGGCAGCATGGCAGCATCTACTTCTGGGGAGGCCTCAGGGAGCTTGTACTCATGGTGGAAGGCAAAAGAAACAGGCTCTCACATGGCAGGAGCAGAACTGAGAGAGAGTGGGGAGGTGCCACACAGTTTTAAACAATCAGATTTCATGAGAATTCACTCACTATACAGTACCAAGGGGGGATGTTGCCAAACCATTCATGAGAACTCCGCCCCCGTGATCTAATCACGTCCACCAAGCCCCACCGCCAACACTGGGGATTACAATTCAACATGAGATTTGGTGCGGTCACAGAGCCAAAACCACGTCAAGTCCTAAACTCTCATCTTCATGCTACTGACTGATCTGATGCTCATCCTGATGTGCTTTCATGTGTGACATGCATACCCATGTCCCCAGACTCTTGGTTTCATGTGCTAACACTCAGCCTTCTGTGTTTTAAATGCTAATGGAAGTCATTAATAATGACCATTCTTCTCCACCAGGACTTCATTCATGGACATATGAAATGCTCTTCCTATTGGTAGATATTGGCCTGGGCGGAGTCCTCCAGACACAATCTTTGTGTTTCTACATCAGTTAGTTCTACTCTATCTTAAAGAGGATTCTTTCTCTAACACTGGAGCTTGGTTTCTTGGTGGTATTAAGGAATTTCTCTCTCTTGATCTTTTTTCCTCTTTCCCAGGCTTTTGCGTTTCTCAGTAAACCAATTCATTCTCTCTGCTGGGACAGAGGGTGGGAAAATCCAGAGAGTTAGCCCCTAAGATACCAACATAAAATAGTGTCAAAATCACCTCTTCCACCAAGTCAGACACCCAGGCTCCAACCTGCTGATGTCAGGCCAGAGGCAGGTTGGGCAAGAACCTTCTTGTCTCTGAAATTCAGGTGGATTTCAGATCTAGACACCATAAGCCAAGACACTAATGGCTCAAGAATGAGGTACTCCATGGCAGACTTGGACTTCCTGACTGATGGAGGACCCCAGGATCATTTAGTCCTCATTCTTCAGATAGGGAGCCTGGGGCTCAGGAGGGGATGGGACTTACCTAAGGTCACACCGTAAGGCGGAGACTGGATTCCATGGCTTCTCTGATAGCTGAAAAGGTGGTGTGATAGAGAGTAGAGGGGAATGAGGTGGGTGACTTTAGACAGGGAGCAGGAGAGGGGAAGGAAGTTGAAACTGAGAACTAAGTGATAAGTATCTCATTTACTTGAGTAGATTTAATCCCATTTTACAGAGGGGGAAACTGAGGTAACTCAGCATGTTTTGGTAATTTGCTGAGGCCACACACAGGTAAGAGGCAGGACTGGGGTGCAATACCAATGCTGTTACCTTTAGGCCAAGCCATTTAACAGATGGGAAGACTGAGGTCTAGAGAGTGGCTATGCCCCTCTCTTCTGCCGTTTTCCCTCCCTCCAGGCAAATGAGGACTCAGAAGTTCATGCTCCGCCCCCCATCCTCTATCTAGGAATTGGCTCTAGATGATCTTTAGGGATCAAAGTCATGACACTTCTCCCTGGGGCCTCTGCCTTTGCTGAAGGCCCCTTCCACATCTGTGTCTTTGCAGGAAGAAGCTGCCCTCTGAGGATGATGAGGCTGAAGAGCTCAAGGCGTTGTCACCAGCAGAGTCCCCAGTGGTTGCCTGGTCTGACCCCACCACCCCGAAGGACACTGAGTGAGACCCCTCTGGGGTCTCAGAAAATTGAAAGACTGCGGGGAGGGTGGGGGATGTGGGGGGGCTAGTGTGGATGCTTTTAGAACCTTCTACCGCAAGGCAGACTTTGCCAGTGGCTTCCGAGCAGTAAGTCGGGATCGGTCGCCTGCCCAGGCTGCTTCTGGCTGGCCCAGGAGTCCTGTTAAATCCAGTGGGCTCAACCTCTGGGCCCAGCTGTGTCCACGGCCAGCAGTGCTCAGAGAGGGAGGGATCTCTAGGCAGAGGTCCCCTTGTGAAGGAGAGGCTGAGGGGAGCTGCCTGCAGGGCTCCTGCTGCTGAACTTCTGAAAGGTCAGTGGGGACAGGGAGGACCACCAGGATCTCCAGTGGGTTCTGCCCTGGGGAGTTTGTGAAAAAAGAAAAAAAAAAAAGATTCCCTGGCCCTACCTGGCTGCGCTGGATCAGAGCTGCAGACAGTAGGCCTGGGGAGTTCACATTTTCCAAACTCCCCAGGGGATGTGGTGCAGCTGGCCTGCAGAACAATGTTTAGAAACCACTATGATGACGGCCAGGCGTGGTGGCTCATGCCTGTAATCCCAGCACTTTGGAAGGCTGAGGTGGGCGGATCACCTGATGTCAGGAGTTCGAGACTAGCCTGACCAATATGGTGAAACCCTGTCTCTAATAAAAATACAAAAATTAGCCGGGCGTGGTGGCACATGCCTGTAATCCCAGCTACCTGGGAGGCTGAGACAGGAGAATCACTTGAACCTGGGAGGTAGAGGTTGCAGTGAGCTGAGATCACACCTCTGCACTCCAGCCTGGGTGACAAGAGCAATACTTCATCTCAAAAAAAAAAAAAAGAAAGAAAGAAAGAAAGAGAGAAAGAAACCACTGTGATGGCATTGGGACCTGGGTCTCTGAGATCGAACTGTCCCCAGGGCTGGGCCAGTGGGAGGTTTCTTCCCGAAGGATCTGAGAAGCTCTGGTGGATGGCGAATACCCGGGCCCTGGGCTCTGCCTGGAATCCCCAATCACAGTCCTTGGCCATGACTCCTAGATGAGCCACAGGAGACAGTAGGCTTTCCTTCTTCCTTCCAGTCTTTTTTTCTATCCACAATTTTATGCAGTTTATGCTTAACAGAGCTGTGGAAAGTTAGAAAAGATAAGCAAGAAGAAGCCCCAACCCCACCCTCAGTCCAGTTGCCCACTGCAGCACGCAGTGGACTCACATTTTATGAGATAGGGTAGGGGTAGGGTTTAATATCAGAAACGAAGGCAGAAATGAGGTATAATGAGAAAACCTATTCTTGAAAACTCTTAAGGAGGTCACCTTGGAGACCCATGTATTAGCTAGGCAGGCTAGGCTGCTGGACCTCAAATGGACCTCAAAAGCTGAGTGGCTTAAGGAACTGTATCATATACCATCATCATCTCAATAGTTGCATGCATCAGGTCAGCAGAAGGTTCTGCTCCATGCAATCATTTAGGGACCCAGATGACAGTGCTCTGCCACTTTATCCATGTGCCTTCCCATGTCCCACTGGTCACCACTAGAAAGGGAGAACTCCAGGCCTGTCTTCAGTAAGGAGGCCCCTAGTTGCATGTATTGTGTCTGAGAGCTCACATTCCAATAGCGAGAGCCTGGCACGTGATCCCTGGCTGGGTGGCTATATCCCAGTGAGTGTGCACCACAGGAGAGAATGAGTGTAGGGGAGCAGCTCATGTCCCCGCCACACCTGTATGCCAGCTCTCATTAGGAGCCCCACACTTGGCCGGGCACGGTGTCTCACGCCTGCAATCCCAGCACTTTCAGAGGCCGAAGCAGGTGGATCACCTGAGGTTGGGAGTTTGAGACCAGCCTGGCCAACTTGGTGAAACCCCCTCTCTACTAAAACTACAAAAATTAGTCAGGCTTGGTGGCGTGCACCTGTAATCCCAGCTACTCAGGAGGTTGAGGCAGGAGAATTGCTTGAACCCAGGAGGTGAATGTTGACTGAGCCGAGGTCATACCACTGCCACTCCAGCTGGGCGACAAGAGTGAAACTTCATCTCAAAAAAAAAAAAAAAAAAAAAAGAGCCTCATTTTCTCCAGCCCGTCTTCCTCAGTTGAGCTCAAAAAGAGTAGTCGACTGCAGTTTCTGTGTCCTAATGTATGAAAAAAAAAAAGATAAAAAAGATATTCAGCTCAGCAAGATGATCTCAGTGAGGCTACTCAGAGGAAAGAAAGCAGTTTCTCTCTCTCTCTTGCTGACAGTGCAGAAACTTTAATTCCTGTAAGTTAAAGGGATATAGAATGTATCTGCACTGCTTTTTCCACCAGTTACATCCTAAGCCTAAAAAAGTAGGCCTGCTCCCTCTCTGTTCTGCCCCTGGACACATATCTCATGTGAACCCTGCACTGGGATGAACAGCCCAATTTTGCTGAACTCTAAACTGAGTTCCAAGAGTTTCCTCCTAAATTACAAGTGGAGTCACGCTTTTTCCAGAACTGCCCATCTGAATCAGAGCCTACGTGGTACATTTTCCAAAAGCTGGGCCAGAACACCTGGGCATTATTCCCGGACTGAATTTCCTTCTAGGTGATTACGGTAGGTCTGTGGTTTCTGATGTCAGAAGGAGATGGGGGCAGGACTTACCTCCTTCAGGCTCTGTCAGAAGGTGGGACACAGACGCTGCACAGCTCTGGCCTGGGGGTGCACAGGTCCCTCCCGGCTCAGCCTGCTCAGCTTTGGGTGATGTTCCCACAGTGGCCAGGACCGTGCGGCCTCCACGGCCAGCACAAATAGCGCCATCATCAACGACCGGCTCCAGGAGCTGGTGAAGCTCTTCAAGGAGCGGACAGAGAAAGTGAAGGAGAAACTCATTGACCCTGACGTCACCTCTGATGAGGAGAGCCCCAAGCCCTGTGAGTCTGGAGCTGGAGGGGGTCTACCTGGATGGGGATGGGGTGGGGCCTCCAAAGTTCCCTGTCAACTCATGGCAAGGGTGGCCCCAAGGAAATGGTTGAGGTCCATGAGAGAAGCCCAGATCCCCACTCTCTGGATTTGGGATCCATATGTACAGGTTGAGATATGTACCCAAGGGTGGGAAGATCAAAGTTCTGACCAACAATCCACTTGCACTCGGCCCTCTCTCCCATGGGGCAAGTGCCTTCCTTGACCCTTCTGTCCCTTTCCTACTGGTAGGTGAGTGGTGCCACCCCAAAATGTATCTTATGGTCTTACACTCAGATTGTGTGCACAGCCTGCTCTGGAACTAGGCAGTCCTATTTTTCAGAGATGTCAGTGCCTTGAAAGTTCTTATTGAGGCTATCCGAATTTTTCTTTTCTTTCAAGGTATCAGGAGGAAATAAGACACATGATCTCTTGTCAGGGAGATTTTTTAGATCTTTCCAGAGGAAGGCTGTATCTTGGAAATCATGGTGCCCACAACAGGCCATGCAGAGCCTGATGTCCCAGTCTTGAAGCTGGAAAACATAGCCATATTGAACCTATAAGAGCCAATCCCTAGACCAAAAGTATCATCATAGATGCACAGGGAGGCTGTGATCCCATCTGGTCTCTGTTTTTAGAGATGAAAGAGTTGAGATTCCCTCTCAGAAACCTGGAGCAATACTTCCTTGATTTTGTTAGGCCCTTCAGCATTCCAGCCATGGGTACTGGGAACACTGGGTACAAAATGCCCCCATCCCATCAGAGGGAACAAAGGGGGTCTAAGCACAACACACAAGCAGACATTGAAACATCCAACTGGCCCAGAAACAGCTCATTTGGGGCAGCTTCTGAGAAGCAGTTCCAGACTGTAATTGGTAAGAACTTCTGGGTGGGCACCCAGGTTGCTGTTGCTGTTGAGGAGGGTTGTGGAGTTCACTCCAGAAGAGCACCTTGGGTTCTGCACACAGAGCTTGCAGTAGCTTGTATAATGGTGCCAGGGTCCTCTCAGATCTGGATCCAAGGTCTGCAGTTGGGACCCTTCTCTCTGCATCCTCTACCTGGGCCTCAGGGCTGGTTCAGATGGTCACCAATGTCATCCCACAGCCCCAGCCAAGAAAGCCCCAGAGCCAGCTCCAGACACAAAGCCCGCTGAAGCCGAGCCAGTGGAAGAGGAGCACTATTGCGACATGCTCTGCTGCAAGTTCAAACACCGCCCCTGGAAGAAGTACCAGTTTCCCCAGAGCATTGACCCGCTGACCAGTGAGTCCTGGGGAATGGGTGTTCCCACTGTGTAAGATGAGAGAGCAGGAGAGTTGGAGCGGGATGGGGAGAGGGTCAGGGGATTCAAGAGGTGGGATGGGAGGCCACAGACAACCTGGGTTCATGATCTTTTATACCTTTCAAAAGTATTCCACAGTTTCTTGCCTGATTCTCAAAACAAACCCAGCCTGGCTAACATGACGAAACCCTGCCTCTATTAAAGATACAAAAATTAGCTGGGTGTGGTGGTGCACACCTGTAATCCCAGCTACTTGAGAGGCTGAAGCAGGAGAATCATTTGAATCCAGGAGGTGGAGAGTGCACTGAGTCAAGATCGCACAATTGCATTCCAACCTAGGTGACAGAGTGAGACTCTGTCTTAAAAACAACAACAAAAGTCCCTGGAATAGGAACATAAGATCATACCCATTTTACAGATGAGGAAACTAAGGTACAGATAAGTCAGCCAGGGTAAAGATGCAACTAGTTAGTGCGGACCCAGGACTCCTGACTCTTGGCCAAGTCCTTTTTCACTCTGGTCGTGCTGGCCTTTTCCTAGAGCTCCTGCTCTGAACAGAAAAAGAGCAGGAATGTGAATTCCTCTTGCTTCCCTTTAAGCCCACTTCATATTCCTCAGAAATAACCCACTTCATATGTGCATAGCACTTTAGAGTTTACAGAGGGCTCCCTGCCTTTCTTATCTGACCTTTTCCTGTGATTTCTCAGAAGAGGGCAGGTGCCAGAGAGGGACTTTCTCAAGGTCACACATTTGGGGGGCAGGACTTCAACCCTGGTGTCCACTGGATTCTTTAAATAACCTGATGGGCTGGGTACATTGGCTCACACCTGTAATCCCAGCACTGTGAGAGGCTGTAGTGAAAGAACTGCTTGAGCCCAGGAGTTCAAGATCAGCCTGGGCAACATAGTGAGACCTCATCTCTACAAAAATAGTAAATAAATAAATAAATAAATAAATAAATAAATAAATAACCAGATGATCTGGAATACCCATCTATCCATCCATCCATCCATCCATCCATCCATCCATCCATCCATCCATGCATTCACCTGTCTGTCCATCTATCTGTCCATCCTTCATGCATTATTTACTATTCTGTATTTACTGAGGAAGAAAATACATTTTGGGAAAAAATTAAAGAAGAATAAAAGCAAATGAGTTTTCCAGTTGGCTGCCTATTATCTTATAATACCAGCATAGTCCCTCCTGAGAGTACTCTGATTTATTAGGGATTAGCAGTAATTTATTTTTAAAACAGATAGTTGTGTTTTTTTTTTTAAGTAGAGATGGGGGTCTTGCTATGTTGTCCAGGCTGGT
Source organism: Homo sapiens (assembly GCF_000001405.40). Taxonomy (NCBI): domain Eukaryota; kingdom Metazoa; phylum Chordata; class Mammalia; order Primates; family Hominidae; genus Homo; species Homo sapiens. Next base: position 57,917,762 of record NC_000016.10, on the reverse strand, counting down.
CTTAAACTCCTGGGCTCAAGCAATCCTCCCACCTAGGCCTCCCAAAGTGCTGGGATTACAGACATGAGCCACTGTGCCTGGCTCCTAAAGCAGAGAGTTGTGTGTGTGTGTATGTGTGTGTGTGTGTGTGTGTGTATATATACACACACACACACATACACACACTCTTACAAAAGTGCCACATGTAGTAGTTGAAGGAGTAGAAAGAACAAAACCCTACCTGATCCAACTGGTGAAGAGCCTTGCCTGGCTGATGCTCTAGCGTCCCCGTCAACCTTCCCCACAGACCTGATGTATGTCCTATGGCTGTTCTTCGTGGTGATGGCCTGGAATTGGAACTGTTGGCTGATTCCCGTGCGCTGGGCCTTCCCCTACCAGACCCCGGACAACATCCACCACTGGCTGCTGATGGATTACCTATGCGACCTCATCTACTTCCTGGACATCACCGTGTTCCAGACACGCCTGCAGTTTGTCAGAGGCGGGGACATCATTGTGAGTCACAGGCAGGTGGTGTTGGGGTGACCGGGGGCAGACCGCTCAGCCAGAGCCTCCAGGGCACTGACCCCTGATGCTGTCATAGATGACAAAATAAGTGAATAAGGAAATCTCAAGAACGGCTGCTGTGCTTGTTCAATAGCATGGTTGTTTATTTTGCATGCCTTTGATACGTTCAAATTACGCACATCAGATATTGCTCATAGGTGAAATAGTTCCTGGACCACTTGACAGAATCAAAGATAGAGAAGTGGTCCAGGGAATGGTCTTTAGTGAGGATGTACCTGGTTTGAATCCCACCTCCACCACAACTAGCTGAATCGCCTCTGTTTCCTCATCTGTAGAATGGGGCTAGTAATAGCTTCCACCTCCCAGTGTTGCCATGAGGATTGGTTGAAACGATGCATGCGGGGCGCTCAGCACAGGTATCCACTGGCAATTGACTTCTCCCAGGGGTCCTGCAAAAACACACTGATGCTCTCCTACTTGGGCCAATTTGAGACCCTGGCCTCTGGTCCAGCCCCGTGCACCACCCCTGCCTTACCAGGGAGGAAACTGAGGCCCTGACTGTGACTTCTCAGGAACAGGAGACACAGTCCCTGTCTCCCAGTGTGGGTCACTTTCCAAAATTCCACCCCGGCAGTGCCTGTTTTGCTGTGTGCAGACAAGCTCAGGTTTTGCCTGTAAACGATTTTCCTTGGAGAGATTTAAAGAGAGTAAAGTAAAAAGTAAAGAGATTTCCTTGGAGAACCTCTTTTCTGGCCTGATCAGAGTGACTACCAATTCCTTAGTAAACAGATGTGCAAATGGTCCAGGTAAGACCAATGGGCAGAGGGAATAAGCTTAATGTCCTTGCTTTCCACCCAAGAAATCAGGATCTAGCTGGGTGACCAGAACAGATCCCTCCTCCCTGGGGGCTGGGCCTCTCCACCCATAAAACTCAAGGCTTTCACCAAGGCTCAGATGGTCCTTGGGCTGTTATGCTCGTTTCAGGGTGGGGTTCTTGGGGAAGTTTCACAATTGCTCCACAGGGTCAGAGATTAAGCTGTAAGGTCATTTCACCATCATCATTCCCTTTCTTTCAGACGGACAAAAAGGACATGCGAAATAACTACCTGAAGTCTCGCCGCTTCAAGGTGTGTGCCGGGCATGCAAGGTTTAGCGTCTGCGGGGTTTCAGAAGGGGGTGCCTCAGAGGGCCCTGGGTGCCTGGGGCGTTCATGAGATGTGGTTTCTGCCACACGGAGGGATGCTGGTCCCTGTGGGAGTGTCCTCCAAACCACAAGCCCCAGGAGACCAGCACAGGCTGGGTAGCCCCCAGAAGTTATCTTTCTTCTTTTTCTTTTCTTTTCTTTTTTTTTTTTTTTTGAGACAGGGTCTAACTCTGTCTCCCAGGCTGGAGTTCAGTGGTGTGATCTCGGCTCACTGCAACCTCTGCCTCCTCGTTCAAGCACTCCTCCTGCCTCAGCCTCCCTAGTAGCTGGGATTACAAGTGTGCGTCACCACACCCAGCTAATTTTTGTATTTTTAGAAGAGACAGGGTTTCACCATGTTGGGCAGTCTGGTCTCGAACTCCTGACATCAAGTGATCTGCCTGCCTTGGCCTCCCAAACTGCTGGGATTACAGGCATAAGCCACCGTGCCTGGCCAGAAGCCACCTTTCATTGTGTCTGTACCACTCCCGCCCCTTACTGTATGGCACAGCAGCCACTATCGAGGATAATGAAGCTGCCCTTGGGGCTGGCAACACGGGCTTTGAAGCCAAACAAGGGCTTGTCGGTGGGACACCTTCTGCCCTCTAGTTTTAAGCTCTACTGGGGCATTCTGACCTCACCTTTCCATGGAAGGGAGAGACTCCGCCTCTCACTCCCCTCACCTTCCACCCTGGAGTCATCCGTTTTACCCCCATGGTGTCCCACTGGGATTTCAGATGGACCTGCTCAGCCTCCTGCCCTTGGATTTTCTCTATTTGAAAGTCGGTGTGAACCCCCTCCTCCGCCTGCCCCGCTGTTTAAAGGTAGGACTGCTGGGCCCACCACCCCAGGCCTTCAGCTCATCCCTGCTCTGCACCGACACTGGCATCTTCGTGTCTGCCCCCAGCAGCACTGGGGAGGGGAGTTCCTCAAGGGATGGCCCGAGGGGAGATGCATTTATTCCACGTGTGTCTTAGTGGAAAGTTCATTACAATTTGCTAGTGCTTCTGTGGTGCTGCATGTTAGGTAGTATTATTGCCAGCATTTTACAAATGAAGGACTGGGGCACAGAGAGGTTAATTAATTTGCCCAAAGTCACACAGCCAGGAGGGAGTGGAGCCCAGATATGAATGCAGGTCATCTGTCTCCACTGTTTACGCTCTCAGTGATTATAGAGACTCTCAAGAGGGGATCTTCTGCTTTATGATGGTCTCTGTCTAAAAGATGGGGACATTGGTGCTTGGAGAGGCTGGGGGACTTGCCCTAGGTCGCAGGAGCAAGGAAGTGCCAGGGATGGATTTGAATGCACAGCCAGACACCCGTTTCATCACTGGCCAGGCCTCAGTGTCATTCCAGCCATTCCTTCTGGCACTCACTGGGCAGAGCGAAAGTCTCCAGGATGGTCTGGCTGCCACAGCTGGCCATGGTCCTGTCACGTGATCAGGGTGGATAGCCACTCAGAGCATTCAGGATCCCCCAAATGGATTTTGATGGCCAACCAATCACATTCATCTGTCTCCTGAAATGAAGACTGGTGCCTTTTTCTGAAAACAGTACTGAGGGAATTTACAAAAAATGCAAATGCAATAACATGAACAACCCAGAGAAACAGGGCAGAGAAAACTAGGGGGCGTGCAAGTGCCCTGATGAGAAGAAAGCACACCTATGTGGAATCGAGCATGGAAGCTGCCTCTGAGCTTCCTGGCTGCCAAGAGGAAGGGGGAAAGTGGAATTGGCACCATTCTTATTTGACACATACCAGCCTCCCAGGGGCTGCAGAGGTTGCTTTAGAGCCAAACATCAGAGTGAGGAAGGTTGGGTCCACAGGCCAAGTTTCACCCCAGACGCAGAGGTGAGATCCATACCTTGGGTCACATGGTGGCCCCAGTGAGGGGGCAAAACTCACAGGCCTAACATTGAACACCATTCAGTGGACAAAACTCTTTAAGTGAGCCATCCAAGCCCCTGTTCTTTCTGCCTCCAGTTTAAACTGTGGCTGGAACTAGAATGAACACATGGATGATAACTGGAATATCCCTTAGAGAATCTTCATAAATACTATTTTCAAATATCAAAAAATAAATCCAAAGATCTAGAGGTGGTATAGCATAAGGAGAGAGCTTGCAGCTCTGAGTCTGGCCTGGGTTGGAATGCTGACTCTCTCACATACCAGCTGTGTGCTTTGGACAAGTTACTGGACTTCCCTGAGCACCAATTTCTGTCAAAGGAGAATGATAATACATACTTCATATGTAAATAAGGAATAAGGTAATGTATATAAATGTATGTGCTGGCTGGGTGTGGCGGCTCATGCTTGTAATACCAGCACTTTAAGAGGCTGAGGCAGGAGGATCACTTGAGCCTAGAAATGTGAGACCAACCTGGGTAACACAGTGAGACTCTGTCTCTACAAAAAATTTAAAAATTACCCATGAGTGTTGATGTGTGCCTGTAGTCCCAGCTACTTAGGAGGCTGAGGCTGAAAAATCGCTTGAGCCCAGAAGTTCGAGGCTGTGGTTATCTATGACTGTACCACTGCACTCCAGCCTGAGTGACAGAGTGAGACTCTGTCTCTGAAAAAACAAAACAAAAAAAGGCATATGCCAGTCATATAATAGGTGCTCAATAAAGAAAAGTAGTTATTAATATACTTTTATTCTTATAAATAAACCTTTGAAGGATATAAGAGTGGGGTGTTAGGGATGCTGTCTCTTTATTAAATTGTTTTCTTTATAAGAAACATTAAAAACAGCAGCTTTAACCTGGATGCATGTACCCCTAAAAGTCTCATGATAGAATTCAGAGGGTCCAGGAGTCCCCTGAAATTATATGCAAATTGTGAGAACAAGATTACATGTCATTTCCAAGGGAAGACGGGCTATGACTTTCTTCAGATTCCTAAATGGAGTTTCTGGCCCCTACCCGTCAAGGGGCTGAGGACTTCTGATATTGAATGCTCACCGTCCTGTTCCCTCCTGGGGGCTGCAGGAAGAGCCCTGAGTCTCGGCGCCCGTGGGCGTGGGAGCAGCATGCTACCTATGGCCGGTGGGCTGCTCTCACGCCCTCCTCTCCCTCCAGTACATGGCCTTCTTCGAGTTTAACAGCCGCCTGGAATCCATCCTCAGCAAAGCCTACGTGTACAGGTGAGACTCCCCCTGCATGTGCATGCATGCACACACACATGACACTCACAAACACACAACACACGCAATACACACACAACACAGATGACACACACACAACACACACACGACACACACAACACACACACAACATACACACATACATGCACACACAACATTCAACATACACACACCCAACACACAATGCACACACACAACACACAACACATACATACGTGCACAACACACACACAACAGAGATATAACACAAAACAACACACACAAACACACACAACACACAACACATGCAGTGCACACACAACACACAATGCACACACGACACAAATGACACACACAACACACACACACACACACACAACACAGGAAGTTTGCACCTAGAACAGACAGCAAGACATTGTCTACCCCCACTGACCTCCAGGCCCCGTCTCCACTGGAAGCCAGGCATCTTCCTGGTCCCGCCTCCTCTTTCCCAGAGAAATGTTTGTTATTTAGAGAACCAGGAATATCCGATGCCCCTCATTGTGATGAGGGTGCACATCAGCTGGCACGAGGGGCTTACCAGCATTGCAGCGAACCGGGCCTCATTTTGGCCTCAGCTCAGGGAACTGGAGCCCCCAGCCAGCTCTAACAGAATGGGAACAGGTGTAAGGTGGCGGTGGCTGTTTCACAGATGTCTGAGCATGAGGTGCAAGACCAGCCAGGCCGTGCTAGGGAGCAAGGCTCCTGTCCACATCTCTCCTGGGGCGACATGGCCCCATCTTCAACTCAACTCCTCTGCACACATCAGTCCCTCCCTGCTCCTCCACACACACACACACATTTCCCCTCTGGCCCCTCCATCCCCCAGTGCACAGTCAGCTCTGCTACCTCTGTTCCAATCCTAGCCCCAGGTCATGACAACGCCCCATTCAAGCACCACCCTTCCTAACTGGTGCAATCTCAACAAAGCATCCAGTCGGGCCAGCCCAGCCATGGGTTGGCTCTCACTGTCCAGGTGTCTATACCTCACCTCCCCCTTCCGCCGCTGTGTTCATGCGCTGTGTTCCTTCTGCAGGGTCATCAGGACCACAGCCTACCTTCTCTACAGCCTGCATTTGAATTCCTGTCTTTATTACTGGGCATCGGCCTATCAGGGCCTCGGCTCCACTCACTGGGTTTACGATGGCGTGGGAAACAGGTGAGCCACAGTCCTCCCCCTGGGGCCATGCCTGGGTGACCTTCCTGTTCTTTATAATTCGCAGCACAGAGACTCCAGGAAGGAGTCTTATTGCTGCTGTATTGCCAAGGCCACTTTGCTCCTAAGCAATCACTGGCATGACAAGGCTCAAGAGCCACATCTTGGGCCGGGTGTGGTGGCTCACACCTTTAACCCCAGCACTTTGGGAGGCCAAGGCAGGCGGATCACCTGATATCAGGAGTTAGAGACCAGCCTGGCCAACATGGTAAAACCCCATCTCTACTAAAAATACAAAACTTAGCTGGGCGTGGTGATGCACACCTGTAATCCCAGCTACTGGGAAGGCTGAGGCAGGAGAATCTCTTGAACCCAGGAGGCGGAGGTTGCAATGAGCCGAGATCGTGCCATTGCATTCCAGCCTGACACAAGAGCGAAACTCCATCTCAAAAAATAAAAATAGAAAAAGAGCCAGGTCACTACATCTTCCCCAAGCTAAGGTTTCCTGAGCACCTGCATGTGCCAGGCCGGAGGTACTGGTGTGAACAAGACTTGCTTGGATCCTTTCTGCATCCAAACTCTATTAGGGTGTGCAAATACGCTGTATTTGTGCATCTACTCCTGCTTCCCCGGGCATGGCCAAGAGGGAATGAGGCCAGAGAATACTCCCCAGCACAGCTCCCCAGGCACTGCTACCATGGAGGTGCTGGCGAATGAGGTGAGACCCACTTGCCAATCAGAGAGCCACCATCCATTATGAGACTTGCCAAAGGGATGATGATGACGTGCGAACCAAAAAGAATCTGGCACAAGTTTCAATCAATTTAGAAAGTTTATTTTGCCAAAGTTAAGGACACGCCCGTGGTACAGCCTCAGGGGTTCCTGATGACATGTGTGCAAGGTGGTTGGGGTGCAGCTTGCTTTTATACATTTTAGCGGGACAGGATACATCAATCAATACATGTAAGGTTTATATTGGTTAGATCTGGAAGGGTGGGACAACTCAAAGGGAGGAGTGGCTTCCAGGTCATAGGTAGATTTAAAAAAATCTCTGCTTGGGAAAAAAAAAAAAAAAAAAAAAAGGCCGGGCTTGGTGGCTCACGCCTGTAATCCCAACACTTTGGGAGGCTGAGGCGGGCAGATCACTTGAGGTCAGGAGTTCGAGACCAGCCTGGCCGACACAGCGAAATCCCATCTGTAATAAAAATACAAAAATTAGCCAGGCATGGTGGCAGCGCCTGTAGTCTCAGTTACTCGGGAGGCTGAGGCACAAGAATCACTTGAACCCGGGAGGTGGAGGTTGTGGTGAGATGAAATTGCACCATTACACTCCAGCCTGGGTGATAGAGCAAGACTCTGTCTCAAAATAATAATAACAATAATAAATAAAAATTCCCTGCTTGGCAATTGGTTGAAAGAGTTATCAGTAGAAAGAAATGTCTGGGTTATGATAAGGGGCTGTGGTGACCTAGGTATTTTCATGCAGATGAAGCCTCTAAATAGCGGGCTTTAGAGAAAAGAGACTGTGATGTTTCTTACCAGACTTAAGGTCTGTGTTGATGTTAACGCTGGAGGGGTACAATGAGGCGTGTCCGACCCCCTCTTCCTTCATGGCCTGAATTAGGTTTTCAGGTAACTCGGGAAAGCCCTTGGCCAAGAGGAGGGGTCCGTTCCGATGGTTGGGGGCCTTATAATTTATTTTTGGTTTACAATGGTGGTGATGGTGACAATGATGATGATAATAGCAGCAATGCTTGTAGGATACCTATTTTGTGCCAGCCCTGCTTAAAGCACTGAACACAGTAATTCACAACCATCACATCAGATAGTACCGCCCCATTCCCATTTTACAGCTGAGGTAGCAGATGGGAGTTCCCAAGGTTACACGGTTCATGAGTTACAGAGCTGGGATTTGAACCCAGGTGTCATGGCCACAGAGTCCTAACTGCCTCGATGAAAAGGAAAAGTGCCAACCTGGTGGCCAGAGGGAGTGGGGGAGGTGGGCATGAGCACTGTTGATTCCACCAAAAGTCACCAAAAGTTACTAACATTTAAAAAAACTTTTTTAGCCAGATACAGTGACTCATGCCTGTAATCTCAGCACTTTGGGAGGCCAAGGTGGGCAGATCACATGAGGCCAAGAGTTTGAGACCAGCCTAGTCGACATGGCGAAACCACATCTCTACTAAAAATACAAAAATTAGCCAGGCGTGGTGATGCACGCCTGTAATCCCAGCTACTTGGGAGGCTGAAGCAGGAGAAGTATCGCTGGAACCCGGAAGGGGGAGGTTGCAGTGAGCCAAAATTGCGCCACTGTACTCCAGCCTGGGCAACAGAGAGCAGGAAAAAAAAGTTTAGAAAATTATTTTAATGAACAGACTTAATTTATTTAAAAGTGGTTTGAAGTTTATAGAGAGGTCCACTGGAAAGTAGAGAGAGTTCCCATATATATGCCACCTCCATTATTATTATTGTTACTATTTTTTGAGACAGGGACTTACTCTCTGTTGCTCAGACTGGAGTACAGCAGCATGATCTCAGCTCATTGCAACCTACACCTCATGGGCTCAAGTGATCCCCCCACCTCAGTCTCCCGAGTAGCTGGGACCACAGGCACACGCCACTGCACCTAGCTAATTTTGTATTTTTTGGATATATGGAGTTTTGCCGTGTGGCCCAGGCTGGTCTCGGCTTCCTGAGCTCAAGCTATCTGCCTGTGATTGGCCTCCCAAAGTGCTAGAGTTACAGGTGTGCACCTCATTTTAAGGCTGGATGGTGTTGAAGGCGACACTCGCTCCCCTGCCCTGTCAAAAGCCTTAAGCAGGAGAGTGAGCAGAGGGAGGGCTCAGCCCTCGTGCTGATGGAAGAGTGCACTGGGGGTGAGGGCAGGCAGCAGACAGCCAGCAAGGGGCCCTGCTGTGTCAGAGAGAGCAGCAAACCCTCCAGGCCAACCGGTGGCTTGACCTAGGGGAGGGAGGGCAGTGTGGGCAGGAGGGATGCGCACAGGATGGGGGCTGGGCCTGCAGAGTCAGAGCGGAGGCTTGAGGGACGAGGGATGAGGAGTCCCCAAGTGTGACTCCTAGAGCTGCCCCCTGGCAGCGGAGACAGGCCACTTCTCTTTTCTGGGCCTCAGTTCCCTCACCTGCAAAATGGGGCTGCAAATGGGACTCCCACCCTAAAGAAGTGACAGGAGTAGATGCCTCTGAGCCCCTGCCTCAGTGCCTGGGCACAGTGGGCGCTCAGTCAGCCATAGTGAGGATGAGAAGGTGGAAGAAGGAAAGGTCCAGCGGGGAGTTACTCACCGAAGGGTGCCCGCCTCACCCTGGGCTGTGCCCACTAGTGACACAAAATGCCCGTGGTCCAGCTGTCTACCCCCAGGCCCTTGCTCCCAGTGGGAACAGGTGGGATGCTTGCGTCCAAGGTGGCGGCTTTGTAGAGTGGTTAATTGTTCAGAACGTCCCCTCCCAGTATAGATGCCCCAACCTCAGCCATCATGGCTATGGCCGTCGCCTTCTGCCATGAGCCCTGCCCCGAGGGGGAGCCACGCCTTTACAGAGATGTCCCAGGCTGGTTTTGGTGGCTCATATCTGTAATCCCGGCACTTTTGGAGGCTGAGGCAGGCAGACTGCTTGAGCTCACAAGTTCGAGACCAGCCTAGGCAATATGGGGAGACCCCCTCTCTACAAAAAAAATACAAAACTTAGTTGGGCATGGTGGTACACGCTCGTAATTCCAGCTACTCAAGAGGCTGAGATGGGAAGATCGCTGGAACCCAGGAGGTGGAGGTTGCAGTGAGCCCAGATCGCTGCACTCCAGCCTGGGTGACAGAGTGAGACCTTGTCTCGAAAGAGATGTGCCAGAGGCCAGGGCAGCCCAGGCAGGCAGGAGAGGAGTCCCTGAGAGCCACTGTGAGGTGGAGAATATCAGGGATGGGGTCAAGATCTAATGCTTCCCCACGTCACCAGTGGCCCTTTTACCCATTCCCATTCACAGCCCTGCTCCTGAGCCCTGGCTAAACCATGCATTCATTCACTTCCTTATTCATCTAACCCATCACAAGGAGGCAGAGGGGGACTTGAAGCCCCTTTCTATGCAAAGGGGAGAATGCAATTTCTGCATGGAATTGAACTCTGTGAGCTTACCCTTTCTGAGACCCAGTGTTCCCACAGGCACAATGTGGGTAACTTACATCCAGATTTCTTATGAGAAATAATAAATTAATATGTGTAGCATGTCTAGCCTGGGCCTGAACAGGAGTCAGTGGCCCCTGTGCCTAGCTATGGCTATTGTTAGGGGGAAGCCAGCATGGCAGGAAAGGAGTTAATAACCTGGGGTATAGAGATTTTAGGGGGTCACAAACCCCCCAGACATTGGAGCTAAAATTTGAGCATATGTTGGCTTTTCTAGGGAAAGAGAGCTGGCTTTCTCTAGATTCTCAAAGGGGCTTGTGCCCCAGTAAACTAAGAACTCTCCTCCCTGGGGCTAAGCCTGGCACATCCGTCACTGGGCAGCTCAGGGAAGGGAGAGTAAGCAGAGCAGGGCAGGGGTGGGGCAGGGGGACAGCTATCTGGGACCTCCTTCTGCAGGGCCCTCTGCGGGAGGAGCTCGAGCTGCCCAGCAGTGGGAAGGGCACGCTTCCTTGGCAGCAATACTCCTTCCCAAATGTCGTCCTGCAGGGAACCCCAACATGTGAACCGAGTACGAGTAATGAAGGAGGATTCTTAAGAAATTCCAATAGCATGAAGAATAACAACTTTTACAAAGCGAACATTTGTGGAGTGCTTGCTGTGTGCCAGGGGCTCAGGGTCCCGAGCTCCTACAAATGCTAGGCCCTGCATCCCGCCCCAGTGCTCTCCTGCCCCAGTTCTGCCCATCCTGAAGCACAGATGGTCCCCACAGACAAGGACAAGGAGACTTCAGGGAGGCCCCTAAGATGTGGCATGTCATTGGAAGATTCCTCCAGCTAGGAAGGGTTTGGGGTAAAGCCAGAGCTTTGTGGACATCGCGCCTATGTCCTCTCTCTGTTGGTGGCCCAGCGGCATAAGCACCCAGCTCCCGGACAGCCGAGGGGTCTGCAGAGTTGGGGGTGCTGCTCCGTCCCGCTAAACGCTGCTTCGCGTGCCCTCTGATGGCCAGAACCAGTATGACGGGGGCTTGACAGGCCCGTTTTGGGTTCTGAAACTTGCAGGCAACAGGTGATGTGGAGGTGCAGGGCGGCCCACAGCCCTGCCCAAGGCCCCGCAGCTATCAGAGGCAGAGCCCCTACCACACTCCCCAGCAACCTCTGCTTCCTCCTTCCTGCACGCATTGCACGTCACCTGCCTGTCCCCTCACTGGACCACGAGCTTCTTGAGGATATGGGCGAATCTGTTCAGTTCCCCAGGGCAGGCAACAGTGGCTGTGAAGGCTTTGACAGCTCCCTTGCTGAGAGTCCACCACGTGCCAGGCTTCTTCTAGCACCTCATTTTGTCTTCATGGTCTTCTGTAAGGGACATTCTATTGCCATCCCCATCTTATGGAGAAGGAAACTGAGGCTTGGAGAGAGAGAGAGAGAGATTTGTCCAAGTTATGCAGCCAGAAGGTGGCTGAGCCGAATGGCTGAGCCCAGCCAGCCTGGTCCAGAGCCCATGTTCTATCTAGGACACTGCATAAATAGCTGCTGCAGGAAAGCCGGCAGGGACTGCCCAGTGTCTAGGCCCTTCTGACCTCACCTTTGCTGACCCAGGGGAGGGCTCAGCCTGAGGTGTGGACAGGTGTCAGAGGGACCCTTGCTGCTCTGTGATAATCACACACAAGCTTGGTGTCTTCATGCCTTTTGAGCTGCTGTAGTAAAATACATGAGACTGGGTAACTTATAAAGAACAGAAACTTATTTTTCACTGTGCTGGAAGCTGGGAAGTCCAAGATCAAGGTGCTGGCATCTGGTGAGGGCTGCTCTCTGCTTCCAAGACAATGTCTTGAAGGCCACAGTGTCCACTAGAGGAGAGGAATGCTGTCCTCGTATGGAAGAAGGCAGAAGGGCCAAAGGAAGTGGAAACCCTCCACCAGAACCTTTTGTAACAGCTTTAATCTATTCATGAGGGCAAAGCCCTCGCAGCCTAAACGGCGCCCGAAGGCCCTAGCTCCTGACACCATTGCACTGGGAATTAAGTTTCCAATGCCTGAATTTCGGGGGACACATTCAGACTGGAGCACTTGGGGCATTTCCTATGCCTTTTACCACACAGTAGGACACCCTCCCCCATACCTCCCTTCCAGAAGGTTCACAAGCCGACGTCAGAGGGTTACTGCTGGTGGATGACATCTTAGAGAAGCAGACAGCGCCCAGCTCTTGTACTTACCAACTAGTGACCACGGGTGTGCCCTTTCCCTTTGGGGGCCTCAGTTTCACTCTCTGGAAAATGGATGGGCCGGGTAGGGGCGGGTCAGAAAAAGTCATCCTCAAGATATCGTCCAAACTTGATGTTGCTTTTGCTTTTCATAAGCCAATATGGCAGGAGATAGCAAATGAAAAGACTGAAAATTGAAGGAACACTGAAGGAAATTGAGGGAGTGCGGTCATTAGGAGTTGGAAGACCCTGGTCTGGCCTCCTGCCAACTCTTCCTGGAAATCCCCTGGAGCCTCAGTTTCCATATCTGTAAATGGGGATGGCAACATGTCCCTAGAGACACAACCATACCCGATAGCATTTGTGAACCTGCTCTGCAAACGGCAACGTGCTCTACACGTGCAGGAGGTGGTTTTCCTTGCATAGATGAGCTGTAAAGGGTTTCTGTCTTTTGCACAACATGCATCTATCAGAGGCGTCTGAGCCAGACTGCTCGGGGCGGCAGAGTGGGGCCTGTGATGACCCATGTTCCCTTTCTCCTCTCTCTCCAGTTATATTCGCTGTTACTACTTTGCTGTGAAGACCCTCATCACCATCGGGGGGCTGCCTGACCCCAAGACACTCTTTGAAATTGTCTTCCAGCTGCTGAATTATTTCACGGGCGTCTTTGCTTTCTCTGTGATGATCGGACAGGTATCGGGGCACCAGCCCAGCTTCCCACCCCACCTGACTGCAGGGCCCCCTCCCACTGTTGCCAGAAATGTCACCCTCTGTGCCCGTTGCTTTTGGATTAAGCCTGGGAAAGGGCACTAGACTGAGAGTCAGGAGCCTGGAGCACTGGTCCCTGCGCGGTGAAGGGGGTGGTGGTGAACTCGGCCCTATTCCCTCTCTGAGGTCATTATCATTTGAAATGTCAGTTCCTCCGGGTGCACTGGGCTGAATGGTTTTCTGCAGAGACCGAGGGAGAAGCCCCTGGTGTTTCTGGTGTGCCAGGGCAGCATCTTACATTCTGGTCGAGACATGAGGTGACAGTCAGAGGTTCTCAAATTTATATTTGAAGGGCCCCGCCCCGAGGAACAGCACACTGGCTTCCTATTTCCTCCAGCATGGAGTCAGACAACATGGCCGCCGTCACCGAGGAACTGTATTGTACCAGAATCAGCCCAGCCCAAGGAGCTTTCCCCCATGGTGTGGTCCCAGGGACCTGAGGCCACCAAGGGGCTGGCAGTCTCCCTCCCTTCCTCTTCCCCACATCCATGCTGGAGGCAGAACTTCCCGTCAGTAAAACTTTCTCTGTGTGAGGACATCTGCCTACCCCCCTCCCAACGCCCTGCCAGGAGCACATGCCCGTGGTCTGTGTGAAGTGACACATCCCAAATCCATGGAATAGCGCCCACCCCCAATGACCCAGTGGCTTCCTTGACCTCCCATAACCCTTCCCCCAGATGAGAGATGTGGTAGGGGCCGCCACCGCCGGACAGACCTACTACCGCAGCTGCATGGACAGCACGGTGAAGTACATGAATTTCTACAAGATCCCCAAGTCCGTGCAGAACCGCGTCAAGACCTGGTACGAGTACACCTGGCACTCGCAAGGCATGCTGGGTAAGATGGTCACGCCCTGGCAGCCACCAGCTCCCAGTCAACTCCTGTCGCCTGGTGCCCGGTGCCATGCCTTCGGGGCGCCTCCCTCGTCCTCTGTGTCTCTGAGGTCCCGAGTACTGGGGCCTGTCTTGGCTGTGTCCCCAACATTGGTGTGAGAGGTGCCCAGTGGGGCCCCTGAAGTGCCTCTAGCAGGGCTGTCATGAGATCCCTGGAGACGGGGGGCTTGTCTTCTGTGTGCCTGCCCCCCTCACTTTACCCACCTTGAAATGCATCCCCATCCAAGAGCGAAGTGTAGTTTGTTTGTGTGTTTGTTTATTTATTTATTTATTTGACATGGAGTCTCGTTCTGTCACCCAGGCTGGAGTGCAGTGGAGCAATCTTGGCTCACTGCAACCTCCATCTCCCGGGTTCAAGCGATTCTCCTACCTCAGCCTCCCAAATAGCTGGGATTACAGGCATGTGCCACCATGCCTGGCTCATTTTTATATTATTAGTAGAGACGAGGTTTCACCATGTTGGCCAGGCTGGTCTCGGACTCCTGACCTCAGGTGATTAGCCAGCCTCGGGCTCCCAAAGTGCTGGGATTACAGGTGTGAGGCCGAAGTGCAGTTTAAATTGAAAAAAAAAAAAAAAAAAGGAAGAAGGACTTTCTGTCCCTTCCTCCCTCCCTTCCTCTCTCTCCCTCCTTCCCTCTCTCTCTCCTCTCTCCTCGCTTTCTCTCAGGGCATTGCACACCCCATGATGGGTGCAGCAGGCTTAGCCCTGGATCTCCTGGGGCAGCTCTAGAGCTCCACAGCCAGGTTGGGGTCCTGAGTTTATCCCTCGAGCTACAAGACTACGGGCATGTCACTGCCATTTGCTCATCTATAAAGTCGATATTATAGTAGGGCACCTCTTGGGTTGCTTAGGGGATTTAGTAAAATAGTTTTGCCTGTAATCCCAGCACTTTGGGAGGCTGAGGCGGGAGGATCACTTGAGCCCAGGAGTTCAAGACCAGCCTGGCCAACATGGTGAAACCCCATCTCTACAAAAAGTCAAAAAATTTAGCTGGGCATGTTGGTGCGTCCCTGTGAGTCCCAGCTACTCAGGAGGCTGAGGCTGGAGGATCGCTTGAGCCTGAGGAAGTTGAGGCTGCAGTGAGTTGTGATTGTGCCACTGCACTGCACTCTAGCCTGAGTGACAGAACAAGACCCTGTCTCAGAAAAGTAAAAATAAGTACCTGTGCGGTGGCTCATGCCTGTAATCCCAGCACTTTGGGAGGCTGAGGCAGGTGGATTGCTTGAGCCCAGGAGTTTTCAGACCAACTTGGGCAACATAGTGAGACCTTGTCTCTAAAAGAAAAAAATTTTTTTTAGCTTTTCAGGGTTCAAAGTATTTTAAAAATTTTATTTTAATAAAAACTAAAACTAAGATAATCTTTATAAAACATTCTATTAAAAAGTGCCTGGCTTGGCTGGGTGCGGTGGCTCACTCCTGTAATCCCAGCACTTTGGGAGGCTCAGGTGGGTGGATCAAATGAGGTCAGGAGTTTGAGACCAGCCTGGCCAACATGGTGAAACCCCGTTTCTACTAAAAATACAAAAAATTAGCCCGCGTGGTGGTGGGCACCTGTAGTCCCAGCAACTCGGGAAGCTGAGGCAGGAGGATCACTTGTACTAGGGAGGTGGAGGTTGCAGTGAACCAAAATCATGCCACTGCACTCCAGCCTGGGTGACAGAGCGAGACTGTCTAAAACAACAACAACAACAACAACAAAAACATAAATAACAACAACAAAAAAAACAGGTGCCTGGCTCATAGAAGTGCTCCAGAGACTTTAGTTCTTGCTGATGTTGTCCTTCCAGGGAAGTGGGAACACAGGTGACCAATAATTGCAACAGCGCAGGGGCTACTAACATAGTAGCTGAGTGGAGGATGTCAAGGGAAGGCAGGGAAGGCTTCCTGGAGGAGGTGATATTAGTGCTGGGTTCTGAAGAATGAGTAGGAGTTTGGGAAATGCACAGGGGTGCTCCTGGCAGAGGAAACGGTATTGGCAAATGCCTGGAGGTGAGAGAGGGTGCACTACAAATCCAGAGTGGTTCCATGCGGCAGGGCAATGGTGTGCCCTGGTGAGCCAGTAGGTGGGCACTTGGCCGGTATGTATGTCTGGGGTGGGGCCCGGCCTTGCCTCTGACCCTTGCCAGGCCTTGTTCACAGATGAGTCAGAGCTGATGGTGCAGCTTCCAGACAAGATGCGGCTGGACCTCGCCATCGACGTGAACTACAACATCGTTAGCAAAGTCGCACTCTTTCAGGTACACCTTTTGGTGCCCTCACGCTCAGGGCTGTGGGAGGCTCCAAGCCCAATCTTCTCTAAAAAGTTCCTTTCCCTTCCTCACCGGGACAGGGCTGTGACCGGCAGATGATCTTTGACATGCTGAAGAGGCTTCGCTCTGTTGTCTACCTGCCCAACGACTATGTGTGCAAGAAGGTGAGCTGGCCTGGCAGCCACCACGGGATCTGGGGTTCACCATCCCCCTGGCTTTCAAGGAACTGAGCTGGAGGGGTGCCTGCCAGCCCAGGGCAGAGCGAGATTGTTGGGGAGGGAGAAGAGCGTCTGCGGCTTCATGCTGCAGTGACCTGACCAGACCCAAGAGCAGGAGCGGATTAGGAGGCTTTGCCGACTCTATGCAGTCAACACACATGTGCCTCGGGCTTTGCAAAGCATTTTCTCAGCTCCATTGACACAGGACCATGGGGGCCAGGACAAAGACCCCCCCCCCAACTCCACCTTACAGAAAGGGAAACTGTGGAGCCTGAAGAGAGGCAGGGCCTTGACTGTGTAGCTGGAACTGCTTCTGGGGTCTCCATCTTCCCATCAGGAAAATGGGGCAGGAGAAGGGATGGGCTTAGGTCAGAGGTTGCAAACTGGTGGCCTTTGGATAAGATCCAGCACACAGGTATTCTGTGGGTTTTTTTTTTTCTAATTTTTAAAAAATGTTGAATTGGTCCCCAACCTTTAAAAATTTGGAGATTTTGTATAAAAATTCAGATTTCTGGCTGAAAACAGAAAATCTGCCAGCGCTGGGTCCACTTTCCCAAATGGCAAGAGGCAGCTGGGGTGGAGGAAAGGTTGCCCCAAAGGGGGACATCGTGTCCCTTCCTGATGCCACAGCCCCCACCACTCCCCACTGCCCCACCCTAGAACCCCCTCCCTGCTCAGCTTCACCCTCTGATCCCAGAAAACATCTGGAGTTGAATCCTGGGGCCTGACAATGTCTAGAGCCCTTTCTGCTCCCTGTCCTTGGGGTTCAAGGTGAGACCAAGGTCACTTGGTGAGTGACGGGAGGGGTCAGGAACCCAGGTTTCAGTCCTCTTGCACAGAGCCGTTAATAAGTTAATAATAAACCGTTAATAAGCATACGGGGGGAAACATTACCCAAGCAGGCTCTGCAAGACTTGGGAACCCCCGTCCCCAAGAAAGTCCCTGTCTCCAGGTTATATGCTGTGCAGCAGTGAAATTTCTGGAAGCAGAGAGCCGGGGTGAAGAGGGGAAAAGTATGCTTCAGAGACCTGAGAATTTAAAGCTGCAACCTTAGGGGCAAAGAGGGGTTTGGGAGCAATAGAGTGGCCTGCCTGACACTGGAGCCCCTTCCTGGCTGTGCAGCCTTGGGCAAGTGGCTTGCCCTCTCTGAGTCCTGCTCATCTTATGGATAAAGTGGGGGATGTTGATAGTACCTCCCTCATGGGGTGGTTGTGAGGGCTGAATAAGATGTGCATACAGAGCTTAACATTGTTCCTGGCACACAGCAGCTGCCAGTACTGTTGCTGTTGTCTTCGTGGGTGATGCAGAGTTTGCTTTAAATGAGAAAAAGTGAATCTAGAGTCTGTGATTGCAAATTAAATTGAGCACTTGGTGAGCACGTGTGAAGGGCGCCCTCTGCTGTCTGGTTTTGCTCGGCAGCGATCTCTCTGAGACACCCCGGGGACTGGTTACTGAGGTGAGGGTCCCTTCACCCTTTCACTCTTGTCAAACTAAACAGAAACATGGAGGCAAACCTCTCTACCTTTTTGTTAAGGGGGTCATGCATGTGTGAAATGCACAGGAAATTTTTGTCAAATAAGTCAAAAGTGTGACAGTTACTGTCCTTGGTCACTCCCCCCACCCCTTATTTATTTATTTGTTTGTTTGTTTGTTTATTTGAGACCAAGTCCCACTCTCTCTCCCAGGGTGGAGTGCAGTGGCACTATCTCGGCTCACTGCAACCTCCGCCTCCTGGGTTCAAGCATTTCACCTACCTCAGCCTCCCAAGTAGCTGGGATTACAGGCATATGCCACCATGCCCGGCTCATTTTTTTATTTTTAGTCAAGACAGGGTTTTGCCATGTTGGCTAGGCTGGTCTCGAACTCCTGACCTCAGGTGATGTGCCCGCCTTGGCCTCCCAAAGTACTGGGATTACAGGCATGAGCCACTGCACCCGGCCCCCTTTTTAATTATTATTATTATTATTTTTTTTTTCTGTAGACCTCCTCTTCCCCTTTTAAACACATGTGACTCACAGGTAGCTGGCCAGGACAAGGGCCGGTGAAGGCATGAGGATTGGAAGGCGCATGGCAGACTAGGTGTTTCTAATTGCAGTCCAAAGCAAGCTATTCATTCATGCATGCATTCGGTTTAACTTGGGATTAAGGCCATTGTATTCATTCTCCAGGCTGCCGCGGGACACTGTGCAACTCCACCACAAGCTGGGTGGCTTCTCTCCTCAGCTTGTAGGTGGTCATCTAGTTTTTTTTGTGTCTCCTCACATCCTCTGGTCTCTATGCCTGTCTTTGTGTCCACATTTCCCTTTTGTTAGGACACCAGTCATATTGGATTAGGTCTAGAAGGACCTCATCTTTAGGAATTACATCTGCAATGACCCTATTCCCAAATAAGGTCACATTCTGAGATGCTGGGGATGAGGATTTCAATATATGAATTTGGGAGGGAGTACATAATTCAACCCATAACAACCATGAACTCTGGAACCAGACTGTCTGGGTTCAGATCCCAGCTCTTGGGCAAAGAGTGATCTCGACTCTGAGGGTTGTTGAGGATAAGTAGTACACTGCATAAAGCAATTTGGGGCTGGGCACAGTGGCTCATGCCTGTAATCCCAGCACTTTGGGAGGCTAAGGCAGGCAGATCACTTGAGGCCAGGAGTTCGAGACCAGCCTGGCCAACGTGGCAAAACCCTGTCTCTACTAAAAATACAAAAATTTGCCGGGCATGGTGGCACATGCTTGTAATCCCAGCTACTCGGGAGGCTGAAGCATGATGCCTGTAATCGCAGCTGTTTGGGAGGCTGAAGCACAAGAATTGCTTGAACCCAGGAGGCAGAGGTTGCAGTGAGCTAAGATCATGCCACTGCACTCCAGCCTGGGCGACAGAGCGAGACTCCATCTCAAAAAAAAAAAGGCAATTTGAATATTATCGTTATTGTTGTTCCCATTCCTGTTGCAGTTAGCAAATTCTTCCCGAGCCCCTGAGATGTGCCAGGTGTAGACATCATTTGATGGTGGGAGCTGCTATCTGATTTGCCCTGCCTCCATCAGTGAGTCTAACTGGAATTTGCAGAATTCCATTATACCTGCACCTCCCAGGTTAGCTGGCACTTCCCATTCCATGACATCACTAACTCCCCCACTGCAACCCTGTCAGTTATGGAGGGCATGGGGTAGTCACTCCTCCAAGTCTACAGATGGGGTGACTGAGGCCTGAGAGGGAAGTGACTGCCCCCACACGACACCCCAAGTTGTGGTGGCAGGGCTGGACCCCAGTGCCTAGGTTCCTCCTTGCCGGACCTCCAGCCTCTGGATCCAGCCCTGGCTGCTTCTCTGGTGACTTTGGGGGATGAACAGAGGGACTTGTCACTTCTTTGTTTCAGGGGGAGATCGGCCGTGAGATGTACATCATCCAGGCAGGGCAAGTGCAGGTCTTGGGCGGCCCTGATGGGAAATCTGTGCTGGTGACGCTGAAAGCTGGATCTGTGTTTGGAGAAATAAGGTCAGACGCAGCTGGGGTAAAGTGAGGGGCCTGGGGCAAGGGCTGGGAAAGAAGGCGGCCAGCGGGCAGTGCGAGTGTCTACGGCTTGGTAGATGCAGCACTGGCACCTGCTGATGTATGCGGGGATGGGGGCGGGGGAAGGTTCTCATCTGTGTGGGGCCACCACTGTCCTCCACACATGGGAAATGAAGATCTGAATGTGACCGAAACGGCAGTCTCTGAAGGGCCTCCTTCCTCCCTTCTCTGCCCCAGCTTGCTGGCTGTTGGGGGCGGGAACCGGCGCACGGCCAACGTGGTGGCGCACGGGTTTACCAACCTCTTCATCCTGGATAAGAAGGACCTGAATGAGATTTTGGTGCATTATCCTGAGTCTCAGAAGTTACTCCGGAAGAAAGCCAGGTATGTAACTTTTCTTTCGTTTAATAAAAAATTGCTAAGGACAATGAATTTCTCTTACATAACCACAGTACCTTTATCTTTTTTTTTTTTTTTTTGAGATGACATCTTGCTCTGTCACCCAGTCTGGAGTGCAGTGGAGTGATCATGACTCACTACAGTCTCAACCTCCTAGGTTCAAGTGATCCTCCTGCCTCAGCCTCCCATGTAGCTGGGACTATAGGCACGTACCACCATTCCCAGCTAATTTTTAAAATTTTTTTCTAGAGCTGGGGTCTCACTATGTTGCCTAGGCTGGTATCAAACTCCTGGGCTCACATGATCTGCTCTGACCTCCCAAAGTGCTGGGGTTACAGGTGTGAGCCACTGCGCCTGGCCTAGTACCTTCATTAAAATAAGGAAATTTCGTATTGAAACAACACTATTATCTCATTCACAATCCATCTTCAGATTTTGCTAATTCTTTAAGAGTATCCTTTGTACCTTTTCTTCTTTTCCATTCCTGAATCAGGTCTAGGATCACATATTGTAATTAAGGTGCAGAGTATTCTTAGTCTTCCTTGATCTGGGATAGTTCCTCAGGCTTTTCCAACCTTTAGTGACTTGGACTTCTTTTAAGCATATAGGCCAGTTATTTTATTTATTTATTTATTTATTTATTTATTTATTTATTTATTTATTTATTTTGAGACAGAGTCTTGCTCTGTCGCCCAGGCTGGAGTGCCGTGGCACAATCTTGGCTCACTGCAACCTCTGCCTCCTGGATTCAAGCAATTCTCCTGCCTCAGCCTCCTGAGTAGCTGGGATTACAGGTGCACACCACCACGCCCGGCTAATTTTTGTATTTTTAGTAGAGACGGGGTTTCACCATGTTGGTCAGGCTGGTCTCAAACTCCTGACATCGTGATCCACCCCCCTCGGCCTCCCAAAGTGCTGGGATTACAGGCGTGAGCCATTGCACCCAGCCCATACAGGCCAGTTATTTTACAGAATGCCCCTCAGTTGGGGTTTGTCTGATGTTTTCTCGTGATTACCATTAGAGTGTGCATTTTTGGCAGGAAGAACTCAGAAGTGAGTCGCTTCTGCAGCAAATGTATCGAGAGGCGCACGATGCCATTTACTCCCAATATCGATGATTTTTACTTTGATTACTTGGTTAAGGTTTCTGTATTGTAAACCTATTTTCCCTTAAACCTAATTCCTAAGTAATTAGTGGGTAGTCACCTTCAGACTATGAGGATATCCTGTTCCCTGTCAAACTTTTACCCACTGCTTTTAGCATCCTTTGATGGTTCCTCCCTATGATAGTTACAAAGAGATTGCTATGATAGTTGTAAAATGGAAATTTTGTAACTCCACTCCCTCCTTGATTATTAGCTGGCAGTCAGCTGTGTGGAAGAGCTTTCTCTTCTCTCCCATTTGTTTATTCATTTCTCAATGTATATAGGCATGGATTTACTTGATTCCATGAATACTCTGTTAACAATCATTATTTTGATGCTCAAATTAGTCCAGTTTGGCCAGTGGGCACTTTTTCAAGGTGGCTCATTTGTGACCTTCGTGATA